>NC_000010.11:33052823-33357106 GCF_000001405.40 Homo sapiens
ATAATGAAGACATAATTTGTCTCTGGTGCATAAATACCAGTATGGCGGGGCTGAATCAACACACATTTTTTTTCCTTTCTGTTAAAAGGCAGGATGGGGTGGCTGGGGGAGTCTTTTGAAAGAAATAACAAAAACTCCAGGTATGCTCACTGGGTGGGCTGAGATGAGGGTCTTAGTTTTAGTGAGCAAGTCCAGAAAGTTTCCATTCTGATCAAGTTCTGCTCTTTAGAATTGCTGGGTTTGGAAACAATTTTAACCAGGTCAATTGAGACGAGCAGGCTTAGGGAAATGATTCATCTGTAAACAAAATATTAAAACCTAAGAAGCCTATGAATATACGATGTGATTAGATTTCCTTTATTATCTGACATTGGCTTGAACCTCCCCTTACCAGGAAGAACAGTTGCCTCTCCCAAGGCAGCCCCCTAGTGCGACATGTCTGTGGTGTGCTCTCCACTAGGTCCTTGTGTTTGTAGCACTGCCTCCTCTCTGAGCCATTGTCCCATCAGCTCTGTTACTACTGACGGCTGCCCTGGGCACAGCGATTCTTCACTGCATCTACCTAAGCTACCTCCATTGTGGCTTCAGAAGAGACCTTCTTCCATGGATGGCTCACAGGACAGTTGATGCCAGGATGTCATGAGCCGCAGAAAGAGAAGAAACATTTTGCCGGAAGCTCAGCATAAGTCCCACACCCAATTGCCCTGGGTTCCTGTTCCATAATCTACCATTTCCTTCAAGAATTAACAATGGAAGTATCTACTTCCCTCCGGAGGAACCCACTCCTACACACAGGGTAATGACCTTGCTCTGTGTCTCCAGCAGGATAATATCTTTGGAACATAATGGTCTGATATCAGTATGTTCTGAGTCGTTTATTCATTGATAACATCACTTAGGAGAATTGATACACTAGTCTGTGTTGGTCTGTGCCAAGCTCAAGCCAGTATTTTCCACCATCTCTGCTCTGGTGTGAAGAATCTTCTAGAAAGAAACACAGGTCCTTTCTCCTGCCATCTCTCCAATCCAGATTTTCCACCAACAGTTTCCAGAGCACAAGCATCAGTGTGCAGAAGGCCCTCTAGAGTCACACAGAGCTAAGAACACTCCATTACTCTCCCCAGAGACTATCACCCCCACCACCATCAAAAGGCAAGACATTCTTTTTTTGGCAAGAGATTCTTAAATGGCTTTAGCTCAATTAAGTCTAGCAATGTTCTAATTCTTCAACCAAATTTCTCCTCAATGTGAAATATTGCATTCAGGTCAATGGTCACTCCAAAGCAGCAGGGACAATCTTGCAGTGTTTTCTTTCAAATCCATACAAGCAAAGGATTTCCTTAAAACAAAGTTCAGTCTGCAAAAATAGTGAATGCAGACCTTCAAACTCTTTATAGAGAAAAACTTTGTGGGCTCAGAATGGTTCTTCTTTTTTTCAGATTCTAACCATTAAGTTCCAAAAACAAATAATAATACAACTTTGATTGATAAATCACTATGTAATGTACTTAATAATGAGAAAAAATATTTTGAATAGTTTGTTAGACATTTTTTCCTGCTTTGGTTACATGGAAAAGCTGAATTAAAATAAAAGTAATTAAAGCCGAAGGATTGGTGGGTAGAGATGGGTTGGGAGAAAAACCTAAATATTTACTGATTATCTGCTATCTTCATTGCTGCTCTAGGTAATTTAGATAGGTTATTTTATTCTACCCCTAACCATTCTGTGAATTAGACCTTATTACAGCTACTTGAAGATGAATGTAAAACTGAGACTCAGGGATATTAAGATCTTGTTCAAGATCATGAAACTGGTTTGCAAGTGTGGGGCTAGGCTTCAACCAGGTCTATAAGATTCCAAATCTCCTTTCCATAATACCATTTTAAGCTTAGGGAGTATTTTCGTTAAGCTGAGAAAGCCTAGTGGGATACTCTTCTCTACCTTGGACTTTTGCAAACCTTATCGTACAAAACAAATGTGACCCTGTACCTTGGCCAATCAAGACTTAACTCATTCATTCGAGTCCTTACTATGTGCAGGACACCATCAGAATGGAAGTCACAGAACCCAGTGACAGTGGGGAAAGCCATTTCAGCACAATACACTTTTAATATTCTTCAAATTGGGCCATGTGCAGGGGCTGACATCTATAATCTTAGTGCTTTGGGAGGCTGAGGTGGGAGGATTGCTTGAGGTCAGGAGTTTGAGATCAGCCTGGGCAACATAGTGAGACACTGTCTCTACAAAAATTAAAAATAAAAAGATAGCTGGCATTGTGGTATGTGCTTGTAGTCCTAGTTACTGGGGAGGCTGAGACAGGAGCATCCTTTGAGCCCAAGAGTTCAAGGCTACAGTGAGCTATGATCATGTCACTGCACTCCAGCCTGGGTGACAGAGTGAGACTGTCTCAATAATAATAATAATAATAATGATAATATTCAAATCACACTTGACCCTGGCTGCCAATCCCACCTACACTCCAATCCCCCTGAGAAAATACATTGGGTAGCAGCCTTGGTTCATTTGGGGCATTAAGAGAATTTGAGCAATCAGAAGACTCACTCCCATGTTTCTTTGCCATTTTCCACATTCTTATCATTTTCTTGTAATTGTGTAATTGATTGGATTTTTAATTGTGGGATGGTAAATTTTTAATCAGGAGAAAATAGTCATGGATAGAAGTAGGTGAAGGAAAAGATTTATGGGGCTTTCAGGAAACTTACAGGAAAATCCCCTAAAAAAGTCATCATTTGTTATTCTCAATATTGACTTGTTAAAAGTGAATCTCATTACCTTTGTTTTATCTGGCATGTTTATGGAATATGTTTATTTATTAATGAATTTTTCTGGAGCAAATGTAACAGACACATGGGACATTCTGATAGTCACTCAGCTATATGTCTGGGTATATTTATTACTGTTCAGAAATGGAAAGTTCCAGGAAAACAACTGAAAAGCATTCAATTCCTCAAAATGCATGCATTCCATGAATCATTTATTCAGAGGATTAAGAAGAAAGATATTTGAGTTGGTCTGTGGTCAAAAATAATCTCTTTCTCAGCATTCTTCCCAGAATTGTTCAGAACAATTTTCTTCAAATGGACAGAGGTGGATATGAGGTTGTAGGAATACTTCCCTTCCACCCTCTGAAGGTTCTCTAAAAATCAACTGACAAAAAGCAAATTAGTAGGAGAAAAAGTATATAAGTTTACTGATATGCATGGGAGTCTGACATAATATAAGATCTCAAAGAAATGGCCAGATGGTTGATGCTTTTATACCATCTTGAGGTTACACAAAGAATGGGGGCCCAGAACCCAGCCCAGAACAGGTTATGGTGGTAAATCAGGTTACAGTGGCAAAACAGGTTATGGAAGGGAGAGAAGAGGACGCCTGGCTAGCAAAGGTGGTCTTGTCATGTAGGTGAAACCTCATGGGTAGCAGCCCTCAGAGAGAAAAGGTGGGAAATGTTCCTTTCAGATCTTGAGAGATGTCAGACTCTCAGTTCATCTTTCCTAGATCTGGACCAGGGAGGACCTCAGAAAGCCTGGCTGCAGGGATGCGGGCTTTCTCTACAGATGCAAATTTCTCTGCAAAAGACAGCTTCTTAGCTACTCTTCTATTTCCAGCCCTTCTGAATAGCCATCTTGAAATATGTCAAAGAAATATATTTTGGGGTGAAATTTTTTGGCTTCCTGCAAGGTCATGGTATGAATAAGTGGGCACACTGGCTAGGAGATTTGGTACCAAAGTTGCTGTCGATCAGCTTGATCTGGTCAAGGGAAATGTGGAGGAAGCAGGCTCTATTATCCCCTCTCTTGGATCTTTGCATGCCCTGTTGCTTCTATGCCTGGCAGATGCTGATGGGCATCACTGAAGTCCTATGTGACACCAGAGGAAGTGGATGGTATCACGAAGGGAGATGGAGTCACAGAATCAGAGACTGCCACATCAGGGAGGACCTGCAAGCCATTTCACAGCCAGCTCTCTTCTTCCTTCTTCTCCTTCCTTTTTTTTTAAATTCTTCCTTCTTTTTTCTTTCTTCTTTTCTTTTTAGTGGGATTCTCGTTCTGTCACCCAGGCTGAAGTGCAGTGGTATATTATGGCTCACTGCAGCCTCAAACCCTTGAGCTCAAGTGATCCTCCTACCTCAGCCTCCCAAGTAGCTGGGACTGTAGGCTTGAGTCACCATGTCAGAGGCATTCAAACCAGAGTGACTCCATCTTGAATAGGGCTGGGTGAAATAAGGCTGAGACCTACTGGGCTGCATTCCTAGGAGGTTAGGGCATTCTAAGTCACAGGATGAGGTAGGAGGTCAACACAAGATACGGGTTATAAAGACCTTGCTGTTAAAGTAGGTTGTGGTAAAGAAGTGACCAGAACCCATCAAAACTAAGATGGCAATGAGAATGACCTCTGGTCGTCCTCACTGCACATTATATGCTAGTTATAATGCATTAGCATGCTAAGAGACACTCCCACCAGCACCATGGCAGTTTACAAATGCCAAGGCAACATCAGGAAGTTACCCTATACGATCTAAAAGGGAGAGGAATTCCTCAGTTCCAGGAATTGCCCACCTCTTTCCCAGAAAACTTATGAATAATCCACCTCTTGTTTAGCATACAATCAAGAAATAACTATCAGTACAAGCAGCTGAGTGGCCCACACCACTGCTCTGCCCTATGAAGTAACTATTCTTCATCCCTTTACTTTCTTTTTTTCTTTTTAAAATTTGTATTATTTTAATTATTTTCATGTGTGTAAAACTCAACAGTGTACATTTAACCCAGTTTAGTGGCAAGTTATTTAGCCTTTGCCTTTTCAAGCTTGGCGATGCGAGCCACAGACTTGGGACCCAGGACATTGCCACCCCAGTGACGGCGGATCTCATCATATCTGTCATTGTAATTGGTCCTGATAGCTTCCACCAGCTTAGCTAAACCGCCTTTATCTTCCAAGTGCACCTGTGTGAGGGCGACAGTGGTGCAGGTCTTCCTGTGCACTAGACGGCCCAGTCTTGCCTTCCCCTTGATAATGCAGTAAGGGACCCCCATTTTACGACACAGGGCAGGCAAGAAGATAACCAGCCCGATGGGATCCACGTTGTGTGCTATCACCACTAGCTGAGCTTTCTTGTTCTCCACCAAGGTGGTGACGGTGTCAATTCCTGCTCGAAGGACATGTGGTCTCTTAGTGGGGATGTCCCCTTTGCCAGCAGTTTTCTTCTCGGCCCAGGCCAACAGCCTCTGCTTCTTCTCTTGCTTTGGATCTGGTCTGTACTTGTGGGCCAGCTTAAGCAGCTGAGTAGCTGTTTGGCAGTCCAGGGCCTGGGTAAACTGGTTAATCACAGGAGGCACTTTCAGCCGTTTATAGAGGGTGGCTCTCTGCCGCTGCAACCTGATATAGCGGGGCCATTTCACAAAGTGGGTGAGTTCTCTTTTAGGCTGGATGTCCTGTCCAATGCCAAAATTCTCAGGCCTTTTCTCAAACAGGGGATTCACCACTTTCTTGGCCTCCTGTTTCTTCATGCCAGCAGGGGCCGGAACCACCTTCTTCCCCTTGGCCTTCTTTCCTTTCGGCATCTTGAATGGCAGGAGGAGAGAGAGCTATTCCTTTACTTTCTAAATAAACTTACTTTCACTTTATGGACTCGCCCCAAATTCTTTCTTGTGCAAGATCCAAGAACCCTCTCTTGGGGTCTGGATCAGGACACCCTTCTGGTAACAACCATACCTGGCAGCTCCCTTAGTCTACAGATTTGGAAACTGAGACCCAGAAAGGGTCACTGACTCTTCCACGATCACTGCATAATTGCCAGAACAGATAAGACTCCACCTGGAACTTTTCACCTTTCCATCCTGAGGCGTGAGCTCTCAGGGAGCTCATCCAGTCTCAACTTCCATCCCCTTCAGCTTTAACCTGCTAGAGCAGCTGCTACATGCTGAGCCTGAGCCTGCACATCTGAGAGCCTGCCCAGTGATGCTGGATAAGAAATGCTGCTGCCCAGACAGGGGGATCAGTGATGCTTTGTCATAAAAAAATCCGAGGAAGTAAATAATCCATGCTTAAATAAAAGACATCCATGGACAAGTATGTGCACCTCAGTTATGAAGATAGTACTCTGCAACGGGGTCTAAGTGGTGTTTCTTACCTTGTAATTGCAATCCGAGGACTTGAGTGGGGTTCTAGAATCTGGGACTGTCCTTGGGCCCTGCTTAATTTATCAGCAACACCTCAAGCCTCACAAAGAGAAGGCCGCATTTCTGGTTGCTGTGGTCTGATTGGCAGCGAATTATCTCTCTGATCTCGATTTCTTTTTTAGGAGGGGGCCCACATGGGAATCTTATTAGGCTGCGCTTTTTTATGTGTGTGGGAGACCCTTCTCTTCTTCCCTTTTTAAATTCTGATCAACAAGCCATTCAAGGCTGTCTCATTATCAAACCCTCACTGCCCTGGAAATTAAGGAAGGTGGAAGAAGAGGCGTAGCAAAGTGAGGGCCTTGGTCTGAATTTGGCTGGCAGACATTTCAGCTGGCCCTAACAAACGATGTTTAAAACAATTTGAGACAATGTTTAAACACCAATGATCTGCTATGAAAATCTGGATTTGGGGTGTCTCTTTAAATAAAAATATCAGAAAATCTGGCTGCACTGAGCCCAAATTCTCAGTGGCAAGAATAATCAGGGGCTGACTGGTCTCTGTGCATTTTAGAGCAGCTACACATTCTCTCTCTCAGCCTCCCGGCACCATATGCATTGGAGTTTGCAACCCTTTTTGAGAAGGAAATAATAAAAGCCACTAAACCACATCTCCACTAGAGTTCATGTATTGTATTATTTACTACAAATATTTATTGGACCCAACTCTATGCCAGGGTCAATTTTATTTTACTTTTTATTTTTATTTCAATAGTTTTTGGGGTACAGGTGGTTTTTGGTTATGTGAATAAATTCTTTGGGGGTGATTTTTGAGATTTTGGTGTACCCATCACCCAAATAGTGTACACTATACCCAGTGTGTAGCCTTTTATCTTTCAATCCCCTCCCATCTTCCCACCTGATTCCCCAAAGTCCATTATATCATTCTTATGCTATTGCATCTTCATAGCTTAGCTCCCATTTATAAGTGAGAACATACAATATTTGGTTTTCCATTCCTGAGTTACTTCACTTAGAATAATGGCTTCCAGCTCCATCCAAGTTGCTGCAAAAGATATTATTTCATTCCTTTTAATGGCTGAGTAGTATTCCATGGTGTATATATACTACATTTTCTTCATCCATTTGGTTGATGGGCACTTAGATTGGTTCCATATCTTTCAATTGTGAATTGTGCTGCAATAAACTTGCATGTGCATTTATCTTTTTCATATAATGACTTCTTTTTTTTTGGGTAGATACCCAGTAGGATTGCTGGATTGAATGGTAGTTCTACTTTTAGTTCTTCAAGGAATCTCCATACTGTTTTCCATAGTGGTTATACTAGTTTACATTCCCGCCAGTCATGTAAAAGTGTTCACCAGGGTCAGTTTTAATATGAACCTGTTCATGACATTGAACACTCGTTCATCAAACATTTTTTATGGTAGCGCTATTCTAGGCACTGAGGGCGCAGGGGTAGACAAAGCAAAGGAGATCTCTGCTTTTGTGAAACTCACGTTTCTGCACGCAGCTCATCAGTGCGCTTCAAGTCTCTCACTCTCTGTCTACTTGCCTCATTTCCTACCACTTCCTTCAAGGTTTCGAGGCTTTTGGGGCATCAACCATTCATAAATGGCTTGGTCCAAGCCTGCAGAGCTTGTGAATGGCAGCCTCAGGCTCAGACTTAGCCCACCTGATTCCTGCGCTCATAGTCTATGCTCTCACCACTGCATCTGCCAGAGATTGACAAGGTACCTGAGCTTCTGTCAATCGAGGCTGTAGAGAAATATTTTCAGTGGCTTGTTTACAAAATTTCCTCTTTTGACAGCATGGCTGGCTGAATAACAGTCCTCCAAAGATGTCAACACTCTACTCCCCGGAACCTGTGAATATGTTACCTTATGTGGCAGAGACACTCTGTAGATGGGATTCATTTAAGGATCTTGAGTTGGGGAGACGATTCTGGATTGCCTGGGTAGGCCCCATGTAGTCACAAGGTCTCTTACGAGAGAGACAGGAGGTCATATGGGAAAGAAGACTCTGCCCTATTGGCTTTAAAGATGAAGAAAGGCGGGCAAGAGCTGATAGATGCAGGTGGTCACTAGGAGCTGGAAAAGGAAAGGAGAGAAATACTCCCCTGGAAACTCCAAAAGGAACCCAGCCTTGCAGACCCATTTTAGACTTTTTTTTTGAGATGGGGTCTCACTCTGTTGACCAGGCTAGAGTGCACTGGTGTGATCATAGCTTACTGCAGCCTCAAACTCCTGGCCTCAGATGATTCTGCCACCCCGCCCGCCTCAGCCTCTCGAGTAGCTGGGACATCAGTGTATGCCACCACATCGGGCTAATTTTTTTTTTAATTTTGTAGAGATGGGGTTTCACCATTTTGCCCAGGCTGGTCTCAAACTCCTGGCCTCAAGTGATCTTCCTGCTGTGGCCTCCCAAAGTACTGGGATTACATGCATGAGCCACCATGCCAGGCCTCCATTTTAGACCTCTGACCTCCTGAATCAGAAGAGAGTATGTCTGTGCTGCTTAAAGTCACTACGTTGGGGGTAATTTGTTACAGCAGCAATAGGAAACTAATCAGTGTAGCAGAAAGGTTTCCTCATCTGTGGAATGTGAGCTTTGGGCCAATTTATTCTCAAGGCCTTTCTGGTCTGTGTTCTAGGTCCACTGGGTTGGGGTCTTCAGCAGCAGATAGGATCAAGGCCCACAGTACTGACTGGGCATGTTTGGAGCTTCTGAAGCTCCCGGTCCCTAGGATCACAGGCATTCACCTAGTGAACAAATGCTTTGGGGATCAGTCAAAAATGCAACCAACATTTTACTGGCAGGGTCTTAAAAGCACGTGACTCATTCAGAAATACAACATTTGGTCGATGGATATGTCAGACTTTCAGGTAAATTTAATCAATGAACAACCACTCTTTTATTTTCCTCCAAACCAGGATTTCCTATTACATTTCATTCCATTAGCCTTGATATAAAGTGGCAGTTGATAGCAAGCCATATTGACAGGCCCTCCCAGGTATAATGTAGCAGTTACCTTAAATCACTTATTCACCACATGATTCATGGCACACAGAGGAATAGGTCATCACTGAGTCTTTAAATATAAAGCTAACATAACAGAACACTCAAAATCTTTAATGTCTGTGATTTAATCCACCTTAATTAATTAGAAGGCATGTGATGGCCTCTTCGCATCTTGAATCATAACCAACAGAGTATTTGTTCTTACTCTGATAAAGGGTAACAGGCAGGTGCTTCCAGCGGGTGGGGGTGGAGGGGGTGACAGTGCCTGATTTTGGAAGACCAGCCCCCTGTGGGCTTCACAGTGAGAATTCACTCCCACTTGGCACAGCTGTCTTCCTTTGATGCAAGGGATGCTACAAATCATTTTGATCAACAAACATTTCTTGATCAACTACTAAATGTAGAAAGGCTAGACATTAGGGGTATAAAGCTGAATAGGGCTAGATCTATACCCCAAAGAAAGGAATTCAGTATAGCAAAGAGATATCTGCACTCCCATGTTTACTGTAGGACTATTCACAATAGCCAAGATTTGGAAATAACCTAAGTGTCCATCAACAGTCAAATGGGTAAAGAAAATGTGGTACATACACACAATGGAATATTATTTAGCCATAAAAGGAAGGAAATCTTGTCATTTGCAAAAACACAGATGGAACTGAAGGACATTATGTTAAGTGAAATAAGCCAGGCAGAGAAAGACCAGCTTCATATATTCTGACTTATTTGTGGGAGCTAAAAATTAAAACAATTGAACTCATGGAGATGGAGAGTAGAAGAATGGCTACCAGAGGCTGGGAAGTGTGGTGGGGAACTGGGAGTGGAAGTGGGGGTGGTTAATGGATACAAAAAATAGAATGAAGAAGATCTACTATTTGATAGCACCATAGGTTGATTATAGTCAATAATTGTTTAATTATACATTTAAAAATAACTAAAATAATTTAATTGTACATTTTAAAATAACTGGACATGGTGGCTCATGCCTGTAATCCCAGCACTTTGGGAGGCCGAGGTGGGTGGATCACCTGAGGTCAAGAGTTCGAGACCAGCCTAGCCAACATGGTGAAACCCCTGTCTTTACTAAAAATACAAAAAAAAAAAAAAAATTAGTCAGGCATGGTGGTGGGCACCTGCAATCCCAACTACTCAGGAGGCTGAGGCAGGAGAATCACTTGAACCCAGAAGGTGGAGGTTGCAGTGAGCCAAGATTGTGCCACTGTACTCCATCATGGGTGACAGAGTGAGACTGTCTCAAAAAATAAAAAAAATAAAAACCAGAAGAGTGTAATTAGAATGTTTGTAATACAAAGAAATGATAAATGCTTGAGGTGATGGATACTCCATTGACCCTGATGTGATTATTACACATTGAATGCCTGCATCAAAATATCTCATGTAACTCATTAATATACATACCTATTATGTACCCACAAATACATATTTAAAAAATTTGTAAATAGATGAACGAGACTCAGACCCTGCCCTGGAGGATCCTCAGTCTCAAAAGGGAGAGTAGAAGTTATGATTCTGGTAATGTTTCTCAAGTTTTTGCATTATTTTCTCACTGATGAGTTATTTTGGTTTAGAAATATGGCTGATGAGAAAGCTAATAGTGACTTAGGAAGGAAGCTTCTAGGGGTTCTGTGTGCACAGCAGGGTCACAAAACAGATTTTGGGATTGGAGAAGGAAGCTGACCTGGAGGTTTTTTTCTGGTTGCTGGAAGGTGCTTGGGGAGAGGAATTGTAAAGTTAGCAGAACCTGGTCACTTGAGTCTAGGAGAATGTTTCCTGGTGGCCTTTGCATGGTATTGTATTACTGTTGGGCAACGTGCAGTTGGAGAATCTGAGAAGGAATTAAATGAGAACAATAGAAAATCCAGCTATACATGAAAAACTGAGGTAGGCACACTCTGAGAGTGAAATGCAAACATGTCACAAGGGAAAACAAGGCAGACCTCTGTCAGCAACAGAGCAAAGGAGATGCTTGAATTCCCCCAGGTTTTGCTTTTCTGAAGCACATGAGGATGGAGCAATTTGACCTAACCTCATTCCTATATGTAAAGAGTACATTAACTCTTTGGGCATGTCACATGAGCAATCTTCCCATGAAGTAAATGCTCAGTATCGGTGAGAACACGGAGATACGAAACAGCTCAGTCCTTCATTGGCCTCCTTTCCTTGCCAGCTGATATGGTTTGGCTGTGTCCCCACCCAAATCTCATCTTGAATTGTAGCTCCCATAATTCCCACGTGCTGTGACAGGGACCCGGTGGGAGATCATTGAATCATGGAGGTATGGCTTCCCCCATACTGTTCTCATGGTAGTGAATAAGTCTCATGAGATCTGATGGCTTTATAAGGAGAAACCCCTTTCGCTTGGTGAGATGTGCCATTCGTCTTCTGCCATGACTGTGAGGCCTCCTTAGCCATGTGGAACTGGGAGTCCATTAAACCTCTTTTCCTTTATAAATTACTCAGTCTCTGGTATGTCTTTGTCAGCAGCCTGAAAATGAACTAATACACAAGGGCTTGTTAGAGTCATAGACCAGTGGCCCACCTATAAGCTGCAATAGCATTTTATGTGTAAGGCATAGTACTTGGTACTATGGGGTTGATGAGGTTAAGAGGCAGGCTCTGCTCTGGAGGAGCCTGCAGTCCATCTGGAGTTGGGGGGGTGCTGCCCATCCCTGGAAAGATAATCATACATTCTGAAACCAAAATACCCCTCAAAGTTTACAAACTATCAGGCCTGTAAGAGTTGAGTTGAGGACAGAGGGCTCAGGAAAGCCTTCGTGGAAGAAGTAGCCATTGGGCTGGATTTTGAAAGGACAAACCAGATAACTAGGAGATAACTTGGGCTGATAACTGGGAGAACTCTGAGTGCTCTTTTCTTCATGTGATTTGCCTACCATTGTTTACTGGTACATAGCACAGTGTTGCAAAACAAGCCCAGAATCAATCTTTTTCCCCTAAAACCATAAATAGTTGTGCTTTGCATGTCTTTGTATATGACTTTTTTTTTTAAAGATACATAATCTTGAAGTAAGATAGGTCAGAATTCAAACCACAAATCCAAGCTCTGCTATTTCCTACCACTGTGGACAGGGCAGTAAATGTCCCTGAGCCTTGGATTCTCCATTTATAAAATAGGGTAATACTGATCTCAATATCTTGTTAAATTACATTTAGCCTAAAGCTGCCTCTTTACATATTTTAAGTCTGGCCTCAAGGTTTCTCTGTACATAGTGAACTGTAACCTAACTGGATGTGTAAACATTCTGTAACCTATTCATGTTTTGGTCAATCAGACATGGCCAACTGTTCAAACTGTGTCCAAATAAGGCAACTGTCAAGTTGTAACCACTCCGGTTGGTTCTGTACCTCACTTACATTTTCTGTCCTTCACTTTCCTTTTTCTATACATAAATCTTCTTCCACCACATGGCTGCTTTGGAGCCTCTCTGAGCCTACTCTGGTTTGGAGCTGCCTGGTTCATTAATTGTTTTTTGCTCAATTAAACTCTTGTTAAATTAATTTGTCTAAGGTTTTTCTTTTAACAATGCTTTTATAGAGATTAAAATGAAAAAATATGTAAGGTGCCTAACTCAGTCTGAAAATTATAGTCTGTTTGATTAAGTAGCTATAACAAAGACTCCCAAAGCTACAGCATTTAAGAAATAGAGGACCAGACATGGTGGCTCACACCTGTAATCCCAGCACTTCGGGAGGCCGAGGCAGGTGGATCACCTGAGGTCAGGAGTTCGAGACTAGCCTGGCCAACATGGTGAAACCCCGTCTCTACTAAAAATACAAAAATTAGCCGGGCATGGTGGCACATGCCTGTAATCCCATCTACTTGGGAGGCTAAGGCAGGAGAATCACTTGAACCCGGGAGTCGGAGGTTGCAGTGAGCCGAGATCGTGCCATTGCACTCCAGCCTGGGCAAGAAGAACAAAACTCCATCTCAAAAAAAAAAAAAAAAATAGAGATGTTCATTTTTGTCTCATGTTAATAACAATGATTTGAGTTGGTGGGGTATCTCACTTTATTAAGTTTATCAGGGACCATGATCCTTTCATCTTGTTCTTCTGTCGTTTCCTAGGGAAGAGATATACAAATGATGGCTCCCAGATTGTTTTTGCAAATAAAGTTTTATTGGCACCCAGCCACACTCATTTGTTAACATACTGTCTACAGTTGCTTTAACAGGTAGAGTTGAGTAGTTGCAACAAACCAAATGGACCCCAAAGCCAAAAGTATTTACTATCTGCAACTTTTATTATTTATTATTTTTTATTTTTTGAGACAGGGTCTTGCTCTGTGGCCCAGGCTGGAGTGCAGTTGCATGATCTCGGCTCACTGCAACCTCTGCCTCCCAGGTTCAAGTCATTCTCCCACCTCAGCCTCCCAGGTAGCTGGGACTACCGGTACGTGTCACCACGTCTGGCTAATTTTTGTATTTTCAGTAGAGACAGGGTTTCACCATGTTGGCCAGGCTGGTCTCAAACACCCAACCACAGGTGATCCGCCCACCTCGGCCTCCTAAAGTGCTGTGATTACAGGCGTGAGCCACCACACCCAGCCACTTTCTACATCTTTAGTAGAGTTTGCTGGCCGAGGCTTTGTTATGGGTTAGTCCGTGTTTCAGCTCACTAGGAAGAAGGGCAGCAATTTCCTTTCAGGGTGGAAGTTGCATACATGACATCAGCTCACCCTTCATTGATGAGAACTTAGTCACGTGGTCATACTCAGCTGCCAGGTAGCCAGGATATGCAGTGTGGCCTTGGGCAGTGATATGCCCAGCTCTAATCATATCACTTTGAAAGATGGGAAGAATTAATTCTGGTACAAACCAACAGTGTCTGCCACATTTGTCCTCAGTATGAGCTCCCTTTCCCTTTCCCAAGTGTCAGACTACCCAAAAAATCCACAGTTCTCGTTCCTTCACTGCAGTGCCCTCTAGCTTCTGCTCCTGGCTTTCTTGAGTGTCTCTGTTGTTGCTTCTTATCTCTAATGTCACCCAGTTCTCATTTAATCTTAGCAAGTCCGGTTGACCTTTTAGAAAAACAGCCCTATGATTTATGACAGGGTTTTTCAACGCTGGCGCTTGACATGAAATTCTTTGTTTTAGGAGCTGTCTTGGGCAATGTAGAATGTTGAGTCACATCCCTGCCTTCGGCCCAGTGGATTCCAGTAGCATCTCCCTGTTGTGATGACCAAAAATGCCTCCAGACATTACCAAGTGTCCTTGGGGGGACAAAATTGCCTGTGGTTGAGAATCACTGACTTACAGGTGGATGGGATCTCTACCTTTTGTCCCACCATGTTTTTAATGGTCACCAACATTTTGGTTCAAAGAGAATTCCTCCTTTATAATGATAAATCTCTCTTGGTTTTACAAAGCAATGCTATTTGACTAAATTTAACTTCTTAGGTATTGAGTCTGTATTTGTAGATGTGAAGCTTTTTAACTCTGAGGAGCTCTAGGTAATTATTTCACCCAAATAATCCTATGAACACTAGAATCTATTCTAAAATATCAGATCTAGGCTATGGATCAGGGGAGACTTTGAGGCAGAGAGAAGAGAAGCTGTTTAATTTAGGAGGCAAAAAGTGGGGGCAGGAGGAAGAGAAGCTCATTGAGAAATAGTAAAAAAAGGACTTACTGGAATGTTGTATTCATGGGCAAGAAAATGCCGATTCATTTTACAGTGTGCTACATGATATTCCAGACCTCGAACTTCAGGATGCATTAAAATCACTTGGCACTCTTGTTCAAATGTGTTTAACCCACCTCCAGAGATTCTAGTTCAGTTGATCTGGTGGCAGGAGGTAGTGGGTGGGGTGGGCAGAAATGGAAATTCTGATGCCATTGATCCAATTTTAAAAAATGACTGTTTTAGACTAACTTTTCAGAAACGTTTAAAAATGTTTCTATGTTCATTTAAATAATAGCTGTCAATTGTGATTGAGGAATCACACCAGCATGAGTAGTTTATTTTGTCATTTAGCCCAGGTTCTAATTCATGGCATCTATGCCAAGTGAGGAACAAAGTGGGCTTTGTTAATTGCCTGCCAATACCTTGTTTCCCAGCACAGAACTCTCTAGAAGCTGGATTGCACCATGTGCTTTAGGCTGGAGCTAATGTTTGGCCTTTTATTTCCTCTTCTCTGGATTTCTGCCTATTTTATCTCTTGTCCTTCCCTCCAAAATAAATGATAGGCAGGGCCCTGCTACCGTAGCACCAGGCAAAGTCTATTGGTTACACCCTCCAGTGACCTAGGAAAGGGAGCAGGACAGAGAGGGACCATTTTGGTTGTAAAGATAAAAATTGGAACCAAAGGCAACAAGCCTCAAGTAGTTAATGAGGAACCTTAAAATGATGAGAAAAAGAGATTTTTGAAAGTTAAATTAGTGACTCTAATGAATTCACTTTAGCATGTGATGCCTAATCTCATTCTTGCCTGGTATCAATGACCAGCACCCACCAGTCAAGGCTCCTTTGCCCATGGCGAGGGCAGTTGTTTGGGCCAGCCAGAATCCCCTTGACACCAGAGAGGAGAGGCCAGGCCTCCTGTCCTGAGGTGGAAGCCAGTCCTGTTCTTCCTGTTGCATGGGCAGTTGGAATCCAGAGTGCACAAGAGAAGATAAAAGTCGTGCTTTGCAAGGGAACTGATCTTTAACACAGCAACCTTGGCTGATGAGGCTTAGGTTTTCACAAAGGAGATCCACCTACTCCTCAGAGTTGGTGCAAGCAGGAGGGCAGAAAAAGAATCTAAAATGTGGACAGGGCTGGGAGTGGTGGCTCACACCTGTAATCCCAGCACTTTGGGAGGCCGAGTCAGGCAGATCAATTAAGCCCAGCAGTTCGATACTAGCCTGGCCAACATGGTGAAACCCCGTCTCTACAAAAAATACAACAATTAGCCAGGCGTGGTGGCAGGCACCTGTAATTCCAGCTATTTGGGAGGCTCAGGCATGAGAATTGCCTGAACCAAGGAAGTGGAGGTCGCAGTGGGCCAAGATCATACCACTGCACTCCAGCCTGGGCAACAGAGTGAGAACCTGTCTCAAAAATAAATAAAATAAAATGAAATGTGAACAGGAGTTGGCTCCTGTAGAGACCAAGTCCGAAATCAGATGCAGGGGAATAAGAACCTGACCTTCAACTCTTTCTCCTGCTTTTACGACTTTTCTCCCTTTCTCCTTCTTTTTCCTTCCTTCCTCCATCTCTTCTGTTTTTTTTTTTTTTCCTTTTAAAGACCAAAGACAAATTTTTCATATAGACCAACCTTAAGACAAGCTCAAGGAAGTAGCATTGTTCACACCTCTCCTTTTCTTCTTGTTCTGATATGGCCCCAATCTAGCTTGGGTTCAGTGTTGCCCCCTCATTTTGATACTCACACACTGTTTCTCTATCTCTCTCCCTTCTTTCCTTCCTTCCTTCCTTCCTTCCTTCCTTCCTTCCTTCCTTCCTTCCTCCCTCCCTCCCTCCCTCCCTAGCTCCTTCCTTCCTCTCTCTCCTTCTCTCTTTCTTTCTCTCACCCTCTTTCTCTTTATCTCTCTCTCTTTCTCTTTCTTTCTTGATAGGATCTTGCTATGTTGCCCAGGCTGGTCTCGAACCCCTGGCCTCAAGTGATCCTCCTGCTTCAGCCTCCCAAAGCATTGGGATTACAGGCATAAGTCACCATGCCTGACTCTTACACACTCTGATAACAGCAACTGTTACTGAGCTGAGCACATAGTAGGAGCCTTGTAAAAGCACAGAGTCAGTCAAATGCATATAGGCTGTCTCAAGTTGAAGCAGCTGTGTCCCAGAGGATTACTCAATGCTAAATTTCTTCTGTCCTATGTTACATTCTCTCTTGCTCCCACTTGCTTTGATCACCCACCCATCCTCAGAGATGTGTGTCCACCTGACCTGCCTGGCTCTGGCATTTTTATGAGGTGGTTGTGTTCTGATGGTGATCATGGCCCTGGTTCTAACTCTGCCTCATCCTCCCCATAGTGAGCAAGCTTTTCCCTCCCACCCTGCCCTCATAGCCTCTGTATTTGCGTTGATGTGCTTATCTCTGGGCTGAGAGCTGATTTGGTCTTCCCTGGCTACAGGGCTGAAGTAGGGCTGGTTGATACAGAGGTGCTCGGTCTGTCCTTAAGACCAGGGATGGTGTGTTAGTTTCCTTGGACTGCCATAACAAAGAACCACGAACTGAGCAGCTTCAACAACAGACATTCATTGTCTGAAAGTTCTGGAGGCTCCAAGTCCAAGATCAAGCTGTTGCAGGATTGTGGGCTCTGAGGTAGAATCTATTCTCGGCTAATTTCGTGGCTTCTGGCACTTTGCTGGCGATCTTTGGGATTCCTTTTCTTATAGAAGCATCACCCCAGTCTCTGCCTTCATATTCACATGGCCTTCTCCCTGGGTGCATGTCTGTGTCCAAATTTCCCCTTTTGATAAGGACACTAATCATGTGGGATGAGGGGCGTGTCCTACTCATGTGTGATTTCATCTTAACTAATTACATCTGCAATAACCTTATTTCCAAATAAGGTCACATTCCAAGGTACTGGGGGTTAAAACCTCCACATCTTCTTGGGGGACCCTTAAGAGATGGTGACTTTTCTGTCGCCATCTTTCACATCTGTCACTTGCATCTATTAACCTCTTTCCTGGGGCTGAGACTAGAGTGAAACAAATGAGAACTCATGGGGAACAATAAATTTAAGGGGACATAAAGTAGCTCAGCAGTCAAGATAAATTATATTTTAAATGAAGTGGGTTTTTAAATATATATATATTGTGTCTTTTTTTGGTCAGTTTTTTAGTGTTTTTAATTTTTTTTTTTATTTTTGAAGCAGAGCCTCACTTTGTTGCTCAGGCTGGAATGGAGTGGTACAATCATGGCTCACTGCAGCCTCCATCTCCCAGACTCAAGGGATCCTCCAGAGCCTCAGAGTCCAGATTAGCTGGGACTACAGGCATACATATGCCTGGCTAATTTATATATGTTTTTTGTATAGATGGGGTCTCTCTGTATTGCCCAGGCCTCAATCAGTTCACCCACCTTGGCTTCACAAAGTGTTGGAATGACAGTCATGAGCCACTGCACCCAGCTGTGAAATGTTTTTAAATGTAAAAGTCAATGGGAAAAAATCCATGATGAACAAAATATTAACGTCATAAAGAAAGGCAGGATCTGCCCTCACGCTTGCACGGTGGAGCCTCTCTCATCTCATCCCGTCTTTGCCTGCCCCAACATTGGCTTAATGGGGACTGAGCAAACCAAGGCCCACCCCGCCCCCTGTAGCTGGGACCCTTACCTCTTGTTACCCTTGACTATAGTTTCTTTAACTTCAGAACACAACCAAAGATGCTTTGTTGGATTTTGGAATTCAGAAGGCTTGTTTAACACTAGGTTTGAACCTTATTAATTTCCTACTTCAGTGATTCTCTGCCAAGTCTTTTATACTCCTCTCAAGCTCTGTGTTTGATTAGAATACTTTCATTCCTTGAACTCAGACACTTCTTGGAGGGGGATCTTGCTGATTAGTTTGATGTCATGTGGCCCTGTCAACATTCCTTCATCTTTGCTGTTTTTTTTTTTTTTTTTTTTTTTTTAAATACCAAATGAAGGTGCACTTAGGTACGGAACTCTCTCTCTGGGTGGTGCTCCTTCCCTGGTCTCCTGTAGGGTTGGACCGGAACGCTCTCGGTGTTCACTTCTAGGGTCAGAACACATCTGGAGCAGGATTATGAAGCAGCATTTCCCCTGCAATCTGTCAAACTCGCCAACAACTAGAGAAATCACCCTGATTCCTGAGAGAGATTACCAGGAAGCCTTTTTCAGGGGCAGACGGGGTTATTTTGCCAGTGTAGCAGAAAAAAGGTAAATAACAGGTGTAAACCAAAAATAAAATTCTAAGCCTCCAGAATGACTAAATGGATCTCCCTCTTGGCCGAGGCATTCCAAAGTAAACCTGAAAAACTAGTTCAAGCTGTGATGGGAAGAGGGGCTTGTTGGATAGACCTCCTTATGCCCTCCTCCCTTTGGAATTCAGGCTCAACTGACCAGGGTTAACATTAAAACAGAGATCTTAGGACTGACAAAGCAGACTCTTTGTAGTGGGAAGACACCAAATTCCAACCTGACTCTAGTATAGCATCATAGGACAGATGGCAGGCCCTGAAAGACACTGAAGTATTTTACTCCAAAATAGATTTCTTTGACATCTTTTTAAATGGCCCTGAAAAACTGTCTTTTGTGAGGAAATCTACATTCTGTAGAGAATCCTCTTCCCTTTCTAGGTCTTTACCTCATCTGGGAGATATTTAACTAAGGGTTCGGCAAGTTTTTAGGTCTGATAAAAGACATTTGTTCTCTATTCTCTCTACAGCCTAGAGGCTTCATTTGCATAATGAAATCCCTGGTCTTCACAACCCCTTATCTTAACCTAGAAGACTTTCCTTTCTGTTGATTCCAGGTCTTTGGATAATAACTTAACGCTTTCAACTGATTGGCAATCAGAACATTTTTGAATCCACTATGACCTGGAAGCCATACCCACTCTCCCAGCCTGTCCCCCACAACTGCTTCCAGACCCAACCAATGTACACCTTACATGTATTAATTGATGTCTGCCTACAACTTCTGTCTCTCTAAAAGATATAAAATTAAGCTGTAACCCAACCACCTTGGGCACATGTTCTCAGGACCTCTTGGGGCTGTGTCACGGGCCTTGGTCACTCATATCTGACTCAGAATAAAGCTTCTGAAATATGTCACAGAGTTTAACTCTTTCCATTGACACAGGTGAGTTTGTGTTGCCCACTGCTTGTTATGTGTTACAGTAAGAACGAGATGATCCATTTGCAGAGCTTTGCCTTTTCTGTGGCCAGGTGGGCAGCTGAAGAGACTTGACATGTAGGCCAGTCATTCCATCTGTTCCCAACTCTTTCAGCCTCCTTCTGGGATCCTGTTTTTCCTGCCATCACCCAGCTGAACCCAGACTTTATTCTTTTATAACACACCCCCAGCACACAAATTTATGCACCTACACCAAATTCACTTGCCAGCCACCTCGTTCAATAGCTGTGAATATTTCTGTAGCCTCTTTCTTTTGTGAACTGCAAATAATGACCAGCCTAGTCTCTATGGTTATATTTAGGGGGAAAAGATTCTCTGTAGTAGATTTCTTTTATTAATTAATGTTCTATTTTTTCCATTCACTGATACCCTACATTTTATAGCTTCTAGGAAAATTATACTTGGTACAGTACTTTGACCCTAAATGTGTCCATGTGCAGGAAATAGTACAGTAATTGACACCCAGTTAGTGTTTAGTTAATCGTAGTTCTAAATTATGTGTCTAATGAAGAAAATTTGGAAATCACTTTGCTTAAGAATAAGGAAGTTTTGCAGGGCAAATGTATTAGTCTGTTCTCACGCTACTAATAAAGACATACTGGAGACTGTGTAATTTATAAAAAAAGAGGTTTAATGAACTCATGGTTCCTTATGGCTGGGGAGGCCTCACAATCATGGCGGAAGATGAAGGAAGAGCAAAGGGACTTCTTACATGGCAGCAGGCAACAGAGCTTGTGCAGGAGAACTCTTGTTTATAAAACCATCAGATCTCGTGAGACTTCACTCCCTATCATGAGAACAGCATGAGGGTAACCACACCCATGATTAAATTACCTCCCACTGGGTCCCTGCCACGACAAGTGGGGATTATGGGAACTACAATTCAAGATGAGATTTGGGTGAGGACACAGCCAAACCATATTAGCAAACATTTGAGCAAATGTGCTAT
Organism: Homo sapiens; assembly: GCF_000001405.40. Taxonomy (NCBI): domain Eukaryota; kingdom Metazoa; phylum Chordata; class Mammalia; order Primates; family Hominidae; genus Homo; species Homo sapiens. The sequence continues at coordinate 33,073,825 of NC_000010.11, forward strand.
CAACATTAAGAAGACCAACATCTAGGAGGCAGCACAGAGCTAATGCAAGAGCATTACACTTGGAGTCAGGATTGCTAAGAGCTCCTTGCAGATCTGCTACTGGGTGACTTGCAGATCTGCTACTGGGTAACTTCTCTGGGCCTCAGTTTCCTCATGTGTAAAACCAAGAGGACTGGCAGAAACACTAGCGGAGAGCCCTTCCGGCTCTAAGTCTGTGACACTTTGATGGCTCTTGTTCCTGGATGAAGGGACACCACTGGGAGAAATTTCTTCCTCCATAAGTCAACAAATTGGAATTAAAGTGCCTATGATTCCCTCCGTGAAGTTCGGTGCTGCCAACGATCACGATTCTCATGAACTCAATAAATTGTGCAATATTCTGGAAACAGCTGCCTCTCAGGGGTGGTGTTTAAGTCATCCAACTGGGAAAACAGAGGACACAAAATAATCGTAAAATGGTTTCAGGGAGACATAAGACTGACAGAAATAGAATCCCTGCTCTTTCTGGAATCGAACACTGCTGTTGCACCACAATTTCTGTGAGTTGGACCTAAAAGGAATGTCTTTACTTTTCAGGACTTGCTTTTTGTTCCTTAAAGAGCCAGGGAAATATGAAAGCAATCGATTTCTTCAGAATTCCAAAAGAAAGATATTGCTGTTTGCAAGACAAAGAAAAAAATTAAATGGAGATGGCAGCCTGTGTGTGCTGTTCCCTTCAGCAACGAGCAAACTGTGACCCAATTTGCAAGCCCTTGCAGGTTTGCAGGGTAGACCCTGGCGCTATCTCTTCCCATTAGTTTCTCTGGCAGTAGGACTGGCTGGGAGAAATTGGCTCAGTAGTACATCAGTAGTTATATTACACAGCAGCTGTGGAAAATTATTAAACTAACAGAGAGACAAATGGCTTGGGAGAGAATAAAGTTAGCAAGTCTGGAAACCCCCATTACAGTACATTATGTTGAGTTCCTTCTCCCTCTAGATTAAGACCCTGGTTCCTAAATGAGAATCCAAATTACAGCTAAACTTACTTTACTTACCTGTCTTCTTTTAAATTTGTTTCTCATTTTTCTTTGGCCAGTTAGAGATCATAGAACACTGTCCCATCTTATGCCATTTCTTTCCTCTTTGGTCTTGGACCATCTCTTCCTCTGTGCTGTCACTGGAGATATACAATTACACACGTTCAATCTCATGTGTTCCTCATACACACACACACTCATGTGGATACCCTGATATTCACTCTGCACACACATGCTCACATGCAAACACACCCTGTCTCACACACACTCATGGATGTGCACACACACTTTTGCACAATTTTTTTTTTTGAGATGGAGTCTTGCTCTGTTGCCCAGGCTGGAGTGCAGTGGCAGGATCTCGGCTCACTGCAACCTCCACCTCTCAGGTTCAAGTGATTCTCCTGTCTGAGCCTCCCTAGTAGCTGGGATTATAGGCTCGAGCCACCACGCCCAACTAATTTTTGTATTTTTAGTAGAGACAGGGTTTCACCATGTTGGCCAGGCTGGTCTTGAACTCCTGACCTCAAGTGATCCGCCTACCTCGGCCTCCCAAAATGCTGGGATTATAGGCATGAGCCACTGTGCCCGGTACATTTGCACACATTTTTGAGACTCCAGTGTCTGGGCTCTGGTTGAAAGGCCACTCTGAATTTTTTTCCACTCTCTGTGGTAGTTGGAACTATGTCTACTCCCAAGAGTTCAGACCACTCTGTTGAGAGTTCAGCATGTTTGTAAATGTAATTGGTTTATTAAACGGTATGAATTTAGTGAGAAACACACAAGAAGTATTTATTTTTCCTCCAAATGCAACCTTACAATATGTTCTGTTGAATCTGCATTTCATTTCTCTTAATGATAGGTCCCACAGCTTCTCGGTTATAATGCGGTTGGGGACCAGGCGCGGTGGCTCATGCCTGTAGTCCCAGCCACTCAAGAGGCTGAGGTAGGAGGATTGCTTGAGCCCAGGAGTTTGAGGCTGCAGTGAGCTATGATTGCACCACTGCACTCCAGCCTGGGTGACAGAGGGAGCCTGTCTCAAAAAAATAAAATAAAATGCAGTCGGGTCCAGATCAAAACTTAAATTTCTGGTCAGATTAGTGCTCATGTCCTTCTCCAAGAGCTGCCAGGCACGGAGAGTCTTGTCTAGAGGAGAGAGGAGTGGTTGGCTTTTTTATTTCTTTCACCTTCTGCTTATAGCCGCTGTGTAGTTGACATGAAACAAAGTGATTAGAGAAAAGGGACAAATGCTTTTATTTAGCTGCTGTTGTTGGAGCTCTCTCGGCTGTTTTTTTTTTTTAGATGGAGTCTCACTTTGTCGCCCAGGCTGTAGTGCAGTGGGGCAATCTCGGTTCACTGCAACCTCCACCTCCCGGGTTCAAGCAATTCTCCTGCCTTAGCCTCCCAAGTAGCTGGGACTACAGACACCTGCCACCATGCCCGGCTAATTATTGTATTTTTAGTAGAGACGGGGATTCGCCATGTTGACCAGGCTGGTCTTGAACTCCTGACCTCAAGTGTTCCGCTCACCTAGGCCTCTCAAAGTGCTGGGATTACAGGCTTCAGCCACTGCTCCCGGCCTTTCCTGGCTGTTGATGTCTGTAGATGGAGGCATCAGAAACCTGACTCTCCAGGTGGGTCACAGGTGGGTGCTTTGGAGGGTGATGTGCTTGCCTCCCCATGTATAGTTTGCTGATGTGGGGAGCTCATCTGGCTTGATGTTTCTGGCTGCACCACTCAGCCCCCATGCCCCCTGGCATGCTCACAGCAAGTGTGGCTTAGGTATTGTCCTGGGAAGCCTGGTCAGAGCTTTCCCCATTCTACAATGTCCAGGGCAGCTCTCACCTCCTGGCCATGCCATGGGGTGGGGTGTAGACCTTGTTACTGCTGCCCTCTGTTCTTCATGAAGAGCAGAGGAGCAGGTCTGCTGTAACAGAGGCTGTCCACCTGAAGACTGCCTGCCAGTGAGTCTTGCCTTCACCCCTATTCTTCACAAATGATCCTTTGGAGCCCCCCTGTATGTGGCTTTTGGGAGGGCATACCCATGTCAGGCAGAATTGTAATCCAGCCCCAAGATGCCTGCCCCTGATGTGGACACCTTGCACAATCCCCAAGATTACAATTATGATGGACTCAGCTCCTGCAATAGGTCCCTGACATATGGCACTGTCGACTTTAATAAAGGGATATTATTGGTCGGGGGTGGTGACTCATGCCTGTAATCCCAGAACTTTAGAAGGCTGAGGTGAGTGGATCACAATGTCAAGAGATCAAGACCATCCTGGCCAACAAGGTGAAACACCATCTCTACTAAAAATACAAAAATTAGCTGGGCATGGTGGCACGCACCTGTAGTCCTACCTATTCGGGAGACTGAGGCAGGAGAATCGCTTGAACTTGGGAGGTGGAGATTGCAGTGAGCCGAGATCACCCCACTGCACTCCAGCCTGGTGAAACAGTGAGACTCCGTCTCAAAAAAAAAAAAAAAAGAAAAAGAAAAAAAAAAGAAAGAAAGAAAGAAAGAAAGAAAGAAAGAAAGAAAGAAAGAAAGAAAGAAAGAAAGAAAGAAAGGGATATTACGGAGGGTGGGTCTGACCTAATCAGGAAAGTGCTAAAAAGGGGCTGGGCTCTTCCTGGAAAGGGATTTGAAGCATGAGAATCATTTAACTTGGGAGCTTTGCTGGCTTTGAAGATGGAGGGGTCATGTGGTGAGGAATGTGGGTGCCCTCTAAGAGCAGCCCCTGACTGACAGTCAGCAAGGAAGTGGAAACCTCAGTCCTATAGCTACAAGGAACTGAGTTCTGCCAATAACCACAAGAAGCTGGAAGAGGACTTGGAACATCAGGTGTGAACCCAGCCAGCCAACAGCTTGGTTCCAGCCTTGTGGCACCCTGAACGAGAACCCAGCTACATGGTGCCTGGACTTCTTAGCTACCGAGCCGTGAGCTGGTGAATTCATGTTGTTTTAAGCCACTAAGTTGGTGCCAATTGTTAGAAAGCAATAGAAACTGAAGAGTACATTGCCCCTTCACCTGCTAGTGGGGAAGAGAGAGAAAAGGCCCCAGCACCTTTCATCTAAGTCAACAACTCCCAATTCCAACTAGTTTTTTGCAAATATGATCTGGGGGCAAATGGTGGATTGATTGTAGCAGGGTCAAATAGCCTTGGAGAAGTGTCTGGCTTCCATCCAAGTCAATTATCTTTAGGGGCCGTTAGTATTACTGTTTTCAACCTTGGGTTTTTGGCCACAATTCCCAGACAACAGAAAAAGTCCTGTTCAACATCCTGCTACCCATGAGAAAAGCAGTGGTCCCAATACCTTTATTCTTTTATAATCACGATGTTGAACAAGTATGGCTTCAGGGTGTAATTATTAAGTCATTTTATTTTTGTCTCCTATAGCTCCTTTGTGCTGTGGAGCTAATTAGTCTCTTGCTCCTGGATCACCATGACTTTTATGGTCACCTTCAGGGAATGAGAAGTCTTCTAATCAGTAATTAATGTCTCATTCAGAGACATCACCAAAACTTGCCACTTCATTCAAGGTTACAGCTATACCCTTTTCCCTACCATTGTAGGTGCTGAGAGGGAGGGGAGTGGTTGACTTTGATTTTCTCCAACTTGAGCTTTGATTTGCCAGCCACATCCCCCGACACTCTGGTTTTCTATCTCTGTGAGATTAGAGGAGAGGAGAGAGGACAAGGAAGGGAATGCCCCAGGCTTGTCTTTACCGAAGGTAAAACATCACCCACATAGGGTATCTCTAGAGAACCCATGAGAGCCCTCATCAGTCACTGTAAACCGTCAGAGCCCAGAGAGTGAGAGGCCAGCCTAGGACAGATTCAGTCACGTGGAGCTTTCCTTCTCCTTCCTTCCTTGTCCATTTTTCATTTATTTGGCCCCGTCTGCTGGAGTGTCTCCGTGCTCCTGCCCTAAATGTTCCTAATTTCTGTCTCCTCTTCTTCCTCTGAGGGATGCCTCGGGGTAGGTGTTTCTCAACATTCTGACTTTTACTTTCTTCTCCTCTTTTTGATACTCTAGCTGCTGTTTGTTGTGTTTGTTTGTTTTTGGAGATGAGGTCTCCCTATGTCACCCAGGCTAGTCTTGAACTTCTGTCCTCAAGCAATCCTTCCACCTCCACCTCCCAAGTAGCTGGGACTACAGGCACACGCCACCATGCCTGGGTGATTTTTAATTTTTGTTTTTGTAAAGACAGGGTCTCACTACATTGCCCAGGCTGGTCTCAAACTCCTGGGCTCAAGTGATCTTCCTGCCTCAGCCTCCCTAAGTGCTGGGATTGCAGGTGTGAGCCATCATGCCTGTTTGGCTGGTGTTTTTCATGTGTTCCTGCGGCTTTGACTCTTAGGTTGAGGTGAGTGATTTTGTTTTTATTTATTTATTTTTATTTTTTGAGATGGAGTCTTGCTCTGTCGCCCAGGCTGGAGTGCAGTGGTGTGATCTTGGCTTATTCCAACCTCTGCTTCCCGGGTTCAAGTGATTCTCCTGCCTCAGCCTCCCAAGTAGCTGGAATTACAGGTATGTGCCACCACGCCAGGCTAATTTTTTATTTTTAGTAGAGACAGGGTTTCGCCTTGTTGGTCAGGCTGTCCTTGAACTCCTGACCTCGGGTGATCCACCCACCTTGGCTTCCCAAAGTGTTGGGATTACAGGCGTGAGCCACTGCACCCAGCCAGGTGGCTGATTTTAAAATCTGCATTTCCAGAACTCCCTCTCCTCTGAGCTCCAGTTCTGTATTCCTGATTGTACATTGGAGATCTTGACCCAAAAGGCCCACAGCCTTCTAAAGTCCCACATGTTTCAAAGGAAAGCCATCGCTCTCCTGCCCCCTTCCACCTCCCTCTCAATCCTTGTTTTTCTTAACTGTACCTCTGTTCTCCATCCACCCAGGCTGCCCAACATCTGACTGCTCCTTCTTCCTTAGTCTCTACATCAAATCCACCAAGTCCTTCCATTCTGCCTTCTCAATAGCTTTTTGTTTTGCTTTTTAATCTTATCAAAATTGAATTGTTAAAATTTTTTTTTTGCTTTATTTCAATAGCTTTAGGAGTAAAGGTGGTTTTTGATTACATGAACGCATTGTATGGTGGTGGAGTCTGGGCTTTCAGTGTACCCATCACCCGAACAGTGAACATTGTACATAATAATTTTTCATCCCTTATCCCCCTCCCACACTTCCCCCTTCTGAGTCTCCAAAGCCCATTATATCTCTGTATGCCCCTGTGTACCCAAAGGTTAGCTCCCATGTGTAAGTGAGAGCATGTGGTATTTGGTTTTCCATTCCTGAGTTGCCTCACTTAGGATGATGGCCTCCAGATCCATCCAAGTTTCTGCAAAAGACATTATTTTCCTCTTTTTTTTAAATGGCTGAGTAGTATTCCATGGTGTGTGTGTGTGTGTGTGTGTGTGTGTGTGTGTGTGTGTGTGTATGTGATATGGTTTGGCTGTGTCCCCACTCAAATATCATCTTGAATTGTAGCTCCCATAATTCCCACGTGTCATGGGAAGGTCTCATTGGGAGGCAATTTAATCATGGGGGCGGGTCTTTCCCATGCTGTTCTCGTGGCTGTGAATAAGTCTCACAAGATCTGATGGCTTTATGAAGGGGGGTTCCCCTGCACATATCTTCTTGCCTGCCGCCATGCAAGATGTGACTTTGCTTCTCTTTTGCCTTCTGCCATGATTGTGAGGCCTCCCCAGCCATGTGGAACTGTGAGTCAATTAAACCTCTTTCCTCTATAAATTACCCAGTCTCAGGTATGTCTTTATTAGCAGCATGAGAGCTGACTAATACAGTGTGTGTGTGTGTACACACCACATTTTCTTTGTGCACTCATCAGTTTATGGGCATTTAGGTGATTCCACATCTTTGCAATTGTGAATTGTGCTGCAATAGACATTTGCATGCAGGTGTCTTTTTAATATAATGATTTATCTTTCTTTGAGTAGATGTCCAGTAACGGGATTGCTGGATTGAATGGTAGATATACTTTTTGCTCTTTGAGAAATCTCCAGACCGTTTTCCACAGAGGTTGTACTAATTTACATTCCCACTAACATTGTATTCGCTTTCCCTTTTCATCAAATCTGTGCCAACATCTATTATTTTTTGACTTTTAAATAATGGCCATTGTGATGGGGGTAAGGTGGCATCTTACCACAGGGGCTTTTGAATGGGACTCCTCCTCCCCATCACAGCTGCTCCTCCCTTGGTCCAAAACTCAGAGGCAACAGTCTGTCTTTCTATCAATATGCTTTTAAAATACATACATACATACATAAATATTTTTGTAGACTGGGATCATACTCCTCCTGTTATTCTATAAATTGATTTTTTTCCCACTTAACAATATATTGTGGAAATCTTTTAAAGTCACTTCTTATTCATCCACAATAGTTTTCAAATATTATGACAGTTGAGGACTTTGGGTTTTGCCTTCTGTTGTTCAGATAGAGTTCTCATGGTCTCTTTCTCCTTTTCAGTTCCTGGTGACCTGAATTCCCATGGAGGAAAGAGGAAAAGGACATTATGCAAGGAGATGGCATCTCGTGTCCCTGGTGAACCAAATTCCATTAGGAAGACGGTGCAGTGTGAGGTGGACCTGGACCTGGATAAAATGGGTGTTTAACAAGTATTTGTTGAGTAGGTGGTGGAGGAGGCACGACTAGATGCAGGGTCTAGCTGAGTTGACAAGAGCTAACACCAGGTGTGGACCAGGACAGGGGGACCTTAAGCGAAGACACCCTGCCAGATGTGTCTTGTTCCCTTGACTGTGGGGAGGCCCTTGGTGGTGGGGTGACGGTCCCCCAGTCTGAGGATTTTCCCTGGATGTAGCCTCTCAGTGCTAAAATGGGACAGTCCCAGGCAAACCAGGTCAGTTGGTCACTCTACTCAGTGAGCCCCGTGCTGTGTTCAAATTTTCCTCTTAACAGATGTGGATGGATTTCGGAAACTTAGAAACCACCATTTCTCTGTGCCTGGGAGGAGAGTTAAATCTTCTCACCAGAATCCTTTTATGTGTGAGAGAAATAAATATCTATCCTTTTTATATCTCTTTTGTTTTGGATTCTTTGTCACCAGCAGCCAAACCCAATTCTTACATAAACGTGATACTAATTAAATTCATTTGCATAAACTCACCAGTTTTATCCTTAATTACTGTGATATACACTCATGAAGTATGTACCCTAAAATACCACTGTAAGTTTTATTTGATTACAGCATTAAACTTAATTTACAGAAATGCTTGGCTTCTTTCAATAGCTTGTTGATTACATAGTATGATCATCTTCTGATAACTTAAAAGAAAAAAAATGGAAGGACCCGTATTCCTTCCAGCTTGTGAATGGAGGCCCAGGGCACCAGACCCTGCTATTGAATTTGAATAAATGGGATCTCTTTTGAACAGAATCTGAGAGATGGCATTAACATATACCTCATGGCCAAAGTGCATTACATTTAGCCTTTACTGCAGACAGTTGTTTTTGGAGACACACTATGACCTTTGGTATATCTGCATCTGTGAAACAATAAAGCATTCTTTAAATGAAGATTTTGCTGTATTACAAATGACTGGAGAGGGTTTTAAACATTATTATTCTAGTGCTGGTCTGCTTCCCTTCTTTCTCTTAAATAATCTGCTTTAAGCGTTCAAAGGGTCTACTCATCTCAGGACATGACTATAGCTAATTTGCTGAGAGCCTCTGAACATACCCCAAGCCTGCTTAGGACATCTGCAGGGAAGTTAAATCATTTTAAGTGGAGGAATTAGGCTAATGTTTTCTGCTAGGAAGAAACCTTGAATCTGGTATTCTGAACAAGACTTCAAATGGTGGAAACAAATTACGCTGTAGATATACAAAAGAAAAATAAATCCATCTTATTTTACTGGGAGCTTGACACTTTTATTTAGAGAATTTATATTTCTGAATGCTCCCTTCATACCTTATGGATGCATTTCAAATGTGGCTGTTAGGTTGATGATCTACTTCTTAAAAACAGATCAGGGAGAAAGAGGAGATTGGGGCCACTTTAGAATAAGAAAGAAAGAAAAGAGAAGATTTATTTAACAATGAGATGAATCTGAGCAAAATGAATCTTTTTCTTGCAAAAGCAGGCAAATTCTGATAGGCTTGAGAGATTCTGAATGAAAAAAATGTTCTTTTGCAAATGACTTTTGCACTGCCACTATCTCCCCAAGACTTTGTGTTTTTTTTTCTTTTTTGAGACAGGGTCATGCAGGCTGGAGTGCAATGGCAATCCTCCTGCCTCAGCCTCTGAGTAGCTGGGACTACAGGCACACTCTACCATGACCAGCTGATTTTTTATTTTTTGCAGCGACAAGGTCTCATTACCTTGCACAGGCTGGTCTTGAACTCCTAGTTTTAAGCGATCCTCCCATCTCAGCCTCCCAAAGTGCTGGGATTATAAGCGTGAACCACCGGCCCTGCTTCCCCAAGATTTTAACGTGGAAAACCTAAGTGGGAATTCTATGTAATGGACCATGATCCACTATACATCAGTTACAGATGTGCGCATTGTTGTGTGTGTTTTCATAAGCTTTCCAATGTGGACGTTCAACACTGAATGCTACTCGCTGCGCACGTAGGATAAACTGGTGAGCTGAGGTTATTTGCTGGAGACAGCCTGGGGAATTAACAGCCGAGGGGATAAAAGGTAGCTGCAGGGTAGATTCTGATTGGCTTTTAAATGATTGCTATAGGGCAGTTGGTGGTGCTGAGAGAGGCGAGAGAGGTGTAGTTTGTGAACTAAGCAGGCAGAGTTGCCGATCCTTATTCACTCCTGGGCCCTAATGAAAGCCAAGTTATCTACACCATGACCAACTCAGTGCAAACTATTTCCTCAGTGCTGGGGGTCTGTAAGGGAGAGCCCATCTCTTGGTGCAGACTTTTCTGGGAGGAGTTAAGACAATAAGCAGATGTCTGAATAAAAATGAAGCCCACGCCCTCCCCCCGTCTCACTGCTCTTGTTTTTCTCTGCTATTAGCCATATTTTGAATCTCAGCCTCTCACCATGGGATACCATAAGCTAAGAGATCTAGTGAAATATTCTGAAAGTGCATGTTCTAGAAACCGCACGTTCTTTCCTTTCTTCAAAGGCATCTGGCAATTGGCTTCTTCACATTGTTGAACCACTATCAGAAGGGGTGAGGGCTAGGCATGGTGGCTCATACTTGTAAACCCAGCCCTTTGGGAAGCCGAAGCTGGAGGATCACTTGAGGCCAGGAGCTTGAGATCAGCTGGGGCAACAGACTAAGACCCCAACTCTGCCAAAAATTAAAATATTAGCCAGGTATGGTAGTGCACACCTGTAGTCCCAGCTATTCAGGAAGCTGAGGCAGGAGGATCACTTGAGCCCAAGGAGTTCAAGGCTGCAGTGAGCCATGATTGTGCCACCATACTCCAGCCCAGGTGACAGTGCAAGGCCCTGTCTCAAAAAGTAAAAATTTAAAAAAGGGTTGGGCAAGGAACCACACAGTTGCTCCTGGCTTTTCTAGGCTGTAGGGTCTGATTGTCCTTCTGAACGTATGCATGGCTAGGCCAGCCCATGAATCAGACTCCAGTCCCGCTGTGTCAGATTCTGGGACTGCTTAGAATCTCTGTAAGCTCATCTATAAAATAATGATTCAGAAAAATTGTGAACCACTAGCTGATTCCCTTGTCATTGTGAATAAGCATCATATTTTCCCTCCGTGCCAGGTAGCATTATTCTTCCTCTTAACATCTTGCTGGAGAAGAATGGTGCCTGGGAGTTTTCAATCTTGCTCTCTTGGAGGGCATCCCAGTGTGACAATGAGCTCATTCTTGCAAGGATATGGTCTATATTGGCATTTGTTTCCTGATAGTGATGCATCAGGAATACCTGTAACACTGTGGTACTCCTTCCAGCTGGATTTCTCCACTGGGCTAATTCAGAATGCAGCATTTCATCTTGAGAGAAAATCCAACATTTCTTTTGTCCTTTACTTAGCCTCCCAAAGATGACTGCAGCCAAGCAGGTGTCTACGACCAGAGCTTATTTCACACCCATATTTATCCTAAGAATATGAAATGTGCAATAGCCCCCATCCTCCCTCAAAAAGATCTATCAGCAAAAATAAAGCTCATGTTACCCTTAGAAAGATCTTCAATTGTTTTGCAAGTGGTTTCTCATTTCTTGAGACATTGAGAAAGTTTGACCTAAAAAGGTTGCTTTTTAATATATTTTATTGAAAAGAGAGAAGGTGATGCTCTTGTCACTAAGCAACTTGAATAGGGAAGAGCGCCCATGGTTGTTTGTTGTATAAACGGGGCAATAATGAAGATAACGAATTCCTGACCTTTTTCTATTTCTTTATAAACCAGCTCGAAATGCCATTTCAGTGTCTGAACACATTAATATAATGGGAGAGACACTGTTCACACCCTGAACCTTGACCTTTGCAAGCAGAGGGGAGAATGCTGGTATACTAGTTTTTTTATGAGAAAGGCCAGCCTAATTTTTATCATTAGGTTGGAGGCATGAAGTACATGTCATCACTACTTCAGATATTTATTCTGGGATTTTGTTCCTTGGCTCCATTTCAAAGGCTACTTGACCAACTACTTTGTGCCTGTAATTCAAAATGTTATCTGGGGCTGTTTTTCAGTAGAGGGAGGCACTTAGAGTCAGAGAGATACATGGATCTGTTTTCCTACTGAACAGATGAAGAAATAGAGTGTTCAGTGGGTTTGCCTAATGTCACCACACTGAAACAGGCTCCAGGGCTGTCACTAGAATTTACTCAGGTTAATATGCAAAACTTAGAGAGCCTAAACAATGAATTTCCCATAGTGAAGTTTCTTTTCTGAAAAGGGTAGTAAACTTGGACATAAGAAGAAAAAAAAAGACTTACATCTAATATTCATACTTACATGGCCCTTAGAGACAAGACTTCTCTCCTTTCTCACAATACAAAGTCATTTTCATTCACTCATTCATTAAGGCAGTCATTTATTCACCCAGTAGACATTTATTGAGCACATATTACATGCTAGGTATTGAGTTGGGAGCTGAGAATTCCAAGATTCTGAATAGGCCAGTCTCTGCTTCAGAGAGCTCCAAACCCGATGAGGGAGAGAAGATCATTTCAAGCTGATAAGCAACACTAAATCAGTGTGCAGCCATGTACCCTATAAATATATACACCTACTATGTACCCACCCCCCAGGAAATTAAAAATAAAATACAAAATAAAAAAAGGAGTTAAGGTTTTAAAAAAAATGTGTCTCGAATGCCAGTCAAGGATGGGATGAGGATTCAGGAATGCCTTCTGGAAGAGGTGGCTGGAGTTGTGTCCTAGAAGCAGGAGTTATCTATGTGGATTTTGAAGGAATAGGAGAGGAAAAGGCATTCCAGGCTGGCAGTGTAATGGATACAAAGGCTGCCAAGTAGGAAGCAGTGTGCTGTGTGAATACGTAGCCCGGTGCAGGTGCGATAGAGAGGCAGAATAGGGTAGTTGTTGAAAGCCTTCTCTGCATGACCTGATACAGAGACCTTGACCAAAGAAAGTTCCACCTCTATATCTTAATGATTGCCAAGGGAGGAAAAGAGATTGCGTAGAATTGTACACTGGCTTTTAAATCTTCCATTTGGGGGTGACATATTGTTTGCCTCTCATTTCATTGACTAAAGTAAGTCACACCATCATGCCTAACTTCCAAGGGGACAGGAAAGTGTAATCCTGTTATTTGCCCAGAAGGAGGAAAAATGGAATCACTGTGATTACCACAGCAAAGGAACTATTAGTTAGATATTATCAGAAAAATGTAAAATTGAAACTATTCTATTTGATGGGTATTATTCCTTTTTAAAATCTGGTTCATAGATGACGTCCTCGCCAAAAAGTATCCTCATTTTTTTCCTTGGGTCATATTTCCAAGTCATTGACTTTGGAAGGCACAGGAGGAAGCAGTCCTTCTCAGAATGAAACATTCTTTTGTTGTGATTGGTTTCCTGAAGTGGTCACCTGGTTCCACTTATTTAAAAATCTATCTGTGTTCATACTGTTTTACCAGAACTTTGGGAGCGTGGTGTCCCATTTTTGGTGATCTACAAAAAGATAACAATGAAACTCTCAGCTCATCCGCAATGGAAGATGGGTGTAATTGACTGCTATGCTCTTGCCTCTTGCTAGGTGGTGTTTACTATTAATTACTCAGTGTTTGTTTGGGGTATTGAACAGTATTGATCAACTCAGCTAATCAATGTATGCCAAGTCCATGAATTTCACAGGATATTCTAAAGTTCACCTCCTAGAACAAGGGAGCCTGAAGTTGGAGCCTGAAGGTTTGCATTATACTGTAGTGGTCTCCTAAAAAGATCGCTTCTTCTGAAGGGTGTTTTGGTGCAAAGGAGGGTACTAGAAGAAGTAGGCTGCTGTAAGACATGGTCCTATGTAAATTGTTATGAGTCTGTTATAAGAACGTTGTCCTACTTAGAAGGAACCCTCCCACTTCCTGAAGAGAAAGCCGCACTTCTCCTAAGCAGTGGTTTGTTTTTCATGTCATGGACACTTTTATCATTAGCTGCTGGGAAACATAAACCTACATTGTAGCTCAGGAGTTTTAAGTGAAGAATTCATTATGAAATGCACACTGTCATCAGCACTCTCCATTTGTGTCCATTTGTGTTACTCTCTGTGTTTTCTTTCTTCTATTCTCCCCACTTTTAATGTCTGTTACCCTGTATTTTACATTTAAAAAATTCTTTCTGAAATAAGGTGGAAAATTAACATGTAATAGAAGGGGAAAATTGAAAGTTTCTTATAATTGACCTTTTCTGTTCTGTACCCTCCATTCCTGATTGGAAAAAAAAAAAAAAGTGCAACTCATTTAAAGGTAACCCAGCCTCTTGTAGTAAAAATAATCTTTATAAAATAAATATTTCCTGTTTCAAAGTACAGATTTACTCAGAGGGGTATTTCCTCATCTTGAGTTGTCTTTCTCTTCCATCTTTCTTCAAATGGCATTTAGGAGTGGGGAGAAGGTCTGAAGGGAAGGAGAAGTAGATTGTTACTTTAGTAACAGTGTGCATGTCTATATGTGTGTGGTGGGGAGGGTAGTACGTAGAAAATGAGTTTAAATAAGGATGTATTGAGTTGGAACTGCCTGTGAATAATCTGGGAGGCAGGTAGTTGGCTGTCTGTGTTTAATGTTTAACAAATTCTAATGAGACATTGTTACTTTAACTTGTGAGTCAATATGATTTTTGAGAGTTTGAGCAGTGGAGGAAAGAGGAAGCCATCTTTGTAGTACCACAGTTCATCTTGAGGAGGCCTAGAGTCACTCTATTCTACCTCCCACCTACTCAGCCCTCATTTGTAGGTCACTGATTTATATCTCAAAACTTTAGTATAAACATGTCTGTGAAAGTTTTTTTGTTTGTTTGTTTGAGACAGAGTCTCACTCTGTCACCCAGGCTGGAGTTCAGTGGTGCCATCATAGCTCACTGCAGTCTTGGACTTCTGGGTTCAAGTAATCCTCCTGCCTCAGCCTCCTGAGTAGTTAGGACTACAGGTGTTTAACACTGGGCTTGGCTAATTTTTTTTTCTATTTTTAGAGATGGGATCTTGCTGTGTTGCCCAGGCTGGTCTCAAACTCCTGGCCTCAAGCAATTCTTCCACCTTGGCCTCCCAAAATACTGGGATTACAAGTGTGAGCCACTGCATCTGGCCTATGAGAGATGTTTTAAAAATTAAAAATACACATATTAACCAGTGAGCACAGCAAAGCACTCATTTCCCGAGAAAACTCACCTAAGTGGACAATGACATTTGGTGTAGACAGGTGGGGTTGGGGGTAGGATGTGAGTGTCAGGGCAAGTCTAGACATAGGCTTTGTTGGTGAGGGGCTAAGCAGTGGCTCCTCCAAATTATTTGGTTGAGAAGGGGCAATTTGAGAAAAGGAGAGATGGAAAAGGGAAAGGCAAGAGTTGCCCATTTTGTTGGGGTCCCAAAGATGGTGACTGATTGTAAGGTTGCCTTTTAAGTGGAATAGGAAGGCAAGAAGATGTGCACCCCCTGAGACAGACTAGGGAACCTTCTACCTGAGAGACATGTTACTATGTGAATGCCAACTATCGGATGCATCTACGCTCCATCATTTTCTTGAAGGAACGATGTCTGCTTTCACTTTTAGCTCCAGTTTCAGCTAGGCTCAGGAGTGACATTGATGCCAGGAGCTCCATAGAAGCAGGACTGAATGCCTCTGGTCTTTCGGCAAGTTGTTTCCATCACGTCCTAGCAAGTAGCGTGTCTGGAGCCATCACATGGCATGACATTCTGTAAGGGGCTTGCTCATTATTTACTGAGCATGTCAAAGTGTTGGCTGCCTTCAGGGCTCTCAAGGGAGCACATATTTGCCAGAGCACCTCGATGAGAAATACAAGCAAGTTGTAAATTTGCTACTCATTTTAAAGGCTGTCACTGAGAATGCATATTCTGTTAGCTCCCTTTCCTGCTGAGGCTTCTGGGTGCAGAGAAATAAATATAATAAGTATTATGTGTATTGAGAAACAAATATAATATCAGGATATTTTAGCCAGGGTGACTGCTATGAACTGGGCATCACAACTAAAGTATAAATAAGATCTCGTTTCTTTTGTGTTTTTCAACGAATGACATAATTGCTCATGTGCTTTATGAATAGGAAGACTAGTACCTTCCTCTTGAGTTTTACCCTCCAGAGGCTAAATTGTGCAAAATCTCTGGGGAGGTTTGGACAGACCGCCTTGAAATCTCATTGCCACAGAGACTTGCCGTTGAAAGCCTGTCTTCTGCAGGCTGACAGGTGATGCTTGTCCATCCTGCAATGATGTCTTAGTGGCCCAGATCTCTACAGAGGTTGATATGGTTTGGCTGTGTCCTCACTGAAATCTCATCTTGAATTGTAGTTACCATAATCCCCATGTGTTGTGGGAGTGACCAAGTGGGAGGTCATTTAATCATGAGGGCAGTTACCCTCATGCTGTTCTCATGATAGTAAATGAGTTCTCAAGAGATCTGATTATTTATAAGGGGATTTTTCCACTTTTGCTCATTCTTCTTCTCCCTGCCACCATGTGAAGAAGGACATGTTTGCTTCCCTTTCCACCATGATTGTAAGTTTCCTGAGGCCTCCCCACAGTTCAGCTAACTGTGAGTCAATTAAATCTCTTTCCTTTATGAATTACCCAGTCTCAGGTATGTCTTCATTAGCAGCATAAGAACGGACTAATACAGAGGGGGCCCTGGACCTTCCAGCACCATGACCCCATTTTTCTCAAAGCTGCAGCAAGCCTCCCTGAACTTGGGCTCCCCAGATTGTAATTCTTTCTGTTTGGTTCATTTAGCAGCCAACACACTGGGTGCCCGCTGCTGCAGAAGCACAGGTCATTCCTGAGCTGAACATCTGCCCTTTGCTCCCCTGGACCCATAGTTCTCTTTACCTTTACCAGCTAGTCACCCTTGGGACCTTCACTAAGCAGAGGTTCAAGGGTCTACGGATGCAACAGTGCCTGAGACAGACATGGGCACTGCTTCTCGGGGCAACTTAGTGAGTAGATGGGATACTCACTAGGATACAGAGGTGGAGAGTGAGAAGAGAAATGAGCCTACGGCAGAGTAATGTCAGAATCAACATTGAAGGAATGGGAAGAGGAAGAGGAACCTTCAAATAAGATTGAAATGGAGAGTAGGGGAATTTTTAAGAGGTCAAAGGAGGTAGGAGAAAAATGTAGAGAATACAGTCTATCTAAAGAAAATATTATGCTTTAAAAAAGAGAGGTGGCCAACATTGATCAACACTGCGGAGGGCTTAAAATAAAGTCAAAGACCCAGAGCACTTAGCAATTAGGGGGTCATTGGTGGAAACAGGTGAGAATGGTGTTCAGGGAGTAGTGAAAGTGGCAGCTACTTGAGGACCAAATGGGAAGTGAGGAAGCAGACAGTAAGTTTTGACAGTTCCTTAGGTTTTCTGTGGAAGGGAGGCTAGGAGATAGGATGGTAGATGAAAAAGGATACAGTGGTTTTTGTTTTGGTTTAATTTTTTTGGGGGGAGGATTTTGTAGGGATCGGGTCTCACTGTGTTGTCCAGGCAGGTCTTGAACTCCTGGCCTCAAGTGATCCTCCTACCTCAACCTTCCAAAGTGCTGTGATAACAGGTGTGAGCCACTGTGCCCGACTAGTATGTTAGTTTTCAAAATGTTTTATATTTATATTGTTCTTTATAGCCTACAGAACATTTTTGGAAGCATTATTTTAATACTTTATTACAACATTTAATAACTGCAACATTAATTCTCAAGATTAATTCTTAATACTTCAACTTGGGAGAGAACAGAAGGATTAAAGAGCTGGCATTACTATTCACAATAACAAAGACATGGAATGGATCTAGGTGCCCATCAACAGTGGATTGGATAAAGAAAACGTGGTACATATGCACCATGGGATACTACAAAGCCATAAAACAGAATGAAATCATGTCCTTTGGGACAACATGGATACAGCTGGAGGCCATTATCCTAAGTGAATTAAAGCAGGAACAGAAAAAAAATACCACATATTCTCAGTCATAAGTGGGAGCTAAACATTGGATACTCATGGACATAAAAATAGCAACAATAGACACTGGGGACTACTTGGTGGGGAGGGAGAAGGGAACAAGGGTTGACAAACTAACTATTGGATACTATGCTTAGTTCCTGGTTGACAGGATCAGTTGAACCCCAAACCTCAGCATCACACAATATACCCATGTAACAAACCTGCACATGTACCCTCTGAATCTAAAATAAAAGTTGAAATTATATTTTAAAAAGAGCTAGCATTTATTTTGTACCTCACATGTGCCAGGCACCTTACACATTATTTTATTTAATATTCACAAAAACCATATGATGCTGGTACTATCCCTGTTCTACAGACAAAGAAGCAGAGGCTTAGATCTTGACTGAAGTCATTTAGCTACAGAATGCCTGGGATTCAAACTCAAGTCTGCTGATGCCATAGCCCTTACACTTTCCACTGGGCAATATTTGCTTAGAAAGATATTGAAATAATCTTTTGCATCTTTGCAGCCACCCTCTGAGGTGGATAAGAACACTGAAAGGTTGATAATCTCATTCCCAGCAAAGGCCAAGGCAGGAGTAACTGAACTCTAGGCCCCTGTCTTCCAGTCTGCACTGCCCGTGACTCTGAACTGGAATAAATGGGGAACTCGTTGTGTTACTTGTTTTGATTCATCTTTTTTAAATGTTAAGTATGGCTCACATTTATTTCAATGTTTAATATTAGAAGTGTTTTGGGTCTTTTTGGAAGTTCGGTCATGTTTTTGTGATCAGAAATAGGCCATAGGTTCTTAACTCTTGTTTTATCAATTAGCCTATGGTCAAATCGGTTTCATTATTTGTCGTTTTGCTTAAAGTTGCAGTTTCCAAGAACCATGGAGATTTTGAGTCGTCCCACTTCCCCTTCCCAATGGGACGCCGTACAGAGCCTCACATCATCCTACCAGTGTTTACCTGACGTTGACCCACCAGAGAGTCTACGCATTCTCAGGTAAGGCGACATGAGCTTCACTTCAGGGAGCACAGTTAGTCCCTGGGAGAATCTGGCTTGTTATGTTTCTAGCATCTAGAGTCTTGCTGCGTCTCTGTGCTTGACAGGCACTCATATTCAAGCTTCCCTCATTTCTTACAAAACAGGTGAGTCAAGGGAAAAAACAAATGAGAGACATTTGTAAAGGGCTGGGGAGATATTGACAGATTGCAGCAAATTTCAGAAAGAGTCTCAGAAATGATCAGTGATCTGGAAGGATAGATTCAGGAGGCGAAAATGTAAAGTAGCAGCAGCAACAATAGCAGCAATAAACAGAAACAAGCTAGACCTCAACTATTTATTTCTTGGCCAGCCCAGGGACTAAATGTGCTCTTTTCTGAGGCAAAATGCCAGCATATTTGAATCACAATTTAGAGGCCTAAATGGTAAAATAAATTGATAATAAAAGGATATTTAGGTTGAACATTAAAAAAAGCTTACCTTAAAAAGTTGAGGGGATAGACCAATCTTCCTATAAACTGCTTTTTTTTTTTTTTTTTTTTTTTTTTTAAGAGAGATAGGGTCTTGCTCTGTGTCCCAGGAAAGCAGTGGCATGGTCATGGCTCACTGAAGCCTCTAACTCCTGGGCTCAAGGGATATCCTCCTGCTTCAGCCTCCTGAGTAGCTGGGACAAGTAAGCACCACCACACCCAGTTAATTTTTTATTTTTTGCAGAGATAGGGTGTCGCAGTGTTGCTCAGGCGGGTCATAAACTCCTGGGCTCAAGCGATCTTCCCACCTTAGCTTCCCAAAGTGCTGGGAAATACAGGTGTGAGTCATTGCACCCCACCTTATTAACTTGTCTTAAAATGCAGAATGGGGCCTTTTTCACATCATAACAAATTATTGTTAACTAAGTTCCACTGCTTCAGAATGGGTAGGAATTCTGGCATCAACAGAACTGAACTGAACTGGACAAAATAGTGAAGGTCATAGTTAGCCTTTTGTTCCCCCCTCCGCACCCCACTTGAAGGTCTTCTTGCCCTCCCAGCTTCCCCATCTCTCCTTTATGGTCTTCACGCTGTCCCTTTGTGGCCCCAGGCTGGGACTATCTCTTGGCTATTACCCAGCACTCTACTTTCAAAACATGGCTCTCTTATGTCCCATTTCCTCTAACTTACTTTCATAATGAATAGCAACTTAATCCCCTAACACTTTACTCATACATCAATTATCCAGGAATATCTTCATTTTAAACAAGAATCCCCCTACTTCTCCTACATCTCCACATCCTCAGCAAAGGAACCAAAGTCGTAATCCAGAAGAAGAGTTTGAAAATGGGGACGATCTTGATTTCTTTCCCATTGATTTCCTTGAAGGCAAATCCCAGCGTCTGAGGTTCTGTTTACTCAATTAGTATCACAAACAATATAGGCCACTGGATATTTATAATTTCCTGAGATACCAAACTTTCAACTTACTCTTAAAACCATAGGAGCCTCTCTTTGTTAACAAGTCATTTATTTGCTAAACAGAGCTCATTTTAATGAATTTTTTTAACATAATTTTCCTCCAGGAACTAGAATAAGCTCATTCCAATCATTTCATACATTTGAAGGGAGTAATACTGCATTTAGAAAAAATGCGTAATTCAGTATTTTTATTAGTTCAGATATTACTCCCAGACCACAATCTGTTTGAGTTATGATTAGCTCTACATAGAATAAATAAGACTATGGAAACAAATGTTGCATTGGGACAAAACACAGGTTTGTGAAAAAGATATATCTGTAGTATTCTTTCAGAGCTTTTGGTTTTAAGTAAGAGAAACCAACTCCCTTTGACTTAAACCAGAGTGAAATTGAATGGATGATACTGATGAGCAAAGATGCAGGAACTGAACAAGCAGAAAACAACAGAAGCTGGATAGCTGAAATCACAGTCAAGGCCAGGCCCAGCACATGCTAAGCAGGCCGCAGCTGGCTGCTGCTGACCTCAGCACTGCTTCCCCTGAGGCCAGGCAGTGTGGGCTTTGCAGCTGCCAGAGTTGATGTCTCCTGCTCCACTCTGATCACCAGCTTCAGTTTTAAAACCAAACTGGCTGAGCCCAGGCCACAATGCCTACTTTATGACTGGGAGGTGGAAAAAGGGGGTAATCTACTTCTTCTAGCTTCACTAGTGGGAGCAGGTCTCATCTCCCACAAAGACTGCTATGGTTTGGCTGTGTCCCCACCCAAATCGCATCTTGAATTGTAACTCCCACAATTCCCGTGAGTCATGGGAGGAACCTGGTGGGAGGTGACTGAATTATGGGAGTGGGTCTTTCCTGTACTGTTCATGTGATAGTGAATAAGTCTCATGAGATCTGATGGTTTTTTAAAAAGAGAAGTTCCCCTGCACAAGCTCTCTCTCTTTGCCTGCTGCCATCCATGTAAGATGTGACTTGCTCCTCCTTGCCTTCTGCCAAGATTGTGAGGCTACCTCAGCCACGTGGAACTGTAAGTTGATTAAACCTCTCTTTCTTTTGTAAATTGTCTTTATCAGCTTCATGAAAATAGACTAATACAAAGACCTAATTAGGGAATTCCTCAAATACACAAAGGAGTCTACTAAATGCTGGATATCTAAACAACTTCCACTACTTATACCCAGAAACTTAAATCTAACTCAAGCCAGAAAACACCTTTGAAGGTGAAATTTCCAAACAAGAGCAGACTAAATTGGGCTTGTTTTATTAACCCAGGTCTCAGCTTCCTTTGTTACTTGGAGATGAACCTGACTACCTCTACCACGTGCTTCTGGGGCTTTCTGGTTGTTTTTCCAAGGGAGGCAATTCCATAATATACAGGGCACATGTGAAATAAGATACACTGTCTGGGAGACAGCAAGCAGGTTGTCCTAAAGGGTAAGATCTAATTCTTGCATTTAAAATTTTTCCTCTGGAAAATTGTGTCAAATCTCAAAAATAATGCTATATAGGGTAAAATAATGATTTGGAGTTAACTGTACACACAGCCCAATTCCTTTGTGATAATAGGGTTTTTTTTCCTATTATATCAACAGAACAGCACTTTGGAACATATGCACTTGAATACGTGATTTTACCAAATCAAGGAAATTCAGTAAGAATCTTTATGATGCAATTTTACTCTTCAGACTAAAAGTACATAAATACATATCACACACACATTTGATACATAATATAATTATTCTATACCATAATATGTCACATATTAGCATATAATATATGAAATGTAATTATCTGTGATATATAATGAAAATTATATATTAAATATGTATAATTATACATAACATAGTATGTTTATAGCATAGTGTAGCATATAAATTGTCTTATATCTCTTTTTGCTTATTTTCTCCCTTTATCTCATATTAATTATTTGCCCATTTTGAAACTCATGAAGTAACAGTTTAATAAATTAGGTATTATCATTTGCTAAACAGGTGATTAGGGAGAGAGGTAAAGTGATATTTTAAGTAATTTCTTTGGAGTATCTTCTTGCTACTGTGTTCTCTGTTTCTGTCAGTGTAACGGGGAAATTGAAAGTTGGCTAGATATCATTTTAAGCTACTATTCATTTTCATTTCCCCATTTTATTTTTGTGAGACTATTTCACTTGTCAGTTCAAGACGTTAGACACATTTGATTAAATTATCAGTGAGTGATCATTGTGACAGTAAGACGCAGAAGAGGAGAGGTGAAAAACGTTTGCAAAAGAAAAGCAGAGATATAGAAGAATGGGTAGGAAATGAATGGGGTGATGAAACAGAGAAGTCTCAATAAAGCCCCTGATAAACAAAGCCAGGTGTCCCAGCAGAAAACCTTGCTTCCCCCATCCAGCTGTGCTCCACAGGCAGCCCCTCTTTCATCTGGGCAGATCCTTTTCATAGTTAAAATAGCTACTATCAACTTAGGAATAAATGTGCCCACAGTACAGCTTCTTTATAAGAATGGCATCATTCCCTCTTCTGTTAATGGAGATGGTCTCTATCTACATGGATGTATAGAGAAAGGATTTTTAAGACCCACTTTACCCCAGATCTGTTTTACAGCAAAGCTCTTCATGATAAGTTCCAGCCAACATCACATTTCACAGAGCTTGAGAAAGCCAGCGCAGTGGGGAATCCAATCTCCCAGGGTGTGGTAGCATCTTCTTATATATTTGGAGTCCCTTCATACATAAATCAGAGGAGAAGACAGTCATGTAATGCTCACAATTATGGCCTGTGAAGTATGCAAGACCTGGGTCTCAGAAAGCCACAGCTCCACAAGGCATTAGATTTATGCCCATAGCAAATTACCAAAACTCTCAGAAGCCCTTTTGTGCTGGTCCACAGTGGAGGAGAAGTCATGGAATTTTTTCAAGAAGGATGTTGGAAAGATTGCATGAGGAAAAGTTCTCAGGATGCTGTCAGGCATACAGTAATTATTATAATCAGAATATGGTTGTTAATTCTTGTTGATGAAAATAGCCAAACTTTGTAAAATATTTAAAGAGATTTATTCTGAGCTAAATGTAAGGACCATGATCTGTGACACAACCTCAAGAGGTCCTGAGAACATGTGCCCAAGGTGGTTGGGTTACAGCCTGGTTTTATATGTTTTAGGGAGACATAAGATATCAATCAGTACATGTGAGGTACATATTGGTTTGGTCTGGAAAGGCAAGACAATGTGGAGCTGTGGGGGAGGTGGTGAGGAAAAGGGCTTCCAGGTCATAGGTAGATTTAAAGATTTTCTGATTAGCAATTGGTTTAAAGAGTTAAGTTATTATCTAAAGACTGGGAATCAATAGAAAAGAGTGTCTGGGTTAAGATAACGGGCTGTAGAAACCAAGGTTTTTATTATGTAGATGAAGTCTCGTAGGTTGCAGCCCTTAGATACAATAGATGGCAAATGCTTGCTATTCAGATCTTTAAAAGGGGGAGAATATAATGAGCCATGTCCAACGGCCCCCCACTTCCGATCATGGTCTAAATTAGTTTTTCAGGTTTCTTTGGAATCATTTTTGCCAAAAGGGAGATCCATTTGGTTGGTTGGGGGGCTTAGAATTTTTTTGGTTTGCATTCTTATATGTTTTAAAGGTTTTTGTCTTCTTCTCCTTCTCCTTCTCCTTCTTCTCCTTCTTCTATTTTGAGATGGGGTCTCACTCTGTTGCCCAGGCTGGCATGTAGTGGCACGATCTTGGCTCACTGCAACCTCTGCCTCCCTGGCTAAAGCAATCCCCTGGCCTTAGCCTCCCAAGTAGCTGGGACTACAGGTGTGCACCACCATATCTGGCTAATTTTTAGTATTTTTGGTAGAAATGAGGTCTCTCTGCCCATGCAGCCCAGGCTGGTCTTGAACTCCTGAACTCAAGTAATCCAACCACCTCAGCCTCCCAAAGTGCTGGGATTATAGGCATGAGCCACCCAGCTGCTTTAAAGTTTTATAAAAACTTTCACATTTATTTTCTCATTTGAGCCTCAGTACCACCTATGTTGTAGACATTTTTAGATTATATTATAATTATATTAAAACTCTTTGACTCCATAGATGTTGAGATAATTGGTAAAGCTCCCTTAGCTTGCAATCAATCAGTGGTGCTGGAGTCTTAACCCAGGTCTTTACAGGTTAGGTCATTTGCCTGGTTCACTGTTGTGAACCAAGTTTTAATTTGTTGTCTCTCGCTCCATCCAAACACTCCTTTCATCTAATTCATCATGTAAATATAAATGGACTCAGATAGCTCCTATATTCTGTGGCATAGTAGATTAATTTAACTATTTTTTCAGATCTCAATAATGATTTCATATTTCATGTGAGTTTACACTGGAACTTTTGAATTAAAACAACTTTAGATTTTGTGGTTTAATAATGGAGAGTCTGAAGACATGTTCCATTTCTTTAAAAAAAATATTACATTGTGTACAATTGAAGTACAAAAAGCTGCCCATGTATAAAGTATAAAATTTGATAAATTTTGTCCTTATATATATATACACTCATGAAGGCATCAGCGCAACCAAGATAAAGAACATTTTCATCTTCCCCAAGTTTCCTGATGCCCCTGTGTTCTCTCTCTTTCCCCTCACCTCTCCCTCGAGGGAACCACTGATCTATTAGGTTGGTGCAAAAGTAATTGCGGTTTTTGCCAAAAAAAAAAAAAAAAAAAAAAAAAAAAAGGCAAAAAAATGTAATTACTTTTGCACCAACCTAATACTTTTTATCATTGTAGGTAAATTTGCATTTTCTAAAATTTCATATAAACGAATCATACAAGATGTACTCTTTATTTTGTCTGATTTTTTTCATTGATATAATTATTTTGAGATTGATTCATATGGTTATGTGTATCCATAGTCCATTTCCTTTTTCTCATTGGATAGCATGCCACTGTATGAATATTCTGCAATTGTTTATCCATTGACCTATTGCTGAACATTGGATTATTTCTAGTTTTGGCTATTACAAATAAAGCTACTATGAACATTGGTCAATCAATTCTTTGTGTGGTTATACAATTACATTTCTCCACTCAAGATTCTAACCATTAGACCTTATCATTCGGTGGGTGTATCTTTAACTGTGTAAGAAACTGTTGAACTGTTTTCCAAAGTGGTTTCACCATTGTACATTCCCATTAGCAGTATGTGACAATTTCAGTTTCTCCACATTTTTGTTATTACTTCATAGATCAGTCTTTTTAATTTTGGCCATTCCAGTGGGTGGGAGTGGTGTGGTATCTCATTGTGGTTTTAATTTGCATTTCCCCGATGACTAAAGACTATGTATTCATGTACCTAAAATGCCATCTGTATAACCCCTTTGGTAAAGTATCTGTTCAAATCTTTTGCTTATTTAAAAAAATTCAGTCTTTGGTCTCATTATTGAATAATGAGAATTGTTTCTATTTTCTAGGTATGTCTTTTATTTGATACTTTTTGCAAATATTTTCTCCCAGTCTATGGCTTGCCTTTTTATTTTTGTGACAGTAATGCATAGAAATTTCCACCCTGAGGTTTTTCACTCTTGGGGCACTTCCTGTTTTGCCTTTTTTTTTTAAGCGATAGGGTCTTGCTCTGACCCCAAGCTGGAGTGTGGTGCTGCAGTCACAGCTCACTGCAGCCTTGAACTCTGGGCTCAAGTGATCCTCTGGCCTCAGCCTCCCGAGTATCCAAGACTACAGGTGTGCACCAACATGCCCTGCTAATTTTAATTTTTTTTTGTAGAGATGGTGTCTTGCTATGTTGCCCAGGCTGGTCTCAAACTCCTGGCCCCAGCATCCCAAAGTGCTGGGATTACAGGCATGAGCAACTGTGCCTGGTCTCCCCTCTTTGCCTTGAATCTCATTGCCAACTGCTTGCCTAGAGCATCACACATTGCTGAGCTCTTTGTCCATCTCCTCTGCTTCTGAGACTGGATCTTCTTGCAGTCCTAGCACAGAGGTCTTCTACTTCTAGATGGCCAAACCCCTGACACCCTGTGAGAATCTGTAAGAACAGAAACGATGCCTGGTTGAATGCTGGAATGAGTGATGCATTCTTGGAGTTTCACTTCACAGAATCACAGCCTTTGGTGGAATCATTGCATTCTTTAGAACTGTTAGTACAGTCTAACAAAATACAGCCATCTGGACACAAAACAAAACACTGGCTAGTTTATGATGCTGATGAAAAATCCAGTCATTCATACTTATTTGTCAAACAGCCACTATGTGTAAGTTTCTTTTCTGTGATTCCAATGGTCAAGAAAGAGAATCTAAACAAGCTGACTATGGCTTTCATAAGACCACCACTGCATGCTAATTCCATGACAGAAACAGGGTCTGGGTTAGTGTGGTTAGAAAGGATCCAAGTGATGCCCTGAGATATGGAAGCCCTGCCACTTAGTTCAGAAAGTTTTCTATGATGGTTGGCATCACAGTTCAGTAGCTCACACTATTTCCCACTAATTTGGGGCTTTTGCACCTCCATTAATACTACCGATGAATTTCTTTCTATGACTTATGAGCTTTTCAGCACTCTATTTTCCTTCTGAGTTCACACAATTATTAAAGGGAAATTGTTTATAATGGTTAAAGAATATCGAGTTAGGAGTGGTGGATTGCACCTGGAATCCCACTGCTTTGAGAGGCTGAGCTGGGAGGATCACTTCATCCCAGGTGTTCAAGACCAGGCTGGGCAGCATAGCAAGACTCCCATCTCTACAAAAAATTTAAAAATCAGCCGAGCATAGTAGTATGCACTTATAGTCCCAGCTACTTGGAAGGCTGAGGCCGGAGCTCAGAAGTTTGAGGCTGCAGTGAGCTAGGAATATGCCACTGCACTCTAGCCTGGGCCACAGAGCCAGACTCTATCTCTAAATGAATATAAATACATACATACATACATACATAAATACCCAATGATTATTTTGTGTCAAGTTTTCAGACTCTGAAATCTCAAATGGTTAGAATATATCTGGTTCCGGGTAAGTGCAATTGCAAAATCAGTTAGCACTTAGGCCCACTCCTTCCCCATTTTCAGGAATTTCTTAGAATTCATGTCATAGACTAGTCCTTCCCTCTCTGCTTTTCTGAATATTTAATTCTGACTGCAGCAAAGTTGCCTCCTCAGGATAGATTCCCAGCTCATTTTCTCAGCATAAGGAAATTCCAACAGAATAACTGAGAAGATTGACTCCCTCTTTGTTGCTCCTACAGCCCATCCTGGCAGTCACTACTACTGGAAGGCACTTAGCTAGTCCAGACCAGGACAAGTTCCTCATTGTTCCCAAGATGGCCTCTCACAGGAGACAGTCATTTATGGCCTTTCCTTGAGTCTGGGGCTGACATGCTCATGCTTGTCTATCTTTATGTGGAGAGTTCAATAGCCAATTGTTCCTTGCCAACCAGCTACTGCTCACTAAAGAATCATGGAACAAACACATTTCTATTTTTAATTTCTTATTTAGAAAAAAATAACATAGGGCACCATTATAATCAAATGTAAGTTTCTTTTCTTTCTTTCTTTCTTTTTTTAACAGCAACTTTGTTCTTTTTGCTTTCAACCCTCTTTCCTAGGTATCTAACTACATGGTTGAGTCAAGGTGAACTCTGTATTATTTCATCCTATAGAAACAAGCTGGTTTTCATCACAACTTAGCTGTACATTTTACAGTAAACCTCGGGTTCTAAAACAGGTCTTTCTAAGAAATGAGTAATGGAACAGAGAGAGAAGCTTAAAGGAAAAGCCAGTGTTTGGCTTCCTGAAGGGAGAAAGATTTAACATGACAGGGTGTGAATCCGAGGGAACGCTGGCTAGTAATAAAACTAGGGGCCTGCAGGAAGGAATCTTGGAAGATTTTGAAGGTAAGTTCCAATTAGAGGATAAAAGAAAAGGAAACCTATCGCTAAAACAAGGTTGTGTGATGATATTTGCAGCTGGGAACATGATTAGAATGCAGAGGTGATAATAAAACACAAGTGGGGAAGGGAAACTTTGAAGAACTAAATGAATAAAGAGGCAAGGTAAAATATTTTAAATTATGTTTAATGAGTTTAAGCTAGAACAAGGCAAGAAGCAGAACTGAAATACACTGAGAAAAAAATAAAAAGAACTTAAATAACACTCTTTGCTGTAACGAGGTGGGGGATGAAAAGAGATGAGAGAGTCTTACCCAACAAAGGGCTGCACTTAGGGGAAATCAAGGCACTAGCATCCTATAGGTGGGAGGTAGAAGTGGGTAGGGTGCTCCCCCTCATTCCTGGGCTCCCCTCCATTTTCTGTTAGCTGCTTTTCTCAGTTGCTTATACACATATAAATGCCTCGGGTTGATTTTAGCCCTAGTGTACCTGCATCCTGACTCATGTCATTGTGCGCTGAGGTGTGGCCAGCAGACTAGAGTGCAGGTTAACAACATGGCACCCCGTTGATGGATCACCTACTCTTTCAGTACTTAATCGTACACTGCAGCCTATGCCACATCATTTTTTTTTTTTTTAATGTGGGGTCTTACTCTGTCATCCAGGCTGGAGTGCAGTGGCACGATTTCAGCTCACTATAACCTCTGCCTCCCAGGCTCAAGCAATTCTCCCACCTCAGCCTCCCAAGTAGCTGGGACTACAGGCGTACATCTCCACACCCAGCTAATTTTTGTATTTTTTTGGTAGAGACGGGGTTTCATCACATTGCTCAGGCTGGGCCACTTCATTTTGAAGGTTAATGTGTTTTGTTTTGTCAGCGGGATGATAAGCACTATGACAAGGACTCTAGTTGATTCTTTTTTGCTTTTCTCATGGTACCCAACATAGTGCTATAAAAATAGAAGGTAGACAAGAAATACACACAGGATGGAGAACTCTGTCCCATAGCTGTGGGGGTTTCTGAAAGGCCTTCAGGAAAAAGAGCTTCCAGATGTGGGGGCCATCTTCAGAAATCCTGCAGTCCTCAGGCAAATCTGGATGGTCTTACACGTCCAGGGACTGAAGAGAAGTCAACACGCTTCTATGATTGCTTGCAGTAGTTGCACTTAATCAGCTCTTGAGCTGTTGCTATTCTTCTAAGCAATACAGGGACCGAGGGGCTACCTTGTTTGCTTCTCCCCAGTCATGTACAGTCAGTCGTGCCTCCATATGGATGGATTTACATTGCAGAGGAACTGACAGGGAAGAGTGAGAGTCACAGCTTGATGGAGGTGTTCTGGGGCCATTTATGTAACTCACTTCTCTGTGCCTGGACTCCTAGAAGATGACTTCTAACAGAGTCAGTGTTTTGGATTCAACAGAGATTTTTCACTTTAGCAATTTAGAAAAATAAGTGTTTGGCTCTTCTCAGAGCCAAACATTTATCTGATTAAAGAACATAGAAACATGTGGTTGATTACATATGTTATGTTCAGATATGTGTTCTTTTACATCTAATATTTCAATATTTCTCCATTGTGACCAGGGCCAGCTCCTCTTAGTGATCAATGATTCAGTCCAGGTCTAGGGCTTCATCTTGACCATGAATATTTCGTTCTTGGATATTTTGCTTTCCTCATTCCTGAGCCTCACTGAGCGTTTCCTGTTGTTTTAAGATGAGCTCTTCTCAAACGCTTTATCAGCTCAATGCCTCTCCCAGGTGGTACTGGGCATGCTGTCATTGCTGCATAAGCCACTCTTGTTTATGTGGATATTACTGTTTCTCTTTCTGTTACTCTGTTCACTGTCTGGAGTCTTACTCTTCCAGTCTTCTGAGTTCCGGAGTCCTCTAACCATAGTACATACTTGAGTGATTGCTGGAACAATTTTAGGAGTTGTGACAGAGATAAAGTAGAATGGAGGTTTTTGCTAATTTGGGATGAACTCAGAGGATGGATAAGATACAAATAGGTGGAGAGAAAGAGAATACTAAGACATTGTTTTTAGTGTTGGTGGTGCAGTTTTTCTGCTCCTTAGCTCAGTTAGGTTGGGGTTCTTGTCTCACGACCAGGAAGAATTGGGCACGTGGACACTGGAGAATGAGTGGAATAGAATTATTAAGTGAAAGGAAAGCTCTCAGCAAAGAGAGGGTCCTGAAAGAAGGTTCTTGGTAGCCCGTTCACAGTTGACTACAAGGGCTTTTACATATCTGGTGATGGGGCTGGGTTCCCTATGTGTATAAGGCATGAATTCCTGGAGGCGCCACCCTGTCCTTTCAGTGCACATGTGGGACCTTAGTCTGAGCCACTTCATACTGATTTATTTCCCTTACTGTGCATGTGTTAAGGGATGAAATTTTTCACCACGGGCATGTTTAGGCAAGCTCCCTGTGCACAATGACCTTGGCAGGTTGGAGGTTCTCCAGGGACCTTCCCCTGTCTGCCTAGGAGAGTTCTCTGCCTCCTGCCTCTATCATTGGCATGGACCAGACAGACTGTGTAGAGAGAAGACTGGAAAAGCCTGCATTTGGGCCATGGGAAAGCTCAATGCCAGGCTACACAGGCTGTTCTCCCATTGCCAAGATGGCCCGATGAAGACATGAGCCCCCTGGCTGGTGTGATGAACGCTTTGTTTAGGGGGAAGATACAAGTGAAGTGGTGCAGAACTTACGTCTTTAAATCCACCACCACACTGGAAAATGTCCACAAAATAGTCTATTGACAGGTGATTTTTCTGGCTCAGGTTCCAAGCTGACTTGAAAAATGCCATTATGAGTTTTCTGCTGTTTTCATTTAATGGCTGAAACATCAGGTCTTGAAAACTTCAACTGGTCACTTCCTCTAAGCTACTCAGAAAAATATTTCCCTTTTATTAGTGTCCGAACTGTGCATGCATGTATGTGTTACCTCAATGCCCACTATGGTGGTCTGTTTTTAAGCTGGTCCTCTGTGATCCCTGTCTCCAGTATGTATGCCTTGGTATATGGTCCTCTTCACTTGAATGTGGACAAGCCTTAGTTACTATTGTCTACCAGCTAGAATATGGCAAAAATCATGGTATGCCATTTTCAAGATGAAGATATGAAAAGACTGCACCTTCCATTAGGGGTATCTTCTCTCACATTCTGTCTCTTGGAATCCTCATCTGAGGAAAGGCACATCCTATGTTGTAAACAGCCTTATGGGGTGGCCCACATGACAAGGACTTGATGTCTCTAGCCAAAAGACAGTGAAGACTTGAAGCTTGCCAATGGAACGTGAGTGAACCCAGAAGCAGATCCTTCCCGGTTTGAGCCTTCAGATGACAACAGCCCCAGCCAGCACCTGCACTGCAGCCTTGTGAGGTACCCTGAGCTGGAGGACCCAGCTAAGCTGTTCTTGGATTTCTGACCCACAGAAACTGTGAGATCATAAATGCTTGCTGCTTTAAGCTGTTAAATTTGGGCTAATTTATTATACACAATAAATAACAAGTACATCCACTTATAGTGGGTTTGTGAAATAAAATTGAGGCATGTTCATGTGATAGGACATAGGTCAGTCATTAAAATGTGAAATAGAAGAATATTTAATAACATGACAAAATATTCACAATACACTGTTATTTAACAATATCAAATTGTTGTTAAACAACTGGTACTATATGGTACAAGATATATGTGAAAAATACTAAATTTATATTCACCAGCATGGGTTAAATATCGAAAATGGAATTTATGGCTGGAATATTTGTTATTTGACGTACTTTCTACATGTACTTTTAAAAGCATGTGCATGACTTTTAAAAGCAGAGGAGAAAAAACAATGCACTCTTAGACTGCACACAGAGGGCAGACCTTAAGCATGGATCTAGTATAGCCACACTTGAAGATACCAGGACATTTTGAGGGGGATTTTTAACCTACTGAACACAAACTGATAGCTAGCACTGTTCAAGCTCAACTTCAACACTGCAGATGAGTAATTCATTTAAAATAAATATTCATTATTTATTAGGATCCAGGAATGCCTTCTTCCATAGGCGTATTCAGCACATCAGAAATGTCCTTGAAGCACCCATAATTTCAGCCCTTTGGAAGGCTGAGGCAGGTGATCACTGGAGGCCAGGACTTCGTGATCAGCCTGGCCAATATGGTGAAATCCCGTGTCTCCTAAAAATACAAAAATTAGCCAGGTGTAGTGGCACATGCCTGTAATCCCAGCTACTCGGGAGGGTGAGGCAGGAGAATCCCTTGAACCTGGGAGGCGGAGGTTGCAGTGAGCCAAGATCACACCACTGCACTCCAGCCTGGGTAACAAAGTGAGACTCTGTCTCAAAACGAACAAACAAACAGACAAAAAGGAAATGCCCTTAAATCTTTAGTTGCACTGGTTATCCATCCGAGGTTCAGGCACCCTCACTGAAAATGTCATAGAGAGCTTCTGTGGCTCACAAGGAGAGTTGTTAGATCACAGGTAGTCGGTCAGCCAGAACAAGACAAAGCCTGGGAAAATTCAGTGCTTAGGACTTGATTTTTAAATCGCTTTGCCAACTTAATAGAGGCTTAAAATTTTCCATACAATTCCCATACTAGTGATATGGACAGGAGGTGGGGAAATACTGGGTAGAAGAGGGTGGTTCCCCGGCAAAGTCCTCACCCTCAGGCCTGGAAACCGCGGCCCTAAATGAGAACGGTTATCCTTGTTTTTCAGCCCAAATGTTACTTTTTTGGTTCTCCTTGTCCCTTCCCCACCATCTTGTGCCCATATAAATCCCAGACCTCAGCTGTCAGATAGTCAAGCAGCTGAACATGGAGAGGAGAAGGAGCAACTGAGTGTTAGAGACTATGGATAGAGGTGGCTTAACTTCAGAAGGCATGACTCCAGCCGCGCTTCAGGAAAAGATCACCTTCTTTCGGCACCATCATCTTTCCAGCTCCCCTCCGCTAAGAGCCACCTCCATCACTCAGTAAAACCTCTGCATTCACCATCCTTCAAGTCCGTGTGACCTGATTCTTCCTGGATGCTGGACAAGAATCAGGGTACCAAGAGGGCAGGGTGTATGCCACCGTGATTCTCCACTGAGCTGGTTAACACTTAGCCATCCGTGGACGGCAAATACTAAAAGAGAATTGTTTGCAACACATGCCCTCTGGGGCTCCAGAGGTCGGGGGCAACCCCTAGAGGCTGCTGTGGACCAGTACAGGGTTCGTTCCTGCTGGCGCCTAAAGACACTCACCCTGGCTCTTTCACCCGCTCACCTGCATGCTCCTCCTCCCACAAGGGGTTTAAGCTCTGCTGAGCAAAATGAGCCGCCCCCCACCCCACTGTCGCAGGTCCCACAAGGGGGTCAGGGAACTCTCCCATCTCACTGGTTTCCTCAAAGCAGTAAGACACTAGAACTCACTTTTTCTAGGTGGAGATGAAATCCGTATACTGCAGTTGAATAGCTGCCACAGCAAATAGAAATGACCGCTATGGTTTGTTCCTAATTATGGTTTTAAATTTCTATAGGATCTCTTCACTTTGGGGAGAACTTTTTCACTATTGGCTTTTGGAAATAGACATTATAGTGATTTGGCTCAAACAGAAAAAAAAGGCTTCTTTCTGAAAAATCTAGAATTTTCATCAGTTTTGCATTCATTCTAATTAAACGTAGGTGTAATATTAAAGTGAAGTAACCTCATCCTCATTTCTTAGGAAAAACATCAACCAAAACCGTATTTTTCATGTTTCATTTCAGTTTCTCTAAAGTATCAGTGCACTGTCCATCATAAGCAATTGAAAGAGTTTGTGCTAGTAACTGCTTTGCAGGATATCAGAGTGAGTTCAGACAGCCTGAGTTTGTTCCCCATCCCACCATTCAGTGACTCTGTGACTTTCAATTCCTCAGTTTCCCTTATCTGTATCACAAGCACTTGCTTCACAGAACGTTAGGAGGGTGAATTTAGCGAATGTTGTTAGAACCATGTCAGCTATGAAGCATGTGCTCAGTAGATATACTCATTACTCTGGAGACTGATCAATATAGTCTCAGTAGAACTCTTTCTGAAGACAGACTTGGTTTCAATGAACAATTTAATCAATGGGAAATATTTTGTAGAAATAGAGAATTTAACAAACTCTTGGATTATCCAATGCTGCATGATAAATTGATGGAGTCAGAAGACAAAGTGCAATGCAGGCTTACTGGGTAAAGCCCAAATTCCTCAATCTTTTGGAAATGAGAAGAAGGACGCTTAAAGCTCATTATTGTCATGGATCTGGGAGGTTTTTACAATTCCCAGGAAGGTTTAGAGGAAGGTTTAGATGGCTATTAATGTAACTGACCCCAGGCGACTCTGACCCAGGAAGTTCACAACAGCCTTCCCAATGAATCAGGTCAAAAGGTCACCTTTTTTTTTTTTTTTTTTTTTTTTCAGAGAACGGGGAAGATGCTAATGTGGGAACTGGTTAGGAGAGCATCTGGACATTGCTATTCTTAATTATTCTGGAAGCAAAGAGCAGAACAGTTGAATCACTTTAATGAGAGTTACAACTTGCTGAGGTTAAACCAGTGTCCGCATCTGGGAACCCATGCAAACTATTCAGGAGGTAAAGAAAGAGACCAGGAAGGTAGATAGAAAAATAGGGAACTCACTTTTTAGGATTTTTTCGAGCCTATTTTGTTAATATCAGTATCTATCCTTCCCTTTGTATTCTTGTGAGTCTTCTTTTCAATTTCTTCTAAGGGACTTGATACAAGCTTGGGTTTGGGACATGTTCTTACTAATGGACCAAAGGATAACATCAATAGCACCAGGTACCTGTTCTACACCACATGCATCATATGTATCATCTCAGTTAATCTTCACAATAATCTTGTAAGGATGAGACTTGAACCTTCATTTGACAGATGAGGAACCTAACGCTCAGAAAGGGTAAGCAATTTGCTTAAAGTTACACAGCTCAGACATGGCAAGTTGAAGTTTAATCACAGGTGCACCGGAGTTCAATGCCTAGACCCTTTCCTCTGCTTGTTCCAGGGTCTCAGAGGAGGAAAGGAGAACAATTTATGTCAGATAAACTTATTTGCCCAAAACATGTGTAGGAATTTACGTCACTGCACTCATTTCTACAGCCTCGTTTGTTCACAAAATGCTCTAATCACAGATAAGTGGGAGCCACCTTTCTGAACAGAGAATCGTTGGAGTAACTTCAAAGCCACCAGAAATGTAGGGGAGTTTGGGATAGAACCTTGAAATAATTTTTGGTTACCAGTAAGCACAACAAATAAAACAGTGAAGTCATTCGTAGGAAGATGTGAGAAAGTGTTTAAAACACAACTTTTGAGAGTTAGAAAGACCTAGAAAGAGTATCACTGGTTCCCTTGGGGATTTCACCAGTCCTTAGCTACAACACAGTCAGTTGTATAGAGCTTTCGGATGTGCGTATATGTACAATTTCGAAAAAGTTCAATTGGTTCAATTGCAGAAAGCTGCCCCAATCTGCACATGGGCCAATTTCCATTTGGTGCTGAAACAGTTTTATAGAAATTGCAATAATGTAGCCCACTCGCTGCATGGACAGAAGCTGCCTATTTCAAGTTAGGTGTTCATTCAATTTTCTTGTCCTTTATTTCTATATTTAGTTTATTCCCTTCCAAAGATGTGTAACGATAAGAAAGAGAGAAGAAGTAAGGAAGGAAGATATTTTCTTTTCTCTATATGTGTGTTTTATCAACACAGCCTCAGCTTGAGATCTCTTGGGAAAAGCATTTCAAGACAGGCAGAATGATGTCCTTCCTGCCACAACATAATTTTCCAGTTGCCAGGGGAAAACTACATATTGTACCCAAAACAACAACCGAGAGAACAGATAATAATCACTCCCTAAGAGCACTTGCTTCAGCTTCTCTCAGAAAAGGCTGCAGAAACGATCTTGAAGTTACTATTAACTCTGTATTTTAAAAGAGACAAAATGGATTCCTGTCCTTCCTTGCTGGAATGGCTGTATCGCTTTCTGCAGTCAGGGTCTCCATTTTTACTTAACAAAATCTAGCACGGCTGGTCTAAAGGTATGGGAACAGTGAAAGGGGCGGATCAAGAGAAGTCTGCTGAGGGGTTCAAATTTCTTTCTTGGTCCTCCCCCCAAGATGTTCTTGTCAGGTGCAAAAATCCTGTGATCTGCACAGCAATGCGTGTGAAAACCACATGTTTTGATGCAATACAACTGTCCTTGCACAATTCTTATCCGGAAGCTTATAAGAAAAGTGCGATTTTCTTAGAAGCACTCGTATTGAATGTAAGTGTATCCTTTCCCCAATACTCAGAATGTTGTGGTTCAGCAGCAGTGACCAAACCCCTCAAGTAGCTGCCCTATGAAAACAAATCCCCCCTGCAGCTGGGTTTTTTTTTTCTTTTTTTTTTTAGGAGCCACACAGGCCAACATCCTAAGGATTTTTGCAAACTGTAGCACTGAGTGGCTCTGCCCTCTCAGGCCTCCCTTAATGAAGACCTCTTGGAGGACTCATATTGAGCTATTATTGCAGGCATTGCCAAAGGCTTTCTTCACCCCCACCTGTGAGCTCTGCAAAAAACCCAGAAGTGGTTGGCACTATTTTTATCAAAAGCAAATAAAAAATAATAATTTCCTCAGGATATACATCCTCTCAGAAAAGAAAAAAAAATTTCTCGTTTTGACAGAAAAAGGAAATGTATAAGCAAGTCAGTGGAGAACTTTCTTCATTTTTAAATTATCGACTTTCCTCCGACTGTGGCGGGGTAGAGATTCTTAGGCTTGAAAGGGGTCTCTTGAGGTTGCCCAATTCTCTCCCCATAGCTTTGATTCCAGCAGATAAGGATCTAATTTCTCAACCTGCCAAGAATGGAGATTGCCCAAGGTCCCTTGGTACCTCATTCCAGTGTTTAACAGCCCTCACTGTCATGAAACGCTTCTCGGTGCCTAATGCAAGCCCCCAGTATTGTAATTTTGTGTCTCCTTCCTGCTGACACGTCCTCAGGGAGGTGCAGTCCATCTCCTTCCGATCGCCCTGTGTCAAGGTCCTTCCTAAACTTGAAGACTCAGAGACAATGACTCCTCGCTCTTCCCTATTCCAGAGCGAAAACAGAAATTTACTTTCTTTAATTTCTCCTTTTGAGTGTTAGGTCTAACTCATTTGTGACTTGCCTCTCAACTCTGGCCCCCCGACCCCGTCTACTTTTGCCTCCTTACTTCTGAAGAGAACTCCAAAGTCTTAAGGGAAGATCACCCTAGGGTTCCCTCTACTACAATGTTCAGATTTATTTTTCACATCCAGAAATAACTCAGTTAACTCAGGGTCGTGAGGAAATTTTTGGGCTGGCTCCTCCTAAAACTAGTATGGGGAAGGATTTTTTTAGTTTTGTGAACCTCTGGGAAATTAACCAAAAACTCCCCCACAGAATGTATTAAAAACAAGAGGCCTGAATCATCTATTTTCGGGTCTGTGTTATGGTTGGATTTTTAAAGGTGAAAAATAGCTGGTAGAATTAATATTGAATAAAAAAATCAGCGGTGGCTTCATATCTTGTCCTGGCTATGTTAATAGGAGAGGCATAATTTGTCACTCTGAAATATTAAAATTCTACATAAATGGGTACTCCTTATGGATTGATGAGTCAACTGAAACAGAAGGAAGGAAATTGTATGGTTCGCTAGAGTCTTGCAAAGTTCAATGGAATCTTCCATAGAGTCCTTCATGCTAGTCTTTACTCACCAGTTAAAGCCCAGTGGCCACCCACCATATACGTAGCTACCCTGGAGATGTGCTGGGGCACTTTACCCAGTTTTGAAATACATCTGGATGTTCCTAACTCAGGGCTTTATATCTGTGAAATTTTGATTAGCATGTGCTGAGCAACTGCTTGGCGTTAACTTTTCATATGTGAAATAGAAATTACGGACATGCTGAAGAGACACTTTAGGTTGGACACTCCCACTCCAGAAATAAATCAATGAGACCATTCCAGATTTTTCAAGCATCTTAAATAAAGGAAATTCCAGCTCGCCATGCGAAATCCTTCTGTAGAGAAAAGGAAGTGGCCCAAGCCGGCAACTTATTCTGATGAACAGCTTGTACATTCAGAACAAAAGTGAGAAGCTTCATGGTTGTAAAGAAAAGTGGTAATTAAATCATGCGTCAAAGTGCACTCAAAATATTCTTTTTAAAAGCTTATACATGACAGCACAAGAGGTTGCTAGTTACATGTATTGTTTTTAAAAATAAACATTATTAGGTTCATGCAAAAGTAATCTCAGTTTTTGCTATTACTTTTATTTATTTATTTATATAAATTTTTAAAGTTCTGGGGTACATGTGCAGGATGTGCAGGTTTGTTACATAGGTAAACGTGTGCCAGGGTGGTTTGCTGCACCTGTCAACCTGTCACCTAGGTATTAAGCCCCATGTGCATGAGCTGTTTTCCCTAATGCTCTCCCACCTCTGCCCTCCTCCAACAAGTCCCAGTAAGTGTTGTTCCCCTCCCTGTGTCCATGTATTCTCATTGTTCAGCTCCCACTTATAAAGGAGAACATGTGGTTTTTGGTTTTCTGTTCCTGCGTTAGTTTGCTGAGGATAATTCGCCATTACTTTTAAATGGCAAACACTGCATTTACTTTTGCACCAACCTAATAGTTACATTTTTAGAACATTTACTTCCATGGACTAGGAAACCTAAGATGTTATCTAATTAATTTTTATAAATGAGGTCTGGTTGGGCTGCGGGTTGGTTGGACGGGTTATTGCCACTTACAAATGGATAAAAGTGAAAGGAATTTAATAGTCTTTTCTAAGGTCACAAATGGCTCAGTGGTGGGATGATTAATTCACACCCATGTGGGCGTCAGGGGACTAACATCCTATTTCTCTTCTGAACTATATTATCCAGGAGACCTCCATAGGCCAAAGGCTTAGGAGAATTCCTGATGTCTTCTCTTCTCCACTGCTGGGTGGTGATGTTATCCATCCAAGAAGATAAAAATCATAGAATATTTTTTTTCTATGATATTCATTCATTTTTGAATGAATCTTGGAGATACTTTAATGCAGCTTTCTTCTTTCTATAGATAAGCCAGCTTATGCCTCTGAAAGGTTATCCAAAATCAGGCACACATGATTAAGAGCAAAATAGGGACCACAACGCAAGACTTCTGGCTCTTCTACTACAGCAACTGAAAGCAACAGTGAACATTACTTCATTTATGGTGTAATAAAACCAACTTCAAAGTCCATTTAGGCCCAGATGACTCTTGGTCTCATGCTTGACACTTCTGTTACCTATTTGAGGCTTACTGTTCAAAATATTCATAGACTGTACTTAAGGTACCATGTGTTCCTTCTGGTAAATCAAAAGTAGTTTTTATGTTATATTTAGGGGCAGATTTCATCTACTAGCATAAAACATTATGATAAACTCTCCCCACCCCCTAACAAAGGCATTTCATTCCACATGTCGTGAGCAACTGCTTGCAGAGAACATGCACCATGTGAAAAAGTAATTATTGCCTTGCCTAAGGAATGAAGCT
Source organism: Homo sapiens (assembly GCF_000001405.40). Lineage (NCBI taxonomy): Eukaryota > Metazoa > Chordata > Mammalia > Primates > Hominidae > Homo > Homo sapiens. The sequence continues at coordinate 33,113,322 of NC_000010.11, forward strand.
GACTCTATCAGCATGTCCAGGCTTTTGCAGATAAGTGAGCAAAACCATGGCTTACTAAGAACACTGCAATTTTTTTTTAACCTTTTGAAAATTCATTCTTTTCTAATGATTAGTTATGGGGAAAAGTGAGTTAAGTACTGCTTGACAGTTTGCTCTATAGAAGCTCTGTAATATCACCTCTCCTAGTCTTCTTTGATATAGAACCAACCATCTGTATCGATGACTTCTTTCCCTCTTTAATAAGTTGTAAATTGAACAGCATAATTCTTCCCATGTCCAAGACTAGTCAGCCAAAATACTGTGTTCGGAATTTGGCTGGCTGTATGTTATAACTTGTCTGTCATCACTTTCTTTCATTACAGCCCTGTGGTTGGTTTTTGTAGACTTTAAGGATCCGTTCGCTAGTGATTCATTTCATTTGGGTATATGCTACATGTTATTCTGTGCTTGTGTTAGACCAAAATGTCACATTCCACAAGTGTGTCCAGATGATCACTAAGCATTGGAAAGGAGTCAGTTTTGGAGTTGGCCGAGCTTCCTTCTATAAGACTTGTCTTTCAACAATTGATAAGGTTGATCAAATCTTTCAGCTTCGATCTGTTGTGTCCTTATTTCATAGAAATGGCCCATTTTTGAGTCTTAGAGTTTACTCTCTTTTTACTTGTGAATATATCTGAAATGAACACTTACTAAGACATAAATTCCAGTGAAAGAAGGGTCTTTCCTTTTGATTATCCTCTTTTAGAACTCTCCAGAAAAGGAATGGACAATCTTTTAAAGAGAGGCCTCTTTGTTAGTGGAAGTATTTATCAAGAGAATGGATTTCCACGTTAATCAGAGATTGCAATAGGAACTTCCTAAAACTCCTTCTGAAGTTAAGATTTCTTGAAACTCTTCTCAAACACTTGGTTTAATGTAGGGGGCGGCTAGAGGAAGTTGAATAAATATAAAGAGCAAGTTTTTGTTTTGTGATCATTATTTTTAGTTTTACTTGAAAAAGTAAAGGTGTTCTTCATTGGTTTTTGTTGAAAGAGTCCTACAGGATAAGGCTTTTGTTTTGGAACAAGAGAAGAGCGGTTGAGCTTGTTTGGTGTGTGGGAAACAATTTTAAAGTGTGACAGATATTTCTGTAGCAGATTCTTCTGCAGCAACAGCCAGAGACTGGTTTATTGTTTCAGTAGGGAAGTAGGTATCTAAGTCAAAGGTAAGATGGGGCAGATATGCAGATTGTCTCCTCATCTATTTACGAGGTAACCTTTTTCTAAAGCCAGAAAAAAACAGCTAATCGTTGCATCTTCTGGTTGAGGTGGTAAACAACTCAGTTATCAACCGGCAGAGCATAGCTGTTGGTTTATAATTCAAGTCAACCGTGCAGGAAGGAGGGAAGTAGAGGAGATGCAGTTTCATTTCCCATTAACTCCCCTGACCTGAATTAAGGTGGGAACTGAGGAGAACATCTGTAAAAATAACAGCATGCAAACTGTACAAGGACAGGGCCATGCCCAGTTAACCCGCTGTTTGAGGTCTAAATACTTTTTGGTTATTGTGCAATATGAGTAAAACATCCTCAGAGATGAATCATAGCTCTAGAATTTTAGATTATCACTGCATATGACAATATAAAAAAATCCATGCTCCATTACACCAATTTAATAAAGCAATGTGGCATCTACCTGCCTGAACACCAAAGACACGCAACCTTATGAAAAGAAAAAAAAAATCCAAATATTCATTCTTAGAGAATCACGATTTCATTGACTGGATCAGTGTCGGCTGCCTTCAGTATAAAAACAGGACAACTTTGAATATATCAGAGACTCTCCAAATATCATCATGGAGATTTACTAGGAGCCTTCATAAATATAGTGAGTAATAAAGCAATTTCTAGGGACTATATAGTAATCTTGAATTCTGTGATTCATATAAATGTGAATTATTAATAGAAAATAATCAAAATGATTTAATAAAAGTACATGTGTTCACATAGAAAGGGGGAAGAGAGGCCGGGAGTGGTGGCTCACGCCTGTAACCCCAGCACTTTGGGAAGCTGAGGCGGGTGGATCACGAGGTCAGGAGTTTGAGACCAGCCTGGCCAACATAGTGAAACCATGTCTCTACTAAAAATACAAAAATTAGCTGGGTGTGGTGGCCTGTGTCTGTAGTCCCAGCTACTAGGGAGGCTGAGGTGGGAGAACCCCTTGAACCTGGGAGGTGGAGGTTGCAGCAAGCCGAGACCATGCCATTATACTCCATCCTGGGAGACAGAGTGAGACTCCGTCTCAAAAAACAAAAGGGGGTGGGGGGTGGGGAAGACAGCACTGCTTAGATATTAGAAAAAATCTGAGATTTCATTGCTTTTTCTATAAGTTATAAGGTGATACCATGGAACTGTGGGCAAGTCCCTCAACAATCTAAGCTTCCATTTCTTGATCTCCAAAACAGTGGCACCGAGGTTTGCCTTGCTTACTGCCTTGAGAAGTTCAGGAGAGACAGTGCTTGTGAAAGTGTGAGTCAATTACTATTTGTTTTCTTGCATGTGGCTTGTAAGGAAGTCAGATAACATAAGAGAAGTGAGTGACTGAGTGTTAAAGTGAATTACCAAGGATGCTGGAACTTGAAATGCTTTTGTGTGTAGCAATGCAGGCCGAGCTGCCACGTGCTATCCTGTGTGTCCCCGCTCTCCCCGCGTTGCAAGCCCGCAGAATGCCCCGCATCCACTGAGCCGTGGCCAGCCCTACGGTGGGCAAGCCTATCAAGCGCAAACATTGGGAGGGTTCTGACTCTCAAGTGTCTTACAGAAAATAGAGCCAGGAGCTCCATCTGGCACTCCATTTGCTAAATGTCCCATTGATGTCAAACGCCAGGAAATGTGGCTGTTTAAAATCCCAGGGAATAAGATTTCCACTCAGCAGCTTTCTAATGTACGCGCAGCACTCTGCGAAGCAAAAGCCCTTGCTGAGCAGTCTGGTCACAGCCCCTTACACACAAGCTCTCTGGGCCTCCACTAAGAAGTACAAAGACACAGGGCAGAGGAAAATGGACTTATCAGCTCCAGTGGCTTAAAATATGCCGGATGCCAATAGAGGGCACTGTTGCATATCCACAAAAGCCCACGCTCCGCAACCTAGCAAGACCACCAAAGCACTCACCTCCTTCCACACTCTGGCTGCAGTCCTAATGATGAACAGGAGCGATTAAAGTGGCAATCCCACAAAACACGGCTTCTGGTCAAAGTTCATGACTGCTTCATCACCACTTTGATATTTGCAAAGGGGCTTCATGATCATTTTCAGTCCTGAGTCATCTCCAGTACTTTTCTGCAGAATGCTAGATCTCTTAGCTTCACTTTTCAGAAGACTGAAATCCAGAGAGGTTAACTAGATGACTTGAGCCCATTCAGTCCAGAACTAGACAGAGATAGAAAACTCAGGGTTCCTGAATTCTACGCTGGAGAGTTTTCAGAACGGTGCATTGCGAGCTTTGAATGAAAAACATCAACAGCCTGCATCCGCTCTTGACTCTTTAGGGGAGGTTGTATGGCTTGGTGATTAACTGGGACTTCACAGGCAGGACTCCTGTCCCCACCACCTCCTAATTGTCGTTTATCCCAGTGGAAGTTGATAACTGATAACCAAACCTGCAAGTGAGGCCCATTCTGCAGCCCAAGAAGGAGTTAGGGAGGGATAGGAAACAGACACATAAAATCAGGCCAAATAGTGAAACTGATTGGAGTGCTTTGGGGTATCAATGTTGTATCCTAATTGTCCTTTATCACAGTGGAAGTTGATAACTGGTAACCAAACCTGCAAATGAGGCCCATTCTGCAGCCCAAGAAGGAGTTAGGGAGGAATGGAAAACAGACACATAAAATCAGGCCAAATAGTGAAACTGATTGGAGCGCTTTGGGGTATCAATGTTGTATCCTTCAGCGATCCCTCTCAACTATTAGTTAACTGAGAACAGATTGCCCCGAACTTGGGAGCTGTCAGATCTGTTTCTTGCACTCTCCCACCATTGACCCCTGACTCCTACAGAATCTCATTTTGCATCCCACATTCTGAAGGCATTGAATCATTTTTTTTGGCTAAGCACATGTTGGCTCTGGAGTCGCCTATATACAGAGTCTTTGCTGCTGCATTTGAGGCCTGGTGACATGTTATATTATGTAATGTTCTGGCAGTTAAGGAAAACTCACGCCCTCCCTGTTATGTATGAAGTGTCATCTCTAAAGCAGAGACTATTTCTTGCAAAATGGCATTGATAAATGGATAAACGAAACCAACTGACAACATCCCCGTAACAATGCAGTATCCTTCACTGCCAGTTTATTTCTAGAACACCATTAGGCAAAAAAGAAGGCTTTGTGGCCTAAGTAGGTGTTTTCATATATTTCGGAATGACAAATTAAGACGACAAGGATTTTCAGTCAGGCCATGACAGTAAATGTGCGCTTGTCACTTGTTGTAATGCTGTCCGGCAGGCCATAAGGGCCAGGCTTTACTGCATGGCACATTGGGGAGCCAAATCTCTCTGGTGGCATCTTTCTGTCTGGCACCTCACTCAAGTTAGAAAACTCAACCTAGAAAAGACTGTTGGTCCCTACATGGGCAAGTGTTACTTTCGCTATTACTAAACCCTGTGCCAGTCTTGGGGCAGTCGGAAAGGGTGGAGGAAAACAGGGTGCTTTGATGGCTCTGGCCTGGTCTCAAGTGACACACCCTAATCTGAAGGGTTTGTGCCCACATCCTCTCCGCTGCAGCTGGGTGGCTGTTGGCAATCACCTTTGCAAGCACTTGTGTGTACCATGCCAGCGGTTGCTCGTGCCAATTAGAACTCAGCTGGATCTTGATATAAATGGGCCATAGGCTAATCGTTCTGGGATACATCTTAAATTAGTCTGAGAGAGTCAGAGACCACTGTAAAACCATTTGGCCCAGAGTTTGTGCAAGTTTCTCTGATCCAAAATGGCACCTTGGTATCCAGCTGTCTTGGATGCAGACAACTCTTTCACCTCGGGTCATCATCAAATGCCAAACACAAAAGAAATCCTAACCTCTCACTTTACACAAGAGGAGGCCAAGGCTCAGAGAATTGTAAAGACTTGCCACCAGGTTGTGGCAATGTGCAGTGAAGAACACAGTCTATTTCTGGCATCAGAAGGGCTCAAGTTTGGTTCTCCCAGGCACTGTTTGACAGAACCTCCCTGAGTCTTGGATTACTTTTTGTAACCTTCTGAGTTGTTGAGCAGGTGACATGCAGGAACACAGATATTTTAGTGTGCCCCCAATTGCCTGGGATACTGGTTAAATATGCAGATTTTTGGACCCCTGGCCCCCACCAGAGACTTGGATACAGTTTTTCAGGTTTGTTTTTTGTGGAACACTGTAGGGACAAATGGGAGTGTTTGCTGTGTCAGTGGCACAGCCTCTGATCCTTGTTCTATTCACTGTTCGCCTTCTAGTTTCAGCTCAGCTGTAGACAGATGCACTCCTGAGAATGTGACTGAACTTTACTAAGTAGGAATCACTGTAAACCTTATTCACCATCTACTCCACCCCCACCACTCGTCTTTTCTGGGTCACTACTTCTCCCTTGCGTCTAGTCAGCATATAGAAATAAAGATTGTGTCTACCTTTATTATACCCACTAGAAGGCCTGACATAGAAAATAAACGTGAGCCCATACCTATTATAGAGAGCAGAGGCCATTATGCCTTAACTTGCTATGTTCTGTTGCTACCATAGAACTGGACAAAGATGGAACTTTCATTCTAGTGGCTGGTCCATGGAGATATTCTGTGGTATTCAAAAAATCTTGGGGCATCTTTAGGGTCTAACACTTCCATTATTCATGCAATGTGACGCACTTGTATTTGGCATTTAAGTATACATGCATGCAAATATTTTACCTCAAACACAATGGTACTAAATATATTTTTATTTCTAATTCTGACTACAACCAATTTTCTACCATTTTTCTAGAACCAGAAAAATCAAAGTCAATGAAAGTAGCGAGAAGAACATTCACTGTGTAGTTTTCTGTTGTGCCTACAATCTGAGTTATTTATTTTAAAATTACATACTTCAAAATATTCCAACCCTGCCCAAACACTTTATAAAGACTCAGCTTTAAAAAAAAAGTTCTGATTTTGTTTACTGAAAAGGCAAAATTACAATCAAGGAACATTGGAGAGAAAATAATCTGCTATTCAGACACATCAGCTGATTTTATTCTTTTCAATTTTCTTTTTGTCCTTGTCCATATACTTGCAATTCAAGGAGGTTTGTTTTCTAGTTTCAGCTCAGCCATTAATAAGTATGATCCTGAGAAAGGAGCTTAACTTTAATAAATAGGAATAAACGTTTGTCTTATTGATGCCATTGGGTAGTTGTGGGGATTCAGAAATAAGGCAGGTGAAAATGTTTTGCATACTATAAAGTGCCCTAGATGTCAAAATAATTGTTATTTTGATCTAAGACTCTCATTTCATGACTATATCTTCTGTCTCTCCACAAGCTGTTGACATCTGTTTTTAGAGGGTGACAAATACAAAGTAAAAGGAAGATAAAAGGATCTACAAAGATTTCAGAGTATATGACCCAAAGAAGAAGAAGCTGAAAACCTACTTACTCGACATCTTCAAATATGTGAAGGCCAGTGAAAAACATAGAGTGGGAATCAGCTGTTACCAACTCTCCAGATATAAATTAAGATGTAATGGGCTTCAATTGCAGAGGGAATTTAAGTTTTTTTTAAGATCAAATTCCTGACTGTGGGAATTATTACCAACTACAAGGGGCTAGCATTGCAATGGCTCTCCTGCCTGGAGTCTTGAAGAAAGTTACATTTGCCTATTGTCATGTACAGACCACCCCAGAACTTCATGGTGTAAAACAAGCACCGTTTTCTTCTGTTCTTGGATTCTGTGGGTCAGGAGTTCAGACAGGATACAGCAGGAATGGATTGTCTCTGCTGTACAATGACTGCGAGACCCCAGCTGGGAAGACTAAAAAATCTAGGGGTAACTTACACAACGGGGCCAGAGTCATCTGTAGGTTTCTTTGCTCACATGTCAAACACCTGGGGTCATATTGGGCACCTCTCTCTATGGAGTGTCAAGACCTCACTGCACATGGTTTCTTAAACAGGGCAGCTCAGAGTAGCTAGACATGGTACGTGGTGGTTCAGGCCTCAAGAGCAAATGTGAAAGCCACATGGCCTTTTTCTTAAAAAAGAAATCATTTTCAAAAAAAAACATAAGGCTACTTTTGTTTTACCTTATTTTTTTAAAGAGTTTTATTGAGGTATCATTGATATACAAAGAACTGTGTATGTTAAATGTGTACAATTTGAGGAGTTTGAACATATGCAAATACCCTTGGTACCATCACCACAAGCAAGGAAACAGGTATGTTTAACACTTTCCAAAGTTTTCTTTTGTTCCACCACTTTGTTTTTTTTTTTTTTTTTTGTGGTAAGAACACTTAACATGAGATTAGCTTTTTGATGAATCTTGAAATGTGTAATACCGTACCGTGAACTACAGATACTATGTTGTACAGCAGATCTCTAGAACTTATTCATTTAGCATAACTGAAACTTTATACTCATTGAACAACTCCCCATTTCCCTACCCTCTATCTTCTGGCAACTACAATTGTATTCTCTGTTTCTATGGGTTTCACTATTTTAGATACCTCATGTAAGTGGAATCATGCAGTATTCATCCTTCTGTGACTGACCTATTTCACTTAGAATACCCATTGTCCTCTGGGTTCAACCATATTTTCACAAATGGCAGAATTCCTTCCTTTTCAAAGACTCAATGCTATTCCACTGTACATATATACCATGTTTTCTGTATCCATTTCTCTGTCATTGGGCCCTTGGGCTGTTTCTATTATCCTGGCTACTTTGAATAATGCTACAATCAACATAGAAGTGTAGCTATCTCTTTGATTTACTGATTTCCATTCTTTGGGGTATATACCAAGCAGTGGAAATGCTGGATCATTTGGCAGTTCTATTTTTAATGTTTTGAGGAAGCTTCGTACTGTTTTCCACAGTGGCTATGCCATTTTACATTCCCACCAACAGTGTACCAGCTCCAATTTTTCCACATACATACAAACGGCCAACAGGCATATGAAAAGATGTTCAATATCATTAATTATTAGAGAAATGCAAATCGAAACTACCATGAGTTATCACCTCATCCCTGTTAGGATGGCTAGCATCAAAAAGCAAAAGATAACAGGTGTTGGCTGTGTGGGTTTTGATTGCTTTGCTTTGGAATTACATGGAGCCACTTCTGCTCAGCTAAGATGATGGAAGCAGCCACAGCCGTTTCCAGATTCAAAGGGAAGGGATGCTGATCTTACTTCTCAGTGCAAATCAAAAGAATTTGCAGCCACATTAAAAAAAAACCCCACAAATTACTGAGTATAACTCATTTATTCATTCCACCAAGCAGCATTTATTAAACACGAGTACCAGGCTCTATGCTGGGAAAACCAAGAAGAATTCAGCATACTCCTGCCTGCCTTGAAGAGTTCATGGTCTGGTGTTGCAGAGAATGTAGCCCAGAGTCACGGTCATATACCTGGAGAGAGACCCTGTGAAGCCCGTTCAGATTTTCCGCCACTGAGGTCCTCCTCTCTGGAACTGAACACACCAGGGAAAAATTCCTACTCCTTCTGAATTCAACAAAACCAGTTAGCAACAAGTGGTTTTTCAATTTGTTTTTATTTCTACCCCTTGGCTTGCGCTTTCTGGATTGTGGGCACTGGGATTCCTAATCTTTGGCAGCGAGTCCCATTCTAAATGTAAACAGATGGAGAAAGCGCCAGCGTGGCCGAGTGTAATACATTCTAATGCAGAAGCATGCTGACACTGTGGGCAAATGCAGCCGCATTAAACAACTGTGTTTGCTCAACCCTTTCCAGGAGGGCCCAGAAGTTTCACATCAGGGAGATGCACAGCGAATGCCTCTCTCAGGGTCCACCCCGGAGAGGCTGGGCGGTACCATTTCAGTTCCGTAGACGTTGGAAGAGCAGCCTGTTTGTTTATGAGATTTCAGGGGGGATGTACCAGGTTAGCAGTGACTAACAGTGACTTTTAATCATTTCTTTTATATTCTCCAGCTTTTGAATTTTTCTCAGGGCAGACAATACAATTAAGCTACTTTAAACCAACCTCCTGCTGCTACCACCTAAAATAACTTCATGAGTGAAACAGTCCCCACTGCCAGGGTAACCACATTTCACTCAGAACCAGTCTTCTATTTGTTCTGCCTCTCCCATCCTGCCTCCCTTGGCACCATGAAGGGCCAAATGAGCTCGATCTACCCTCCAGCCCAGTAGCAAAGTTTTCTTTCCTTTGCTTTTCTTGGTCAGGGCTAGAGGAGGTAGCACCCCATCATGAGCACTGGAGAAGGTGCCCAGAAAATCACTTCTCCAACCATATCTCCCCCTGTGGCCTGAACAGAATGCTCAGCACCAATTGCCATTTTGATTATCTCTAGAAGGTTCAGTAAAACTCGAATGTTCTCTGCTTTAGTGTCTTAACTCATGAATAATAATGACCATAATAATCAACATTTATTGGGCAATTAATTAGTGTGTGCCACCCACTTTGCTGATCTCTTTTCTTGCAATGTCTTCTAAAAGCCCTACTTTATGACTTACAACTTTACAAGTCAGTCACTATTATTATCCTCGTTTCATACATAGGGAAACTGAGACTTCTGGAGGCTAAATAGCTTGCCCCAGGTACACAGCAAGGATGGATCAGAGCCAGAATTTGAACCCAAGTCTATCTTACTCCAAAACTCTTATGTTAAAACACTGTACAGTTATACAGTTGGCAAATTGCAGGACTCTGGGAATTTGGGATACCTAACAATTAATTTCCTTTCTTTTTCTTTCTTTTCTCTCTCTCTCTCTCTTTCTCTCTTTCTTAGATGAAGTCTTGCTCTGTCGCCCATGCTGGAGTGCAGTGGCGTGATCTCAGCTCACTGCAACCTCCACCTCTGGCGTTCAAGTGATTCTCCTGCCTCAGCCTCCTGAGTAGCTGCGACTACAGGTTCTTGCCACCATGTCTGGCTAATTTCTGTATTCTTAGTAAAGATGGAGTTTTACCATGTTGCACAGACTGGTCTTGAATTCCTGATCTTAAATGATCCACCCACCTCGGCCTCCCAAAGTGTTAGGATTACAGTCGTGAGCCAGCATGCCCAGCCCTGACAATTATGTTTTGATGGCAGGTTCTGTGGGCAGAGAGAAAGAGGTCTTTCTTATGAAGAACACTCAGGACACTGAGAAGATGTGAAAATAAGGTTTTAGGGAATGAGAGATATAAATCTATACATTCAGCATTTACTGAACACCTACTGTGTGTAGAGAATTATACAAAGTCTAGGAGCATAGGGTTAGTCTTTGGGTTAATGGCAAGAAGTCTAGAGGGAGCTTCCAGGCTGAGGCAGCAGTTACCTTCATATTGAAGTTGCCTTGTTTCCTGGCTTTCAGCTCACTGCATTTTCCTGCCACTGGCCAGAGCCAGCCCTGCTACTGATGGCTGGAACTGATATTGCCTGGCCAAATAAAACTAACAACTATTACACCAACAATGCTAGCTCATATTTACTAAGCAATTTTTTTTTTTTTTAGATGGAGTCTCCCTCTGTCGTCCAGGCTGGAGTGCAGTGGCCCGATCTTGGCTCACTGCAACCTCCACCTCCTGGGTTCAAGCAATTCTCCTGCCTCAGCCTCCTGAGTAGTTGGGATTACAGGCGCCTGCCACCACGCCCAGCTAATTTTTGTATCTTTAGTAGAGACGAGGTTTCACCATGTTGGTCAGGCTGGTCTCGAATTCCTGACCACCTTGGCCCACCTCGGCATCCCAAAGTGCATGAGCCCCACGCCCGGCCTTCACTAGCACTTCACTAGCACTTTCTAAGTGCCAGGCACTGTTTTAGGCTTTGTAACATATAACCTTCCTAATAACTCAGGATGGTGGCTATCATCCCTATCCTCATTATACAGCCAGGAACTGAGGAATGGAAGGTTTTAGAGATGTACGGAGCTCTGTATCTTTCTTTTGTTCAATTGAGATCATTCTGTTTTCCATTATTCCCATCACTATTTTCTACTTCTACAACAGGGAGTGAGTCTAGAGGAATTACTGCTATCAGGAGGTCAGGGATATCGTATGGGGACCAGCAAGGAGTGAACAAAAGTCATTTTTTTTTTAAAGAGATGAGGTTTTGCTCTGTTGCACAGACTGGAGTAAGCTAATGAAATCATAGCTCGTTGCAGCCTCAAACTCTTGGGCTCAAGTGATTTTCCAGCCTCAGCCTCCCAAGTAGCTGGGACTATCGGTGTTTGCCACCATGTCCAGCTGATTTAAAAAGTTTTTTTGTAGAGATGGCATCTCGCTCTGTTGCCCTGGCTGGTCTTAAACTCCTGGTCTCAAGTGATTCTCCTGCCTCGGCCTCCCAAAACGTTGAGATTACAGGCATGAGCCACCTCAGCCAGACTAGGAGTCACTTTTGAGAGGCAAGAGGAAAACCTCTCGTTAGCCTCAGGAACACCAGTTGGGTGCTTTCCCCTCTGGGAAATCTAACTGCTGCATGTGGGTTAATCAAGCAGCCTTGAGGTCAGAGCCCTCTGGGGTTCGGCTATAGCCCCTACAGCCCAACCCTGCTCCCAATTACCCTGGCTTGGCCCTACATGTCACAGAAGATCCAAAGGTATCAGTTGTGCTTGTGTGTGATTATAGAAGGAACACACAAGTGGAAGAAAGTAAGGTGGGAAAGCTGGACCTCAGAGCCTACAGCAGCAAAATCCTCTGCAGGGTGGCTGTGGGGGCTTGGAAACTCACAAGAGCTCCCCAAGGGAGCAGCAGAAGATTTTCTGGTGACCTGACGGTCCTGGAGCAGCTGGGCTTCCTGGCTGTTGTCATCCCCTGGCTGTCCCTGATGGATAGGAAGTACTTGCCACCAAGTGAGCACTTAGTGCCGACTGAGAGAATCGATGGGAGAGAGGGGGCGTTGGAGGTGCCAGAGGAATCATAAATATTTTATACTGTTGAATCAAATGGAAAAGGCAAAGCTATTTCTTTTTCAAATGGAAGTGGTGGAGACTTCATTTCATTCAAGATTAATAGTCACACTGCCCGGTAACCAGAGCAGAAGACAATGCCAAAAAGGAATGGCCAAGTTTGGGAGGCACAAAAATGAAAGCCCTCTCCAGGGCCAGAGAGGGGTGCTTCGTGCTAAACGCCACAGGCCATGAGGTCGGCTGATCAGCAGACATGTCTTCTTTTATACATTCCTAGAAAGTGTGTAAACTAGTGGGCATTGTTTTTAAAGCACCAGGAAGATTCAGGGAATGCCTACTAAGTTACTTGTATGATATGAATAATAATGCTCAAATAGAGTGTGTCACCTTGTGAGTGTGGATTTAACAATGAAATCAGACCTTAAGCCTGTAATGCTACGAACAGAGGAATTGTGAGGGGTGGTTTCTCTCTTCCCCTGCCCTTGGCCAGGGCCCATCACCCCTGGAATCACTACAGAGTGCTGAGTATCTAGGGTATTTGTTGAGATTGACAGGCGCGGATATCTCACTTCTTGCTTTGGGAATTTCCTTTCATGTTTAATAGCCTCTGAAGGCAAATGGAAGGTGATTTTCCAAGCCATTCCCTCTGCTTGACCTATTTCCAAAAGCTGTGTCCCTGCCTCCATTTCCTGCTCATTTCTATGAAAGGAGAATGTGGTCATGCTTCCGACTTCGCCCGTGCCCTACTTCTCTCTTGAGATCTGAGATATTCTTAGGAAGTCGGTTCAGAATTCATAGTCGGGGCAAGAGGTGGGTCAGCCAGTCCTTCTCAAGCCAGAGGAGAGTAGGGTGTAGCTGACCCTTCTGGAGTTTTCTCTGGGCTGAAAGCAGGCTTCCGGGAAACATGGCTCTTCTGCTCAGCCGTTCCCAAAAACGAGTGCATAGATCTGTGTTGGTCACATCCTGTGTGTGTGTCTGTTCTGCCCAGGCCGCATGAGGAATAGAAGATAAGCTCACATTTCCTGCCTGCCAGGGACTTAAAGACTTTCAAGTTGTCTCTTGTTCTCTGGGCTCTTAAGCTACACCCAGATCTCTGTAAACTTATGCTCACTCTGGGGGAAGATGGGCTGCCTGGGCCTGCCCTTTGCAGCTCCAGAAAAGAGGACTGTCAATCAGATGACTCTTTAAAATAATTTTTTAAAAAAATATTTACTTATTTATTAGAGATGAGGTCTCAGCTCTGTTATCCAGGCTGCAGTGTGGTGGTAGTGGTGCAATCATAGCTCACTGCAGCCTCAAACTCCTGGGCTCAAGCATCAGTCGGATGACTCTTGACCTCAGGGACAACATACTAGTTTGGGAGTCACAGAGGAGAAATAATTAGCAAGCAAAGCAAGACGGCATGTTTTATTTCAGGGTTCCTCTTAACCATGATGCCCATCTCCCACACCCTCACCCCTGGCAGCCACCCTCAGCTAGATGCTCAAGGACTTTCTCTTTGCTATTCATCCTCATTTCTAAACCATACATTTTACTCACCTACCCGCAGGAGAAATACCGTCTGTGGCCCCAGAGGAGGCGGGCAGCAGCAGGATATGGGAGGTTCTGCTGGGGACTGGTGCCACGTGCCCTCTGCCACCCCACCCCACTAGCTGATGCCACCCCATCACCCACAGCCTCTTTTAGTGCCTCTGAATCAGGCACAGGCTTTTAGACAGTGCTGCGCATTCCCTCAAGTTCAGTAAGTCCAGGAAATCTTTACCATCCACAGCTCAATTGAAAACAAAACAACGTGGCCAGGTGTGGTGGCTCATGCCTGTAATCCCAGCACTTTGGGAGGCTGGGGTGGGCAGATCACTTGAGGTAAGGAGTTCGAGACCAGCCTGACCAACATGGTGAAACCTCATCTCTGCTAAAAATACAAAAAATATTAGCAGGACATGGTGCCTGTAAATCCAGCTACTCAGGAGGCCGAGGTGGAAGGATCACTTGAACCTGGGAGGTGGAGCTGAGATCACGCCACTGCACCACTCCAGCCTGGATGAAAGAGTGAGACTCCGTCTGAAAAAAAAAAAAAGAGAGAGAGAGAGAAAGAAAACAAAACAACATTACCCCCATGTTTTCCCCTTCCCTGCTAAAAACAAATCCAAAAATCCACACTCTATTCCAGGGAAATAAATGGACATTTAGGGTTAAGATACTGAAAAAGATAATGTTACCTTCCTCTCAGCTGCCTTATTTGGTTGTTTTAAGCTAAATGGAAGATTCTTGTTTAGAATCACAAAAAGAAATAATAACACCACGTGGACCTGGACGCAGACATCCTCCGCTTTGCTCCACAACCCTTCCACTGTGCTCCCTGCACTGGCGGGCAGGAATCCTGGGCGCTTACAATGCAGGGGAGCATGAGCGTTGGGAGGGGAGGGGGTCTCTGCCTCAAAAACCCAGTACATGGCAGCAGCAGTTCAGTTGTTTACAAAATAGGGACTGATTCCCTTCCCTTCCCTTCCCTTCCCTTCCCTTCCCTTCCCTTCCCTTCCCTTCCCTTCCCTTGCGTTCTCTCCCCGCCCCTCCCCTCCCCCCCGCCCCCTCCCCTCCCTTCCCCCCTCCCCTCCCCTCCCCTTCCCCTTCTTTCCTTCCCCCTTCTTCCCTTCCCTCTCCTCACCCACCCACTTCCCTTCCCCCCTCCCTCTCCCCTCCCCTCCCCTCCCATCCTCCCCTCCCCTCCTTTCCCACTCCTCTCCCCTCCACCCTCTTCCCCTCCCTTTCCTCCCTTTCCCTTTCTTTCCTCTCCTTTCCCTTCCTTCCCCTTCCTTCTGACAGATTCTCGTGCTGTTGCCCAGGCTGGAGTGCAATCACATGATCTCCGTTCACTGCAGCTTCCGCCTCCCAGGTTCAAATGATTCTGGTGCCTCAGCCTCCCAAGTAGCTGGGATTCAGGCATGTACCACCAAGCCCAGCTAATTTTTGTATATATATATATATATATTTTTTTTTTTTTTGAGATGGAGTCTCTCTCTGTCGCCCAGGCTCGAGTGCAGTGGCGCGATCTGAGCTCACTGCAAGCTCCGCCTCCCAGGTTCACGCCATTCTCCTACCTCAGCCTCCCAGGTAGCTGCGACTACAGGTGCCCACCACCACGCCCGGCTAATTTTTTTGTATTTTTAGTAGACACAGGGTTTCACCATGTTAGCCAGGACGGTCTGGAACTCCTGACCTCAAGTGATCCACCTGCCTAGGCCTCCCAAAGTGCTGGGATTACAGGCGTGAGCCACCGCGTGGCCTGAGTTTCATTGAAAAAGACCACGTGTGCACAGTGCCTGGGGCACGTGTGGTCCTCAGTTCCCGAGATTTCCCTTTCTACAAGAGCAGTGACCAAATTTTAGGCCTCTCCTTAAGGCACCTTCCAAGATGCAAGTCCCCACCTGGTGGCCAGTCAGGCCACATGGAAGTGCATGAGGGTGGGGACACAAAAGTATCCTACACTTGCAACTCTTTATTTTCACTTTCTGCACTTTTTTCTTTCATCTTCTCTTTTTTCTCTGGTTCTCTCCTTTCTCCTGCTAGCTCAATTTTCCCTCCCCAGGTTTTTGGAACCCAGAGATCTGGCTTTCTACTGTTTCACTTTGTGCCCTTAGAAAGGTCCCTTCACCCCCTTGGGGCTCTCTCCTCTTGAGGAGAGGGAGGAAGTTGGATTACAGTTTAGGAAGATGTGATTGGGGCTGATCTAGTTGAAATGATGACCGAGGGCTTGGAATTCCCTCCAAATGCTCTAGCCAGCCCACCCAGGGTGCTTTCTTTTTGATGGGGTCCCAGGGACTTCTCAGCACTTCCACACCACCAAACTCTCTGATTGCTGAGTCGGCTCTAGTAAGTATTTTTCTTTTTCTCTTCTGCCCACACTTGGCAGTGTGGGGACAGAAGGAAAGAAGCTGGCGATCCCATGCCAAGCTGCTGAGGCAGTCTTTTCTCTAAAGTGGTCATGGAGTGTGTGTCATCCTCTGCAAGGCATGTATCTGCCAATGCAGGGGTGAGGCCTCGGCCACCTCCACCCTCTGCCGGAGCATTCAAACGTCTCCAACTACAGCCATTCCCCTGAATGGCTGCAGAGGTCAATGAAGTAACGTCTGAAAATGCTTGTGGGATCTTTGGGTTTCCAAAGCATTCTTCTTTCTAACTCTGGAATAAGGCTCTTCCTTAAAAATAGAAAGCCATCTGTGGGGTGAATTTTAATATACTGTGCACAATAATCCCATCCTCATGCTGTGGTTGTGTCCACAGTCCTGGGGCAGGGCCAACATGTGACCACTTAAATTATTTATCAACAAATTTTTCTCCTCACGTCCACATGGATGTTGAAATGGTTTTCTAATTCATTTTTAAAATATGCTCTGGGTTCATGACCCCAGCTTCGGGGAATCATGACATCCTCATCACTTGACAGTGCCAGCAATCAGTCAGCTCCAAAGAGCATGTGTACTTCAAAAAGACTGACTCAGCCCAGCCTTAGAGGATTCTCCTTTGGGGTGCAGGACTGGGTTCAAACTGAGTTTTCCAACACTGGGCGAGTTTCAGCAAAGTAGGGCTGGGATAATGGTGCGGCTCTTGTGATTAATCTACTCCAGGAAAGGTTGAATGAGAAGTTAATGTGGATCCCCCAGAAGCTGCAGAGGGTTAAGAGCTTTTATTTTAGCGAGAATTTAAGATGCGAGGCCTGTCAGGTGCACGTGCCATCAAAAACATGACCTAATCCTATTGATTTTCTTTTAATGTTCACAGACTGGGAGCCCCGGGAGGGAGGCAGACAGCACCAATGCATTGCGCAAAATGTCTAGTTTTCAAACCATGTAAACTTGGTCTGGGAAAAGAGTGGGCTCTGTGGAATGTTGCTCCTTCAGCAGCTGATGTGAAGATGCTTATGGTGACCACAAGCCAAGCCTCTGCAGGAGGTTATAGGAGCCCCAGCTCATATTAGGAATTCTAAATTCAGATAAAGCTGGATTATTAGATTGAACTCTATGAAATTGTTCAATATTCAACCATCTTTTACCTATAAAAATGGCTGTTTCATATGGTTTGACATGCTGTGTATGCTTGAGACTTGACTGTGACCTTCTTATCTCATGATGGCAAGAAAACCCCATGTGGAATTTAGGTGAAATCCTACTTGTCCTCCAAGGCCAGGTCTTGGGGGATTCATAGAGCATCCTAGGCTAACATGACTTTAGGCCCGTGAAGCCACTCATGGTTTCTCACAACCCAATCAAAACTAATCTCCCCAGGCCAGATGTGGCAGCTCACTCCTTTACTCTCAGCATTTTGGGAGGCCGAGGCAGGAGGATTGCTTGAGGCCAGGCTTTCAAGACCAGTCTGGGCAACATAGCGAGATCCTATCTTTCTATAAATAAATAAGAATTAGTCTTCCTCACCCTGGCGTATTGACGATAGTTAGCTAACACTATTTATGAAATAGATACCTTTAGTTATAGCTATTGCTGTTCCTGAATGCCCTTTAAAATGACAAATACTTTGAGGATGTGAGCCGTCATGGATATCTCTGTATCTCCCGGTGCCTTTTCACAGAGTAGGCATTCTTCATTGTTATTGCTTAACTACCTGAATCTTGATACTTTTACTCAGTAGCAAAACGGATCATGACCAGTTGGCTCTTTTCAGAATTTATAATGGGGCTATAGCTTTTCCTTCATAGACCTTTAAAAAATTGATTACAGTCCTTTAAATTGGAGTTAAAAGATTGTTATCTTTTTCTTCTCATGAACCATATAACATTTCTATGAGCACAAATGCGTTTTGTGAGTGTTGATGTGAATTCAGAGAATGCTTTAGATCAGCAGTCCCCAAACTTTTGGGCACCAGGGACCAGTTTTGTGGAAGACAATTTTTCCACAGAGAGGGACAGGAAATGGTATTGGGATGATTCAAGCACATTTCATTTATCATTATACTTTCTTTCTTTTTTTTTTTTTGAGACGGAGTCTCGCTTTGTCACCAGGCTGGAGTGCAGTAGCGTGATCTCGGCTCACTGCAACCTTCGTTTCCTGGGTTCAAGCGATTCTCCTGCCTCAGCCTCCCAAGTAGCTGGGACTACAGGCGCACGCCACCAAGCCCAGCTAATTTTTGTATTTTTAGTAGAGATGGGGTCTCACCATGTTGGCCAGGATGGTCTCGATCTCTTTACCTTGTGATCCACCTGCCTCGGCCTCCCAAAGTGCTGGGATTACAGGCATGAGCCACCGTGCCTGGTCTATCATTACATTTTCGTAAGGGGCCATGCAACCTAGATCCATCGTGTGCACGGTTCACAATAGGGTTCGCACTCCTGTGAGAATCTAATGCCATCACTGATCTGACAGGAGGCAGAGCTCAGCTTCCCTTGCTTGCCCACCCCTCATCTTCTTCTGTTTGGTCTAGTTCCTAACAGGCTACAGACTGGTACCTGTCATGGCCCGGGGGGTTGAGGATCCCTGCTTTAGATCACAGCTGATCAGTTTCCCCAGTCTCACACTGCACTTAACTACAGTTTCTCCTTCTGTGTCCCCAGTAGGGGTGGCAGAAAGGGTCACAATGGGGCACAGAGGATGTTACAGTTACCTGAACATGTGCGACTAGTCCACATGGGTGCACACTGTATATGACAGGAAGGCTTCAAGTTCAACCTGGGTTAAATGAAACATGCCATCATTCCATCTTTCTTTCCCGTGCCCTCTTCTGCCGACCTGCTCCCCTTCCTGGGTGTCTGGTTGCAGTGAGTGGCTCTGATGTTCTCCCAGATGACCAACCTCAAAGACCAGTACATCCCCTGCCCCACACTGTCCCCCACATCTGTCTGCTCTGTCTCTTTCCATTGTTACCACCACTGCCTAGGTTTCTAATTATCCACATTTCTTCTTTTTTTTTTTTTATTTAAGCAAGCATCTCACTCTGTTGCCTAGGATGAAGTGCAGTGGCACAATCACAGCTTACTGCAGCCTCAAAGCAATCCTCCCACCTCAGCCTCCCTAGTAGCTAGGACCACAGGCATGTGCCACCAGTTCAGCTATTTCTTTATTTTATTTTTTGTAGAGATGAGGTCTTGGTATGTTGCCCAGGATGGTCTCAAACTCCTGGGCTCAAGCAATCCTCCTGCCTCCACCTCCCAAAGCGCTGAGATTATAGGCATGAGACACAGAGCCCAGCCACTGTCCGCATTTCTTTCCTGGCTTCCTTACTGGGTTCTCTACTTTCACTCTTGCCTTCTTCCTCTCTTCCACCAGCATAAGTTTTAGAAACTGCACTTCTGATCATGCTGCTCTGCTGCTTAAAATCCTTCATGCAGATCATGTAAGACCTTCCTGATCCAGTGCTGCCTTGCCCTCTAGAACCCAGGGTGCCTTTCTCCCCTCTGCAGTTCTACTGCGCCACCTGCAGTTTCTCTCTCCTGTGTTCATGTGTCTACTCCCTCTGAATGGTAGGCTCACACCCTCCACCTGGCCAACTCTTACTAAATCTTGGGCTTCAACTCAAGGATCACCTTCATGGTTCACTCCACCAGGCTGGGCTGTGTGTCCTGCCCAGTTCCTATAGTGCCCTAACTCACTTTTTTAAAAAAATACTTTAAGTTCTGGGGTACATGTGCAGAACATGCAGGTTTGTTACATAGGTATACACTTGCCATGGTGGTTTGCTGAAGCCATCAATGTCATCTACATTAGGCATTTCTCCTAATGCTGTCCCTCCCCTAGCCTCCCACCCCCCAACAGGCCCCAGTGTGTGATGTTCCCCTTCCTGTGTCCATGTGTTCTCGTTGTTCAGCTTCCACTTATGAGTGAGAACATGCGGTGTTTGGTTTTCTGTTCCTGTGTTAGTTTGCTGAGAATGATGCTTTCCAGCTTCATCCATGTCCCTGCAAAGGACATGAACTCATTCTTTTTTATGGCTGTCCATTATTCCATGGTGTATGTGTGCCACATTTTATTTATCCAGTCTATGATTGATGGACATTTAGGTTGGTTCCAAGTCTTTGTTATTGTGAACAGTGCTGCAGTAAACATAAGTGTGCATGTATCTTTACAGTAGAATGATTTATAATCCTTTGGGTATATACCCAGTGATAGGATTTCTGGGTCAAATGGTATTTCTGGTTCTAGATCCTTAACTCACTTTTAACAGAGCTATGGGGGCTTTCAGCTCAGCAGTGGCTCTTCTTAGCAGGGGACTGAATGTGTTCCCTTTGCCAAAGCCTACTTTGCTTTGCTTATGTGATGCTACTTACAGGATTTCCAGATTGTTTTTGGTCTCTTCAACCATTTGCTTTCTTTGGACAGGACAATGCCCAGTGATGAAGATGAAGCTCTTGTTCTTGACATCTAATCCCACACCATGACTAATAAACATGGCATGCTGCAATGGGCATTAATTTATGGGTAACAGAAGCAGATCCAAGCCTTTTAGCTAATTAAATAAAAATGCACCATACAGCAACCATCCTGCCTGCTTGGGTGTAAAATAGAGAGGAGAAAGATGGCATGCTGGTCATTGAGAGATAATTACCTGCAATTTCAGAGCTGGAATCTAGTGACAACATAAGAAAAATAATAACCTCTCTGGCTGTTAGGATTCTCAGTTCTAGCTGCGAGCAAGGAGCAAAGGCACCCACAGACTTGCCAAACCTATGTCAGGAATGACGAATAGAAGGCAGAAATCCACATCCCCAGGTGGTAAAATTGTTATCCACCTTCGTCACCTCTTTCCTAATGGAGGAAGTGAGGACAGGCAGCCTTGGAGTCCTACTTGAATGAGGCCTGGACCTTATGCAGGGTAATAAAAACCAACACGTGGGGCCTGTGCTGTAAGGTGGCAGAGGGCGATGACTCACCCCACTCATGCAGGTTGAGTCATTTCAAGGCAGAGTTGTGCCAGTTCAGTACCCAGTAATATTTTCCAGTCGACGAGTATCAGTGAACAGGAGATAACCAGTCATTTCTAGATTCTGCTCAGAGTCCCAGCTTAGAGGCTCCACCAGCTCAAAGAGACGGGATGGCAAAACAGCCACCTTAATTTCCAGATCATCTGCCAGCTCATCTGCCAGCTGACACACAGCCCATGGCTCCACTATTGCCAGTGCTGTAGCTGCACCAGACCAATCTGGTTCAACTTTTATGTAACAAAGTTGTGATTTGTTTTTCAGTTGCCCGGGACTCCCAGGTTGAAGATCATGAGCATGCCCTGATGAGCCAAGGCATGCAACCACAGGGGAACCTAAGTGCTTGGACTGAGGAGTGGGGACTGAAATAAGAAGCGGACACTGCAGGGCAGGATCAGGATCCAATCAGATCGAGCCCTGGCATCACCTCATGGCAGGATCTAGTCAGATCGTGGCTTTTGACATCACTTCATTGTGAAATCCAATCAGATCACACCTTATTACCCTATCCTTATAAAACCGGACCTAGCCCCCAGCTCGAGGAGGCACTGCTTTGGGAGTTATCCCAGGTGTTCTTGTTACTAGTTGCAAGGAATAAAATCCTCTTGCTAAATCCTCCTTGGTTGTGCAGATGTTGGCATGGATGTGGAGAGAAGGGAACACTTACGCTTTGTTGGTGAGGATGTAAATTAGCTCAACTCTGTGATAAACAGTATGGAGAGTTTTCAAAGAACTAAAAATAGAACTTCTACTCAACCCAGCAATCCTATGAGTGCATGAGTGGGTATCTACCCAAAGGAAAAGAGACCATATAAATAATATACCTATTTATTGCAGCACTATTCACAATAGCAAAGTCACGGAACCAAGCTGAGTGCCCATCAGTGGTTGACTGGATAAAGAAAATGTGGTCTATATACACCATGGAATACTAATGAAAATAATGATTTCATTCTTTTTATGGTTGTGTAGTATTCCATGGTTTATATATACCATTCTTGCGGCAATGTGGATGGAGCTGGAGGCCATCATCCTGAGTGAACTAACTGAAAAACAGAAAACCAAATACCGCGTGTTCTCACTTATAAGTGGGAACTAAACAATGGGTACGAATGATCATAAAGATGGAAATAATAGACACTGGGGGCTCCAAAAGCAGAGAGGATGGAAGAAGGACAAGGGTTGAGCACTTACCTGTTGGGTACAATGTTCACTACTGGTATATTGGGGACACTGGAAGCCCAATCCCCACTGGTATGTAATATACCCATGTAACAAACAAATATATGTACCTCCTGAATCTAAAATAATCAATCAATCAATCAATCCTCCTTGGTTGTGGTCATTGGGTTGATATCTGCCAAGTAACCACTGAGCTAAAATTGGGAGCTTTTACATATTCGGTATGTTTCTTTTTTCTTTTCTTTTCTTTTTTTTTTTTTTTTTTTTGATATGGAGTCTCACTCTGTCACCCAGGCTGAAGTGCAGTGACA
This sequence comes from Homo sapiens, assembly GCF_000001405.40. Taxonomy (NCBI): domain Eukaryota; kingdom Metazoa; phylum Chordata; class Mammalia; order Primates; family Hominidae; genus Homo; species Homo sapiens. The sequence goes on from NC_000010.11 coordinate 33,135,797, forward strand.
TGATCTTGGCTCACCACAACCTCCACCTCCCAGGTTCAAGTGATTCTCCTGCCTCAGCCTCTCAAGTAGCTGGGATTACAGGCACCTGCCACCACGCCCAGCTAATTTTTGTATTTTTAGTAGAGGTGGGGTTTTATCATGTTGGTCAGGCTGGTCTCAAACTCCTGATCTCAAGTGATCCATCTGCCTTGACCTCCCAAAGTGCTGGGATTACTGGCATAAGCCACCATGCCTGGCCCATTTTCAGTGCATTTCTGTGTTTAAAGGATATCACATAACTGAAATAACATTTTTTATAAACCATGCAACTTGGCTCTACTGGGTGAAGCTCACGTTAGAGGCCAACTTTCAACATATTTAAACTATGGAAGCCCCCAAAAGAGCAACTTACGTTAAAGGTGACTTATAGCAGAGGTAGCTAGGCTCAGTCCAGACTGGACAGTGCTCTCAAAGTTTATGTGCAGAGGCGGCAGTACCCAGGCAAGTCTTTGAAAGTCCCGGCTTAGAACTTGGCACAATCACCTTAGAGATTGTTCACTGCTACAAATGCAGGCATTGATGCAGGGGTGGGGCAGAAAGACGGGGGAGTGGGAGCCTTGCTGCTAATTGGTTTAGTCTAAGATCAAGCCTAACCTCCCTTGGCCCACACAACTGTTACTATTAAGTGAGACTGAAACTAATCAAAACTATTTACACAGATGTGCCAAGCCTGGGAGATGAAGCAATTATGTGCCCAGACCCATGTTGATGAGTAATTTGTGGCAAACTCCTCTGTATAAGAGGGGGTCATGTAGTAGCAAAGTGGGGTTGTTTTGAAGAGAAAGCCTGCTGATGTGAAACGAAGAGCTGACTTGGATTCCACATGATAGGAGACAGGTATATGCTTGGAGTGCAGCCTCTCCAGGGGAAACTGAGGGAGGGATGGGGGACTAAGTGATCTGCAACTCACTCATGAAAACCCATTTCAACCCAAAACAGACCTAACCTCCTCCACCTTCCATTAAGTAATTTATCAGGGTTTTAAAAGAAGAATCCATATTTCTTACACTTCCTTTCTGTTGGACAATGCAGTGATATGACCAAGGGCTTGGGGTGTGGATTGCAGGGGAGGGAAGGTTAATTAGCAACACAGATTAATTAGCAACCAGTCAGGGAGACGGATCTGTGCTCTGATTCATCTAACAAAAACTCTGGAGGTGGCTATGCTTAATATGCTCCTTTGCAGATGTCAGATCTATAAGTGAGAGAAGCTAAGTGAGTCACCACAGGTCACAAAGCTAGCAAGAGGAGACAGATTGTAAGATCATAAACCAAAGTCCCAGGCCTCCAAACCCCATGCTCTTTCCTACAAAATATACTATCTTCCTTCTGAAAATTATGCTCATCATAGGGACGAACTTTGTTTCCCAGGATTAGTTGGGCTCACGTACATGCTACCATATTGACTCGGGTTCTCTAGGGTACTGGACCAGAATGTTTGTTCCCTCAAAACTTGAGGTCCTAGGGCCATCTAGGAGGAGCGGTGCAAGAGGCTTTGGGATCGATTGCCAGGCTGTGGGCCCCTGGGGGTGAGGGGCCTGAACAAAACGTGAAATACGGCTCCACTTTCTGCATCAGCAGAGGGGAGGCTGGGCGTGCCTGTGCCCCCAGAAGTGAACCCTTATGTCCAGAGCAGTGAGGAATGTTGAAGTCAGGAATTCCCCCTTCCTTCCCTCAAGCCAGGTCCTCAGAAGCCCGGATGAAACTCCTTGATAGGAGATGTTTTGAAGGAACCTGGGTAAAGTGCTTCTGTGGACTGCAAGATCTAACAAGTCTCAGAGTCAGACAGTCTGAGGAGTAGACCCATAGATGCCGAGTGCATACTTTCTCTGGGCGACACTTTGCATTTACGGAACAGGTGCTGGGAGCCAGGAGGTGAGAACTCCCAGAGACTCAGTCCCTGCCCTCAAGGAATTCCCAGTCTAATCAGGGACATGAGCTTGTAAACCTGGCTCCTCCCCGACCCGGCCCTCAGCCCAACCCTGAGTCATCCTGATGCTCACTCAGGATTGGAGGTCCTGGAAGTCCACAGTATGGGTGGGAGAAGAGGAGGAGCCGCTCACTCATGCAGAGGGAAGGAGAGAAGAGTGAAGTAATGAATGCATGCATTCATTCAGCAGCTGTTTAGGAGAGCCTTTCCCGTGTCCATCACTCTCCTGGGTGCTGCGACTATGGTAGAGAACAACACAAATTTAAATAAAAAGTCCCTGTTATGATGGAGGTGATGGGACTTGATCTCTTTGCATAGCATCCAGATTATTGGAGAAGTGAGGGAGGAAAAGGATATTCTAATCTCATTGTGAAATTGAGGAAACCAAAGCCTTTCTACTTACAAAGTGGCAGCCCCAAGATGCAAACACAAGTCTCTCAATTCCGCTATGTGCTGGTGCCCACACACATAGGGACCCTCCCCTTAGCTAGGTTGCTATGAGAGAGGCCACAGAGCCCTAGCAAGGAAATTGCACAAAGGCCAGCACCAAAGGTTGTTGTGATCATAAATTTGGTCCTTCCAGTAGTTTCTGGGGAGACAAGGGTCACAAATGCATCTATCTTTTGGTCAGCCGTTTTAGTATCAGCTTCCAGGTCTATTGGATAGAGATATTCATCTACACGAATAAATAACTCCTTGAAATAATTCAAGGCTTTTCAGAAACCACAATCAAATTTGTAAAATAAGGCAAAGCAAAGCAAAACACAACAAAACACTTACGTAACCATTGTTTGTGATGCAAAGCTGTAATTAAGAACCAGAATTTAACAAATATACATGAAAAAAAGCATAGAGTTGATCAGCATATTATTTTCAGGGCAAATCATAATAGTAAACTTGCATATTTCAGGGAATTTTTGTTTATACATTTTCCCCAGACCAAGCCTGAAATTCCTGTATTAAAAAAAATCACCGCCAGGCGTGGTGGCTCACACCTGTAATCCCGGCACTTTGGGAGGCCGAGATGGGCAAATCATCTGAGGTTGGGAGTTCGAGACCAGCCTGACCAACCTGGAGAAACCCAGTCTCTAGTAAAAATACAAAATTAGCTGGGCATGGTGGCGCATGCCTGTAATCCCAGCTATTCAGGACACTGAGTCAGGAGAATTGCTTGAACCCGTGAGGCAGAGGTTGCGATGAGCTGAGATGGCGCCATTGTACTCCAGCCTGGGCAACAAGAGCGAAACTCTGTTTCAAAAAAAAAAAATCACCCTATCAGTTAACTAGAGGAATAAAGCATAACATAAATGGGTACTTTTCCAGCAATTTCATTTTTTTTTAGATTTAATATTAGTTACAGGAAAGAATACACTGTCAAGGAAATCCATCAACAGCTTGGTTTTCAGAGGGAAACTCAGATACACACTTATCTATCCAAGGTTACCAGGTACCCATGGTTACTTCAGTTCAAAAAGAAACAAAACAAACCCCAAGTGCTTGAAGTGGTAACAACGGTTAGTTTTATTTCACAGCTGGTAACGTAGGTAGAAGGCACAAAAACAAGGCTGTGCAGGGGGCGGTTACTTCCTTTTCAGTGGATGGGCAAGTCATGGACTTTCGCAGTCTGAAAGCTGCTGCCGCCCCCCCCAGAGCTTGACCTCCACTCCAACGCAGCATCCCAGGGTCACAACCTGGAACTTGTCATCATCTACACCGTGTTTTGGAGCCCACATCTTAAACTCCCTGTCCCTTCAGCTCTTCCTCCTCTTCTTGGCAATATTCTCTCCAGCACCTTCAGCACAAGCCCCCGTCTCCAGCTTCGTCATGCCCCCCTCATGCATCATCTCCCCTCCATCCGTGCTCGGTGAAGCCGTTCTCCATCCACCTCTTCTGCCTCTCTCATTTTACTCCACTGCTGTTCCTTGCCTTTAGTTACCCTTTCCTGTCTTAGTCCATTTTCTGTTGCTTGTAACAGAATACCTGAAACTGGGTAATATGTAAAGAAAGGAAAAGTATTTTTTACACTTAGGGAGTCTGAGAAGTCCAAGATTGATGGGTCATAGCTGGTGGGGACTGAGGTGGCACAGGGTGTCACATGGTGAGAGTCTGAGTGTCCTGACTCAGGTCTCTTTTCCTTTTTTTTTGTTTTTTTAGATGGAGTCTCGCTCTATCGCCAGGCTGGAGTGCAGTGGTGCAATCTCGGCTCACTGCAACCTCCGCCTCCTGGGTTCAAGAGATTCCCCTGCCTCAGCCTCCCAAGTAGCTGGGACTATAGGCGCCCGCCACCATGCCTGGCTAATTTTTTTTTCCATTTTAGTAGAGAAGGGGTTTCACCATGTTGGCCAGGAAGATCTCGATCTCCTGACCTCATGATCTGCCCACCTCAGCCTCCCAAAGTGCTGGGATTACAGGTGTGAGCCACTGCCCCCGGCCTTTTCCTCTTCTTGTAAAGCCAGCAGCTCCATTCCAATGATAATTTACTAATCTGTCAACCTATTAATCCATGAATGGATTAATCCACTGATGAGGGCAGAGTCCTCATGACCCAGTTACCTCTTAAAGGCCCCTCCTCTCAACTCTGCCACATTGGGGATCAAATTTCAACATGGGGTTCAGACAGGACAGACATTCGAATCATAGCACTTCTCTTCCTTTACTTCTCCACCAATCGTGAAGATATACGGAGAGATCAAGACCCATCATCTCCACAGGAATGGGGATTTTAAAATCTGTTTTGCTCACTGCCATAGTCCCAGCACCCAGGAGGCATTCCAGGCTCTCAATAAGCATCTGTGGGAACGGTGGCTCACGCTTGTAATCCCAGCACTTTGGGAGACTGAGGTGGGTGGATCACCTGTGGTTGGGTGTTTGAGACCAGCCTGGCCAATATGGTGAAACCTCGTCTCTACTAAAAATACAAAAATTAGCCAGGTGTGGTGGTGCGTGCCTATAATCCCAGCTATTTGGGAGGCTAAGGCAGGAGAATCCCTTGAACCAGGGAGGCGGAGATTGCAGTGAGCCGAGATTGCACCACTGCACTCTAGCCTGGCCTGGACTCTGTCTCAAACAAAACAAAACAAAAGTGTGGAATGAAGGCATACATTCATTACTTCCCTCCCTGGGTTCTCGCCACTCTTCTCTTCTTCCCTCTGTACGGTGAGCTGCTTCTTCTGGTTCTCTTATCCCATTCTGTGTGTCTACAGGAGTCCCCAGCCTGGAGCCCACATCAGGACCATCTGCAGTGTCTAAATAAGTGTGCCCTGAGGTCCAGCCCCAGAGGTTCTCACTCAGATCTGGGCTGAGGGCCAGGTATAGGAGATGCCAGGTTTACAAGCTCGTGTCCCTGATTGGACTGGGAATTCCTTGAAGACAGGGACTGTGCCTATGGGAGGTCTCACCTCCTGGCTCTCAGCACCTATTCCAGAAATGCTTCCTGGATCGAGGGCATAATGAGTCCAGCGTGGCTTTGGGCATGTCTTATACTCTGGGTGTAAGTGTTTGCATCTGTGAAATATGCCGTTAGAACGCTCTGTCTTTTGTTTCCTTTGTGACCCTAGGACTCCATCAGCTCCTATATGTGAAGAGTGGAACATCAGATTTGAAGCCTGATTGCAACTTGAAGGCCTCATCTAATCACACAGCTTGTGTGCCTGGGCCCTGAGTGGTATTGGCCTAAAGCATAATGCAATTCACCCTGCATTTACATTCCTCTTCATCTGATTTGCCGGAGAATCTGGATTTGTTAAGGATCTCAGCTTATTTTCCTCAGGCAGATGCTCTTAGTTTCTCAGCAATCCAGCAGTGGTTACAGAGCCTGGGTCTGTAGGAGATGAGGGGCCCAGCACTGGAGGGGGGGCTACCTTGGAAGACAGCTCCTCCCATCCCCACTGATTTTTCAAGTCAACGGGGGTAATGGTTTCACCTAGTCCTGGGGGTTTCTTGAGGCCACTGTGCACTCAGTAGCACCATCAGTCCTGACTCCCTTAATAAGAAGAAAAAAAGTCTTGGCCAGGCATGGTGGCTCACGCCTGTAATCCCAGCAATCTGGGATGCTGAGGCAGGCGGATCACTTGAGGTCAGGAGTTCGAGACCAGCCTGGCCAACCTGGTGAAACCCCATCTCTACTAAAAAAATACAAAAATTAGCCAGGCATGGTGGCAACCTCCTGTAATTCCAATTACTCGGGAGGCTGAGGTGAGAGGATTGCTTGAACCCAGGAGGCAGAGGTTGCAGTGAGCCGAGATAGCGCCATTGCACTCTAGCCTGGACGACAGAGCGAGACTCTGTCTCAAAAAAAAAAAAAAAAAAAAAAGAATCTTTTCATGGGGTGGAGAGTGGCTGTCCCTTTAATGGAGATCTCCAGGGACACGGATGAGTGAAAAGAGGTTTTATGCATTGATGAAAGCCTTTAAAATCCCCAAATCTGTTCAGAACTAGTGAAAGATGGAGAGGTTGGAAACTAGAAATTGGCTTTTGGCACCTCTGAGTCTCTCCAGCTGAGCCCAGCCACCAAACACCCTTATGGCTTCTCCCAGATCAGCCTTGAGTGATGAAGCCAACAGGGAGGGAGCTGCTGATGGAGGAGGGAGAGGGATGGGAGGGGGAGAAAGAGGAAAGGAAGGAGGGGCTGGGGGACACTGACAAAACCCCGGCTAGGCTGCTCCCAGGGGCTGAGGCTCTGGAAAACAAATTTGGAAACATTATCCCATATCCCACAAGATCTCCATTGAAGACATTAAGCCCAGAGGCCCAAAGGGACCCATTGAAGAGACAAGGCCAGAGCCAGGGATCTTGAAGGCTCAGCCGTTCCGGTGAAATCAAAACAGCATGAGCCAAACAGCTCATGAAGAGATAAGGGATTAGACCACGCTCAAAACCATGTGAAGATGAGGAACTTGCTAACATTCTTGAGTTCCCCATAGAAAATGGGCTTGTTCAACTCAGGAATGAACTGTGAAATGCTGAATTCTACTCTGGGGTCTCTGATGAAGCATAAAAAGCCAAAAAATTCTTCCACAACCCATTTGGGGGAAATGGCACATGAACTCACTCTCTACTGCTCCAGGGCTGGCTACACAGCAGACCCCACAGCCCTGCATTTGTTTGTGATTGCACCCGAGTTGTGAGTTCAGGAGATTTTTAAATCCACTGATAAAATGAGTTCTTATTGGAATTCAGAAATTAAACATGAACCAGGGGGTATTTTTATTGTACTTTTCCCTTTACTGGTAAAGTCTTTTCATCTTGAATTGGATCCCAATTTTTCACTGGGAAGCTGCCATCCAGCCTTGCAGGAAAAAAAAAAAAAATTAAAAATTAAGCAAAGAAAGCTTGAGGCAACTATAAGTAGTGGAGTATAAGTAATACCATCAGAAAGGAAGTTGTGGGTGGACATGGGGCAGGTTCCTTGCTGTTAGGGGATGCATGGGTCAAGGACTGGGTTGGGGGCACTCATACTTTATGCTGAACATTCAAAAAATCACTACCTGGAACACCACGGTTCACACCAAGGTTCCCCAGCCAGCGCATTATGAACATAATCTGAGCTCCCCAGAAGACTGTCTCAATTTTTTCCAAGTATGTTTTCAGTTAGAAAGTGAATTTTAATACTAGGCAGAGGGCAAGGCCTTTTAGGGATCTCTCAGAATCCTGAAATGCTGAAAAGCCACCCACAGAAGTTCATCATCCACCCCCTGCAGCAGTGACTCATACTTATGTGTTAACATGAGCTCGTGTGCTCTGCTTTCATGTTCTCAGGAGTCAGAAATGACTCTATAAGATGTGGCATTATTAGCCGGGAGGGTTTGGTGGCATGGGGCCCGTCAGAACCAGGGAGATGGGAAGATTCTTATCAATGGAGAGCTCAAGAGACAAGTTCTGGACCCAGATCCCTCAGGGCTGTGGGGAAGGGACTGGGCACTGGGAAACAGGAGGCCAAGAGCAGGTGCTCCCCTGAAACTCTCATTTTCTTAGCCCTTCATCTGGTACTGGAGCCCCTGGGGGTCAGATATCTGTCTGCTCCCTCTAAATTGGTTACGAAATGGCCAGGACATCAACGTGATCTACCCCAAGAAGTCCACTTGATGATGCTCCAGCTTCACTATACGAGATCCCCTCTGGAGTGAAGCGCAGAGATCCAGGCTGCTGACTTATGTTTCTTCCTTCCCTCTTGTCTTTCATGAGTGCTGCCCTTGTCACTGAGGTGTTGAGGAGGAGGGATAAGAAGGCGGAGTTTCTGGCCGGGCGCGGTGGCTCATGCCTGTAATCCCAGCACTTTGGGAGGCCGAGGCAGGCGGATCACTTGGGGTCAGGAGTTCGAGACCAGCCTGGCCAACATGGTAAACCCCGTCTCTACTAAAAGGTGCAAAAAATAGCCAGGCGTTGTGGTGGGCACCTGTAATCCCAGCTACTGGGGGGAGTGGCTGAGATAGGAGAATTGCTTAAACTTGGGAGGTGGAGGTTGCAGTGAGCCGAGACTGCACCACTGCACTCCAGCCTAGGCGACAAGAGTGAAACTCCGTCTCAAAAAAAAAAAGGCTGGGGGGAGTTCCTACTCTTCCTTCACCCTCAGACTAACCACCACCCAATGGGGTTCAAAGTTTGTGAGTGTTGTCCTTCTGAGAATACACACTGTTCATCTCTTGGTGTGAGGCTAATTGAACAGAAACACAATGGTTAATATTAATCAGAAAATTGGGAAACGAACAGAGAAGAAAATACTGGTGAAAGTGGAAGGTTTGGGACAGAGTAGAAAAAATGAATTGAATTAGTTAGGGTAATTTTAGATGCTATAAAAATATAAACTGTTAAATTTTAATGGCTTCACACACTAGAAATTTATTTCTAGGCCGGGCGCTGTGGCTCACACCTGTAATCCCAGCACTTTGGGAGGCTGAGGCAGGCGGATCACGAGGTCAGGAGATCGAGACCATTCTGGCTAACACGGTGAAACCCCGTCTCTAATAAAAATACAAAAAAAAATTAGCCAGGCGCGGTGGCGGGTGCCTGTAGTCCTAGCTACTCAGGAGGCTGAAGCAGGAGAATGGTGTGAACCCGGGAGGCGGAGCTTGCAGTGAGCTGAGATCGCGCCACTGTGCTCCGGCTTGGGCGAAAGAGCGAGACTCCGTCTCAAAAAAAAAAAAAAAGAAATTTATTTCTAGCTGTTGAGCAGTTTGATGCAGGTATTTTTGGTTGAGCCAAGACTTGCCACAGTGTAGCAATCAGGATACCTGGTTCTCTCTCTCTCTCTCTTTTTTTTTTTTTTTGAGATGGAGTCTTGTTCTGTTGTCCAGGCTGGAGTGCAGTGGCGTGATCTTGGCCTCCTCCTCCCAGGTTCAAGTGATTCTCCTGCTTCAGCCTCCTGAATAGCTGGGACTACAGGCGTGTGACACCACGCCCAGCTAATTTTTTTTATTTTTAGTAGAGATGTGGTTTCACTGTGTTAGCCAGGATGGTCTCCATCTCCTGACCTCGTGATCTGCCTGCCTTGGCCTCCCAAAGTGCTGGGGTTATAGGTGTGAGCCACTGCACCTGGCTGGGATACTTGGTTCTTTTCATCTTGTGGTCCGACGGCCTTGGAGAAGGAGAAGGTGTGGAGAAGGCATCCCCAGTTCCTGAATGCCTGGACTGGAAGTGACAAAGATCATTTCCACCCACATTCCCATTCCAGTTCTTTATTGATGTGTAACAAATCACCCCAAACTTGGTGCATTACAGCAGTGACAACATCTGTTTTCCCCATGAATTTGCAATTTGGGCAGGGCTTGGTGGGGACTGCTTGCTTCTCTTCCACTTGGTGTCTCCCAGGATTGCTCAAAGGCAGGGGTGGAGGTATTGGACAACTCACCAGCCCCTCCCCTTCACCTCAAAGGCTGGTGTCTCTGTGTACGTCAACTGTGGCCATAGCCAGGACACCCACACTTGGACTTTTCATGTGGCTGCTGGGCTGCCTCACACCTTGGTGGCTGGGTTCCAAGAGTGTCCCAACAGGCCTGGACGGAAGCTGTATCACCTTTTGTGACTTGGCCTGATAAGCCTCACAAGCTTACCCAGATTGAAAGGGAGAGAACATAGAGACCATGGCTTATTACAGGAGTGCAACATCATATTATGAAACAATATGAAGTGGGAGTTACTGGTGTGGTCGACTATAGGGAATCTGTCACAATTCCTTTGGTGAGAACTAGTCATATGAGGCCACCCAGATGCAAGATGAGTTAGACCGTATAGCCGTAGCTGGGCAGCCACTTCAGAGTGGCAATGATGGCAGGAAAGCCTATTTTGGTTGTAGCGAGTGACCTCTGACTCATGCAATAAGGAGCTTTTTCACTTCATGAATGGGTCCATTGTAACGCTCACTGGTCAAATGGAGACATCTGCAAAGACACTTTGTAGGGTGCTGGCAGAGATACCAGCACCACGCTGTGAGCTCTTGAGTCTCTGTTTGAAGGGAAAGTGTGACCACATGGTTCCCAGACAGTGTTCTGATGTTCCGACACTCTCCACTTTTAACACATCCCAATGGAAGTGGACCAGGCCAGGCCGACCTTAGGCTCAGCTTGACAGCTGCAGAAATGTAGCAAGGCAGACAGATACTCTGTCATGGGCTCTGTCCTCACCAGCCATTTTCTTGTCCTCTGATCCTCTCATTTATAGAGCTTCTCTGACTTCCTGTGGCAGTAAAACATTTCAGTGATAAAAGTAACACTCTAGAACATTCATTCATCCATTTAGTTAACAAATTTAATGAGCACTTACTATGTGCCAGGCACAGTGCTGGGCACTAGAGAGACACTGCGAATTCGACCAGAAGGACAGTGTTACCATGCCGCAGGTGCTGTGCCTGGTTTCACCTGCAGTTCAGCGTGGGGTATGCTGTAATGCATAAAGACAAGGTGGCTAGGCAGCAGACAGTCTAGTGACTTCCACAGTATACTGGCGGTGCAGCAATTAACCTAATTAAACTGCCTAACTGGTAAACTCATGCTCCTTGTGTCAGATGGATAAATCATCAACGATGAAAGATGAAATGATGGAGATATTCTTCATACACTTATCTGGGGGCAATTAATTATAACAGTCTGGAATGGCATTTGTGCCTTGCAATACGGAGGCAGCTGAAGAAATTATGTATGTACTGCTGCAACTAATTTGCATTTAATTGTAATCGGCATTCATTTAGGGTCCTGGCAGCTGAGCTGCACACTGTGTCACCCAGACACTTCAGCAGATCACAAAGTTACCCTATGAGTGTTTCAGGGATGCCGACTGCATTTGTAACAAGTGGCATTTTGGCATACAAGAATCGTCTTTCTTCAAAAAAGAGATGAACCATGAAAGAAATGTCAAAATTGGGAATGGAGAAAATTGCTGGGTGCTTTTGGAAAATACTTCTCCCCACCTACCCTTGAAAAAAAATCCCAGACCCTCTTTTATCCTTCCTTTCAGCTGTAGCAGTAGAACGAAAGCATGTTTTTCTAAATTGGCAGGGAATGAGTGGTATTTGAACAAAGGACACATCAAATGTGGGACAACTTCATAGGAAGAGCTTAACAGAAAGAATAAAGAAAACAGAAGCCCAAACCCTTGATGGTTTTGATGCCTGCCAAGGGAGAAGACTTCATTGGCCATTTTGGCCATGATGAATCCTTGTTTTTCAGGAAGTTGGAAGCCACCCTATAGGACGTGCCTCATTTAAGTGTATAAGTTGGGGCCGTAGAAATAAAAGACTAAAAAATTATTCATACACAGGGCTTCTGTGTTCAACTGTATGCTGTCGCTTTTGAAGGACTTATCTTGGATGGTTCTAGGCTTACCTTGACTTTCATTTCTCAAAGCGTTGTTTGGAATTCCTCCATAGACATGAAGGCTTTTTTTTTTTTTTTTTTTAGTATTTTAGCTCTAAAATAATTTAGAACCACATCTGAGGAATAGGATAGATATGCAAGCTGAATCTAATATAGGTGTGTGATCGTTTGGATGTTTGTCCCCTCCAAACCTTGTGTTGGAATGAGATCCCCAGAGCTGGAGGTGGGGCCTGGTGGGAGGTGTCTTTGTTGTGGGGGCAGATCCCTCATGAATGGCCTGGTGCCTTCCCCGAACTAATGAGTGAGTCCTGGCTCTGTTAGTTCACTCGAGAGCTGGTTGTTTAAAAGATCCTGGCATCTCCTCCCCTCTCTCTTACTTCCTTTCTTCCCATGTGACATGCCTGCTCCCCCTTCACCTTCTGCCATGAGTAAAAGCTTCTTGAGGCCTCACCAGAAGCTGAGCAGATGCTGGTGCCATGCTTATACAGCCTGCAGAACCGTGAGCCAAATAAACCTCTTTTCCTTATAAACTGCCCAGTTTCAGGTATTCTTTTATAGCAATGTGAAATGGACCAACACTGTGTATGTGTTTCCCATATGTGTGTGTTCGTAATAATAAGAGACGTGCCACAATGAGATGAATTATATCATTAATGTCAATAAGTTTATGTGGATTTTAAGTTGGCTCGGAAGGCATTTATTGAAGAGTGCTACCCAACTTGTTGAAAAGATATTGCCATTGCCGGACATTGCTTGTGACCTAACAATTCCCTTGTTTTATTTGGCCATGGAATCCTTTCTTTATATATTTTGATTAACACCCTTGTAAACACAATTCCTCAAAACATCATTTGGGAAATGCTGAACCACAGCAATCACAAAGAAAAGAATTAAAAGCAGGGACTTAAGCAGATATTGTACACCCATGTTTATAGCTACATTATACACAATAGTCAAAAGTTAGAAACAACTCAAATGTTCATTGATGAATGAATGAATAAATAGAAGATGGTATATACATACAGTGGAATATTTTTCAGTCTTACAAAGGAATGAAATTCTGATACATGTTGCAACATGGGTGAACCTCAAAAACATGCTTATCTAAATATACCAGACACAAAAGGATAAATACCATGTGATTCCACTTATATGAGGTACCTACAGTAGTCAAATTCATAGAGACAGAAAGTAGAATGGTGATTTACAGGCACTGGGGCGAGGGAGGAATGGAAAGTTGTTTAATGGGTAGAGTTTTCATATTGGATGAAAAAGTTATGGAACTGGCTTGTGAAGTGGTTGTACAACATTGTGAATGTACTTAATGCCATTAAGTCGTGCACTTAAAAAATGTTTAAAGCGGCAAAGTTTGTGTGATATGTGTTTTTCCATAATTTAAAAAAAGAAAAGAAAAAGGAATAATTAGAGAATACGAATGAAGCTATGGAGATTAAAACTAGCATGGTGGCTCACTCCTGTAATCCCAGCACTTTGGGAGGCCAAGGCAGGCAGATCACTTGAGATCAAGAGTTTGAGACCAGCCTGGCCAACATGGTGAAACCCCGTCTTACTAAAAATACAAAAAAATTAGCTGGGTGTGGTGGTGTGTACCTGTAATCCCAGCTACTTGGGAGGCTGAGGCAAGAGAATCCCTTGAACCCAGGAGATGGAGGTTGCAGTGAGCCAAGATTGCGTCACTCCACTCCAGCCTGGGCGACAGAGTGAGACTCTGTCATAGACAAACAAACAAACAAAAAACCCAAAACTAGAATATCTCCTCTTACAGCATTTTATTACAAAGGTTAGAAGAGGGAAATGGATTTTTTTAAAAAAACAGACATGGAAAATAGAAAATGAAAAACTGGAAAATCAGAATTGAATGAGGAAATCCAAGATCTGATGGACAGGAATTCCAGAAACAGGAAATAAGAAAATAGAGTGCACAGAATTATTAAAATATTAATACAAGAAAACTTCCCAGAGCTGATGGACACAAGTTTCTAGATTGAAATAGCCCATAATATGCTGAGAACATATCAAAGACTGAAAATACGCCTACATAGAGACGTAGCATCATGGAACCTGTGGTCATGGAATGACCTAAAAGATTCCAGAAATCAGCCTTAAAAGAAGGATTAGGAAAAAGAATAGTACTGGATTTTCCAACAGCAACACCATGAGCCACAAGGCAATGGACCAAAGCCTTCCACATGCAAAGGGAAAATGATTTCCAACCTAAAATTATTATTATTATTATTTTTGAGATGGAGTTTCACTCTTGTTGCCCAGGTTGGAGAGCAATGGTGTGATCTCGGCTCACCACAACCTCCACCTCCTGGGTTCAAGTGATTCTTCTGCCTAGCCTCCCGAGTAGCTGGGATTACAGGCACGTGATACCACGCCTGGGACTGATTTTGTATTTTTAATAGAGACAGGGTTTCTCCATGTTGGTCAGTCTGGTCTCGAACTCGTGACCTCAGGTGATCTGCCCACCTGGGCCTCCCAAAGTGCTGGGATTATAGGCGTGAGCCACCGTGCCTGGCCCCAGCCTAAAATTCTATGCTTAGCTGAAAGATTGATAAGAAAATGCTGGTCATCCTCTTGCAGTTGGCACTAAATTCATGTAAGATTATTTGTTCTTTAAGGCTCTGTTCTGCAGGCCAGTCAATGTGAGGATGTTTGCTATCAAACACTTTTTCAAAGCATTTTTAGTTCATCTGTTCTTTCGTTCAGCCCTTAGAGAGGTCATGTAGTAGCAGAGAAGGAATTCAGAGAACTGGCTCAACTTCCTTTTGCCATCGTTTTATTTTTGAGCCTGTGTGTTCTAGATCCTGTGACTTCTTGTTTCTTGGTTTAATCTCTCATTTGGCAAGATCATATCCTCCAACAGCTGCAGAGATATGGAAAATATGAGTACCTACACATCAGCAAATGTCTTTAGTCTATAATTAAATTTGACAGTACATTAAGAAACATAGGATCCCAAAGCAGAGGAGCCCAAGAACGACAGCGATGCCTGTCTTGTTCTTTATTGGCCAGTTTGCCCCATGCGGGCATCCCAGGGCCTGTAGGCTTTGAGCAAGCGAGATCCTTGAACATCACTGAAGTCTGGGAGGGATGGGAGAAGCAGACCCTCCAAGGGATCTGGTCATGTGGGGCCAGGGCATGGGATCTATAGTTCTTCGTGCTTCAGCTCCCACCACGGCAGGTGCCAGGAGAGAAGCTGAGTCCACTGGAGAGGAAGCAATGGCTAGGGTACTAGGCTGTGCACTGAGCTCTCCGCTGAGAGCCTCGGAGGTGGAGAGTGGATGGGAGAGAGGGCACAACAAAAATTGGGGTGGTGCAATCAAGTTTATTACACTACCCCCTCCCAACCAAACCCATCCTCTGAGAAGTAACCCTGTTCAACAGCTTAGCTTGGAAATATTAACATCTCTGATTGTTGGTCAGGAAGCATGATGCCATTTTTATCTTTTTCATCTAAACAAAGTCAAACAAAACCTCTCTCTCTTCAGGGCAAACAACCTTGACAGATGGGTTTCCTGGGCAACTGTAGGCACCTTGAGTATTTTCTTCAGTGCGGTTACCTCTGTACCTGACACTCAGTCAATGTTGCTTGAGTGGACAAGTGAATGACTGTCCAGCATCAATACATTCCTGTTGATTTGTTAGATGAGGAGACCATAAGGAAAAAAAAAAGTCACATCATGTGGATCAGTTGTTCTCAAACTTGAGCATGCACAAGCATTGCGTGGGGAAGATTGTGAAAACTGCAGGCCTTGGTTTCCAGTGTTAAAGTTTCCAATTCCGTCGATCTGGGGTGGAGAGGAGAATTTGCATTTTTAAAAACAAACATCTCAGGTGAGTCTGGTGCAGGTGGTGTGGAGACCACATTAAGAGAAGCAATGCTGAAAGTGCTGGTCATTTGTGGCATGTTGCCTTAGGGATGTGAATGGTAGAAAAAGACCATGTTTTATGTTTACTCCCAGCAAGGGCCACACCTACAGGACACAGCTGCAGATACCACATTTGCCTTCCTATCCACCTGACATTGGAGAGAACTTGCTACTGAAAAAGGAACTTGACCATTATTGCAACAAATGACCTGTAAATACACAGTGTGAGCTATCCACACAGTGTGGGCTGAGACATGCCGAAGTCCTATATCACTCCCAAATATCTCTCATCCTATGGCATTTTATCCCATAGGCATTTATTAGGTACTTACTTTGTGCCAGGCACTGTGTTCAGTTCTGGAGACAACAGGTGTTTCAGAAATATAAGTCTTGAGCCAGGCAGCGTGGTGCACACCTCTAGTTCCAGCTACTTGGGAAGCTAAGCCTGGAGGATCACTTGAGCCCAGGAGTTCGAGGCCAGCCTGGGCAACATAATGAGATCCTGTCTCTAAAAAATAAAAAATAAGAAAAAGATATAAAGGTTTTTGAAATCTTTTATCATATTTGTACTTTCTTTGGGCAAGAATGCAACCACGTTCCCTGTGAATCTAGTAGCAAGACGAGTGAGCATGAAGTCAGCAATGGTGAGTGGATGAAGGGTAGTAGAAGGTGTGAACCAGAAAAAACTGATTTTGTTAACCAACCTCAGTGAAACTGTGGAGAACCCATGTTTTCTAAGATCCCACGCTCTGAGAAAGTTTGCTGTTTGGTTCGCTTTGATGGGAAAGGGCAGCCCGTTCTTGTGGAGGGGCCAAGCCTCATGGGTCACTTTGACATAGGGAAGCAGCCTCGGTTTCCAAACCAGACGATAAGAAGTTTGAACACAACATTCCACAGTTATCTTAACTTTGCTGTTTCCAAGGAAACAGGACCCTGAGTCCAAGTCTTAGACCTGCTGGTTATCAGACTATGATGTTCCCAATAGAATCTACAAAGAAAAAAAAAGTTCGTGATGGGACTTGGCCAAGACCACATAAATTTACAGCGTGCCTCCCAGGCCATCCCACAGCTGCAGAGGGATGGGCAACCTCTGTCCTTTTGAGCAATTATTGCTTTCCTACCTAATGGCGACTTCTTTCCCAGTGACTCCCTCAGCCCCACTTCACTCTTCTTCCTCCTGAATAATGATTGCTGCATACCTAGTTTCTAAACGCCTGTTCTTCATGGCAGCGTCCAATATAGAGCTTTCCATCTTCCCTAGCCCCTCTTAAAAATCATTCTGCACAAGCCCAAAACCCATAACAAGCCCCGCTGCAACCCCATCTTAATGAGATGCTCCACAATTCCCGTGGTGTTCCATCAACCTTGTCGTAGCTGGTTAACAAACCTATTTTTTTTTTTTTTTTGGCCACAAGTATGTTCTTAGTAATCCTTATTTGATGGACTTTATCAAAGGGTAGAGGTTGGCAAAGATGGGATTCTTCTCCTTCAAGAGGTACATGTTTTGCAACCAGATTTCTGAGAAGACTTAATAGTAACAAGCCCCGAGTTGCAGTGTTTGCCAGCCTTTGTGGTGTAACTACTCAACATTCTGGTCAATTTCAAGCTACCAGCATGATGCCATTTTGAACACAGAGTTGGGAAGAGATGCACTCAATCAGCTTTTGGGGGTCTTCACAAGTTGGCTTCAGCAAACCACTGTCCCCAACTTACCCATCTTTCTCAAACAAGAACTTTTTTTTCTCATGGAGTTTTCCAGATTTGTTTCTCCACAGAGTAGCTTATGATCTTGTATCCCCCTGAACTTGAGCAAGGAATCTGGTGCTAAGCTGATGTATAAGCAGGTTCTGAGGAATGTCATGACAAATAGACATCACCAACACAGATCCTGCATGTAAAAATTGACGAATGGGAAACAGCCCAGAGATTCAGAGACTAGTAAACGCCCATTCATATAGTTACCGTTGGTTGCTTCTTGGAAGGTAGCTTCACAGCTAGGACTGAAGCCCCATGGTTTCATCTTAGAGAAGAGATACACACCCTCTTAGGTATCAACATGAGCTCATCTTGCTTTGGCCCAGGCTTAATGAAAGCCTTGAGAAAGACCTGGCTTTTTTTTTTTAATCATACAAAGAAAATTATCTTTGTGGAATATCTGTGAAGTGATTATAGATAATGGTCCACGATCTGATGGCTACAAGTTCAGCCACTTGGCTGAGAAACGAATTCCCTATCTGCTACTCCAAGACCTCATTATGTGCTCACGCTGGCAAATTGGTAACGAAAAGACTTAAAAAGTTTCTGAGAGCAAAGCAGCTCCTTTCTTAGCCTGACTGGCCTACAGAGCAGGGCCCTTGGGAGCAGAGAACTAAATTCAATGCAAATTTCAAACAAGATTACCAGTGGCTTCTCATCCTCCTGGAAGTTTGAGAATGTGTAGACTGTACAAAGCCAACAGACAAAGATGGAAACACCGTAACTGAAGGGAGGAAAAAAGAAAATGGTTTAGGCTAGGCTAAGAAGGTTGGTATTATTTTTCTAAAGAGGCATAAGCTCCTTTGACAAGAATACAAAGGAAATGGATCTTACTTTCAGTTCAGCACTTTACTCAGCAAACTCGTGTAGTATCTTTCTTGTGCTGGAGAAATCAGAATGAAACTCTGTGTCTACTGAGAGAGATGGGTATGGGAGGCAGTTACTTGCTTCTTTGCTGTCACATCCAGTCCTTGGCCATTCTCTGAAATCTGCATTTCCCAGATAGCCTTAGCAACAGGCGTTGGTCTCTGTTTAAGGCCGTGGGGACACTGGCTTGAGATTGGAGGATGGGTATTGGGTAGATGGTGGGAGAATCATCCCCATCTCTCTTTGCTTCAGGTGGTGTTCCAGTGATCCTAGTTCCACTGGACCAGATCTAGCCAGGGAGCCTTGACTGCTGGGCTCTGGTAACAGCTTATGCTTTACCTTTGTTCTTTTAGCCCTGTGACTGCTAGCAGCTTCCTAGTGTAACTAAAATCTGAGATGCCCCCTTACGTCTTCTTTGGTTTATTCACTCTCTCAACATCTTTGTAACTGGCTTATTGCATTAAATTCCTCCTGTTGAACTACCTGGAAAGGGCTTTATTTTATTGACCATAGCCTGACAAATACAGAAAACAAATACATAATTTAATTATAATATGATGCTGCTATAAATAGCGCCTGTACAAGGCCCTCTGGAGACACAGATGGTGGCTGTCTCTCTCTCTCTCACTTGCGGGGACAAAGAAGAATCTCATTGAATGGAAAATTTGAGCTGCAGCTCCAAGAATGAGTAGAAAATCCCAAGGGAATGGGGAGGGAGTATTCCAGGCATTTTCCAGAAGTATGGCAACGTGACAAAATACGAAGTTTTAGAGGAATGGCAAATACTCACCAACCATTGAATAATGGGTCAAACACAAAACAAGCAGACTACTCAGAGCTTAGATATTCAGATTTCAGTTTTTATGCCTGTCGGCATCACTAATGCCACAGAAGCCTCAAATTCCCCTGGACTTGGAGAATGGAAGGGATCACCTGAAAATCGCTGGAAAACTTAGGACTCTGTCCTCCTTCTCTACCAATGCAAAGGGCTATTCGCCTTACTAGCAATCTCTGGGGAAACTTTAAACAATGTATTTGCAAATGATACTTATTTAAAATCTTTAAACTGCAAGACACTATTGTTGGAAATCAGATTGTCATCTTCTGAAAGATTCACTTCTTACTTGCCTCTCTTCTGCAAGAGTGAAGGGTCGGGAAGAGACTTCCGAAGTCACTGATGAACAAAATAAACCAGGGCTTGGAAAGGGCCCAGAGAACATCTGTTTAGTCTTTTTCTTTTGGTAGTGACAAAAATGGTGTCTAAGACTTAATCATCACCCCTTCCTAAAATACACACATATGGGAAGCAATGGTGGTCTTTCTGCTCTGGGGGTGGTTCACAGCTTTCAGTTTGGAGCTGAAGACTGCCACCACACACACCATTCTCATTAAAGCAGAATGACTTGCTTGCCTTCAAGGATGATATTTCCATTTCTATGCTTTAGTGCATCTTTCTGTAGTAGCAGAGAATGGTGTATTTTCAAATATGCTCCCTGTTCATGTATCACTTAATGCTCTCACAAGACCGTGATCAGCTGGCACAAATGGAAAGAGTTCAGTTACTTGCCCAGAAATCTCCAATAGACACTCATCAAGACCAGGGATCGCACCCAGGTCTCTATTTTTGGCAGGCACATTTTCTGCCACTCCATAGCCCTTTTTGGGATAGCCACTTTTGTTGCAAATTCATATCCTGTGAGAGCTCCAGGGCCAACACTCCATTAAAAACACAAGAGCTGTCAGGTTGGCCCTGTGACATTTCTCTCTCTCTCTCTCTCTCTCTCTCTCTCTGTCTCTCTCTCTCATCTACTTTTTGGAGACAATGTTTAAGGAGAGATGTTCAACCCAAGACAATGCCTCCAGGACTTTGCTTTCTCACCACCAACCACCTGACCCCAGAGAGAAATGCCCTTCTGACCCCTACTGGTTATGATGGGGCATACACCAAGTGCAGAGAATTCTTTCCAA
Organism: Homo sapiens; assembly: GCF_000001405.40. NCBI lineage: Eukaryota > Metazoa > Chordata > Mammalia > Primates > Hominidae > Homo > Homo sapiens. The sequence goes on from NC_000010.11 coordinate 33,156,058, forward strand.
GCTGATTTCAGAATATTCTCCAAAACACTCTCCAACAATGATTGGACAAGAAGGTTAAACATAGAGAACGTTGACTCAGTCCTGATTAAACAGGCTGAAAAGACAGAAACAAATAATCACCACGTATGTAGCAATAATGGAGCAACAAAGTAAATATGAAGGCAGAGGCTTGCTATCAATATTTAACTAGAGGATTAATATACAGAGAATGCACTTCCGAGAATACCAAGGTGACCAGGGGGGCAGAAATGACTCAATTATGATACACTGTCACAGTCAGGGAAGAAGAAAGTGTTGTCTGCATTGTTTAACTTAGTGTTATAAACGCACAACTGAGGCAATCACGGTGATTAACATGGAGATGATGATGAGTGATAACGCCAGACTCATTAGCATGAAGCATTTGTTGATAGAAACGGATAGGGAACAAGTTGTAAATTCTGGCCAAGAATTTCTCCCTAAGAGATTCCTGTACATCGCACATCGCAGTCTTGCATATCGAGACTGTTCTAAGGCTTTTTTTTTTTTTTTTGGTCCTTTATTTGCTCAATGAGACCAAATGTCTCAAGAATCACTTCTTTACATCTTGGGGTAAAGTTTCTAACCATAATGTGCCCTGATATTCATTTGTACAAACAAATATGTTTCTTAGTCTATTGCTATTCAACCATTTCTTAGAATGGGGACATTATCAAAGTATTGAATATGCAAATTTTTCCATGAGTAAGTAAATTTGGGGAATTCTGGATTAAAGTGTACTTTAGCATATCAAAATGGCTTTAGTGTGGTGAGATACACTGAGATTCTTCAAGAGGGATGTAGTTGTATATGGCACTTCCCATAAACATTAGTCTATACCATCGTCTCTATAGAAATATCTTAAATAACCAAGATTCCTTAGGAGGCTCTTGAGGAACGGCTTTTCTTTCCTGATTCTTTTCTTCAATCAGTCCAGTCCATTGCTGGGTTTCCTCTACACCATCTTGCCCACACTTCCTTTATGTATGGAGTGAGATGGTCACCAGCTGGTTTTCTGAAAATCTTCATACCAGAGGAGGTGAAAATGCTCTGTAGTATCATCCAGAGACCCTACCCTCGAGTGTGCTAGGAAGGACCATATACTCCTGAGTCTTCTCTGACAGCAATGATCCCCACCAATGTCTTGTTCTCTTTCCTATTAGAACAGCATGCAGACACATTGGCACCAAATACCTAAAAGTCATTGCTCCTCAACAGGAAATGACACATTTTCAGTCCCACTGGGATTGCATCATATTCCGATACTATTTCTTGAAGAGCTAATGCTATGTGAACCTCTAAGATTACGGGACCTTATATGTTCCCATCTCCATTTCCATGATTTAATATTGCAAGATTCCGGCATTTTCCTTCTTGTCCCCTCTGAAATCCTATTCTTCCCTCCACTCTGTGTCTCACTAACAACTCCTCCTGGAGCTGCACAGAAATAGAGACCATTAGTCTTTGAGACAAGGCTGAGTACAAAAAAGAGTTGAAACAAGTGACAGTGAATTTCAGGAGTCAGGTTTCTCTGCAAGGAGCCAGGTTTCATTTCTGCCTTGGCCATTATGTGTTTATTTGGGTGAACTTGGTCAGGTGGTTACCACCTTTGTTTTTTCTCTGTCAAAAAGGGATCATGGCACCCAAGCAGCATATTAAAATGAGCAAAAGCCACAAAAATGTAAGGCCACAAAATGGTGAAAAATGACTGCCACAGACATTCATAATTTTTTAAAATTTTATTTCAAGGTTACTGCATTGATTCTTTCTCTGATAGTGAAAAACCTGGTACGGGTCAATTTTTTTATAATAAACTTCAGGGGATGGTACATATTCAAGTGGAAATGAATGGACGGCATGGCTGCGAGTCAGTTAGTCAAGCTGTATATATTCAGATTGAAATGGGCAACTGTCTAATTGCACTTACGGAGAGAGGGGGCACCAAGGCACCTTTACCTCTTCCTTGCGTCTTGGTAAGTGTTTGCTTGACCTTGGCTTAGGAAGGAGCCTGCCCTGCCGTAGGACAGTAAGAATTAGCTCAAAACGATTCTTCCAAGGAAGAGCCACAGAGAAGAGATCAATGAAGAATATTAAAGATCTGTAATCTTGCTTTGCCTTAAATAAGCCTATGGGTTTGCCTTAGGACAAGACTAAAAAAAAAAAAAAAAGAAGCTGATCCCACTACTGGGTATCTACCCAGAGGAAAAGAAGTCATTAATGCCCATCAATCAATGAGTGGATACAGAAAATGTGGTAGATAGATAGATATAGATATATAAACAGATATACCATAGAATACTACTCAGCCGTAAAGAGGAATGAAATGATGGCATTTGCAGCAACTGGATGGGATTGGAGACTATTATTCTGAGTGAGGTAACTCAGGAATGGAAAACCAAGCATAGTATGTTCTCACTCGTAAGTGGGAGCTAAGCTATGAGGACGCAAAGGCATAAGAATGATACAATGGACTGGCCGGGCGCGGTGGCGTGATCACGCCTGTAATCCCAGCACTTTGGGAGGCCGAGGCGCGTGGATCACGAAGTCAGGAGATCGAGACCATCCTAGCTAACACGGTGAAACCCCGTCTCTACTAAAAATACAAAAAATTAGCCGGACGCGGTGGCGGGCGCCTGTAGTCCCAGCTACTCGGAAGGCTGAGGCAGGAGAATGGTGTGAACCCGGGAGGCGGAGCTTGCAGTGAGCCGAGATCGCGCCACTGCACTCCAGCCTGGGCGAAAGAGTGAGACTCCGCCTCAAAAAAAAAAAAAAAAGAATGATACAATGGACTTTGGGGACTCGGGGGGAGAGGGTGGGAGGGGAGTGAGGGGTAAAAGACTACACATTGGGTACAGTGTACACTGCTCAGGTGACGGGTGCACCAAAATGAGAAATCACCACTAAAGAACTTACGCATGTAACCAAACACCTGTTCCCCCCAAAACCAATAGAAATTAAAGAAACAAACAAGCAAATAAATGAATACATAAAAATACTCATTTAAAAAAAAGGTGAATTGCTGGGTACCAAAAAATGGGAGGAGTTTTTAGTTTGGGGCCTGGAATGTCAGAAAAAGAGAGAGTAAGAGTCCCTGGTATAGCTGGTTAGGGGAGGCAGAGAGCATGAACCTGGAGTCATACTGCCAATTCCTCAATCCTGCCTCCGCCACATGCTGGCTGGGCCATCTCCTTCATATTCCTTAACCTCCTTGTGCCGCCGTTTCATACTTTGCAAGTGGTGATAATGATGATTATATCTAGCCAGTGGGCTTGTTGTAAGGATGAAATAATACATGCATGTGAAGTGCTTAAAATAGTACCAGGCACATGGCAAGGTCTTAAATAGCAATTATATTATCAATACTAAATAAATATCCTGCCTGCTCTCGGACTCCAGGGGTTGGAGTGGGAAGGAGTGAAGGGTGGAAAATGCAAGAAAGAAGAGAAAATGTTCTAAGCACCTTAGCAGAGGAGTAGCTTGGAGTGCCTTGTGGTGCCGGGGCTTTCTTGAGAAGCCCATGGAGGTGTCCCCCATGTTGGAAATAGCTGCATAAGGTGAGGGGATGGATCATGCAGTTCTGCTTTCAGTTATTTGATAATGATGTGGCTTTTAATAACTCCTCTGTCAACTCCCTACTGCCCTATTCCACAGCACACCCATTTTTACTTAAAGACTTTAAGTAAAACTCTGCTTTAAACAATGACCTGTGTGCATGGCTACTTAGGGGGATTAAACAAAAGGTGTTGTGTTCTTTATCCGGGCGGTGTTGCCTGTTTAGTTGTGATGGGGTAAGAAGAGATGAGGTACTGGATGTGAGGCTCCAGAGAGATGGAGAATTCAGAGGAAGCAACATCACAAAGAGAGGCATCCCAGAGAAACTCAGGAGAGACTTGGGCGTGGAGGATGCAGAGAATTTCACTGTATGTGTGTTGGGGGGCTCTTGGAACTTCTAATGAGAGCCTCAAGGAGGGGAGATTCTTTAAAAGTGGGGATTTGGCTGACACCGGTTCTAGCTTCTTCCTGGGAACTGCGTTCCTAGTTCTTAGCCCAGCTGTGAGGCTAGGTCTTCTCACTGGCGGCTGTCATACTTCATGGACATTCCTGCCTCTTAGTCAACTTGCTCCTTCAAAGTTGACTGTTGCTCCTGACTGTTCTCGGACCCCAGCCTCTTGGCCCATCTGCTACCAGCACTACACCTGTCTGTCAGTTCCACCCGGAAATGCCTCCGTGCTTGACCTGTTTCTCCACATCAACCTCCCCTGGAGCTCGAGACCCACATTCCCTACATTCTCACTGCCTGCCCCGCTCTCACAGCTCAGCAGGAGACAGATGCAAACAGTTACTTAAACCAGCATATCATTAATATCTTAATCAGTACAGTGTGGCAAAAGAACAGGGCCTCTTTTTTTTTTTTTTTTTTTTGAGATGGAGTCTCCTCGCTCTGTCGCCCAGGCTGGAGAGCAGTGGTGTGATCTCAACTTACTGCAGCCTCCACCTCCTGGGTTCAAGAGATTCTCCTGCCTCAGCCTCCTGAGTAGCTGGGATTACAGGCACCCACTACCACGCTCAGTTAATTTTTGAATTTTTAGTAGAGATGGGGTTTCACCATGTTGGCCAGGCTGGTCTTGAGCTCCTGACCTCAAGTGATCCATCTGCCTCGGCCTCCCAAAGTGCTGGGATTACAGGCGTAAGCCACTGCACCCAGCCTCAAGAACAGGGCCTTTTAAAGAGAGTAACAGGGGACAAAGTTTAAGTTGAGGGGTCAGTGAAGACCTCTAAGAGGAAAGGATATTTAAATTGCAACCTGGACAATTAATAAGGGACAACTGGGTGAATGGGACACATGGGAGAGCTAACTAAGAAAGGAAAGCATAGGCAGCGCTTTTGACATTTTTAAGGCATTGAAAGACCAGTGTATCTGGACCTCAGCAAGCACGGCGTAAAACGGCATGAGGTGAAATGAAACAGATAGGGAGCCCTGTTATTATTTATTAATGTAGGTATACTGTAGTATCTGTAAGTCCTCAGATCATGCAGAACTTATAGACCACAGGTTTCAGTTACCTATGGCTGTGTAACAAACTATCCCCAAACTTAGTGGATTAACACAAGAATGATGTATTATTTCTAGCAGTTGAATAGGTTGACTGCACCCACGGGCTAGTTCTGCTCCATGTAGGGTAGCTGACATCACTCATGTGGCTTCCTTTATCTGAGATCTCCCTTGGGGCTATAAGGCTCAAGCTGGTCTCTTGTCTTCTAGGGTCCCTGGCTGCATGACCTCTCACTGCCCATTCATCTTGCTGGAGCTTCTTTTTTTTTTGAGACAGAATCTCACTCTGTTGCCCAGGCTGGAGGGCAGTGGTGCGATCTCAGCTCACTGCAACCTCTGCCTCCCAGATTCAAGTGATTCTCCTGCCTCAGCCTCCTAAGTAGCTGGGATTACAAGGGTGCGCCATCACACTTGACACATTTTTGTATTTTTAGTGGAGATAGGGTTTCACTATGTTGGCCAGGCTGCTCTTGAACTCCTGAGCTCAAGTGATCCACCTGCCTTGGCCTTCCAAAGTGCTAAGATTACAGGTGTGAACCACCACGCCTGGCCTTGCTGGAGCTTCTTTACAGCATGGTGACTGCTGTCCAGAGGACAGTGCCCATGTGTAAAATGCTTATTAAGCAGCCACTTAGTGTCAGTTAGCCAAGCCCAGAGTCAATGTTTAAAGAGAACACACAAGGCACAGAGACCAGGAGGTGTGGCTCACTGGGGACCACTAGACCAGGGTACGGTGACCAGGTTTTATTCTAAAAGCAATGGGAAATCTGAATATTTTAAAGCAGAGGGATGACGATTCAATTCACATTTTGAAAAGTAAAAAGTGAAATGAAAGAATATTTTATTGCTATCCCACATTCAGTATGCCTAAAATTGCCCTCGTTTACTTTTTCCCCAAATTAGCTTTTCTGTTTTAAAAATTTTTTTAGAGACGGAGTCTCACTATGTTGGCCAGGTTAACCTCGAACTCCTGGCCTCAAGTGATCCTCCCACCTCAGCCTCCTGAGTGGCTGGAATTACAGAAGTGAGCCACTGCACCCAGTTAGCTACTGCTTTTGTTGTTCTTTTTAGAATGGCTGATGCTGCTATACTTCTGGCCAACCAAACTGAGAAGTAAGCATCTTCTTGAAGTCTTCTTGCCTCCATTGTCTTTTAATGTCTTCATGTTTTACCTCCATGTGTACTCCCTGGAGCTCAGAATAACAGCCTCAAGTGATTGTAAGACAGACAAATTGGCTGTTGTGCGTTAGGAGGTGGACTTTACCTTGTGATTTCGTAACAAGAATACTTTGCACTTGCAGATGTCCCTGCATCTACTCTTTTATTTCTCATGGTCACCAATCAGAGTTTCCAAACTTTTTCCTAATAGACATCCTTGTCTTTTTCTCCTAACTCTACGTGCACCCCTATCAGACTACTACCAATGTAATCTTTCTAATCAACCCAAGTAATTCCTCTGCCAACATCTCCACTGTATCTCCATTGGAATAAATGACAGTACTTTTTAGGCAAGAAGGAGGTGTTCATGATAGGCTAATTCAATTCTGCCTTTATTTGAGGGAGGTTTTAGGACCCGCAGAAGTTACAGGACTGCTCCAATGTTGCACCTGTAGCAGAGTCAGAATTTGTACCCAGTTTTTTTTTTTTTTGAGACAGGGTCTTGCTCTGTTGCCCAGGCTTGAGTGCAGTGGCACCATCATAGCTCACTGCAGCCGTGAACTCCTCCTGAGTAGCTGGGACCATAGGCACACACCATCACACCTGGCTAATCTTTTTACATTTTTGTGAGACAAGGTCTCACTATGTTCCCCAGGCTGGTCTTGAACTCTTGGCCTCAAGAGATCCTTCTTCTTTGGCATCCTAAATCATTGAGACTACAGGTGTGAGCCACTGTGCATGACTGGAACCCAGCTCTTCTGACTTCAAGTCTAGACTTTTTTTTTTTTTTTTTTTTGAGACGGAGTGTCACTCTGTCTCCCAGGCTGGAGGGCAATGGCGCAGTCTTGGCTCACCGCAACCTCCGCCTCCTGGGTTCAAGAGATTCTCTTGCCTCAGCCTCCTGAGTAGCTGGGATTACAGGCATGTGCCACCACGACCAGCAAATTTTTGTATTTTTAGTAGAGACGGGGTTTCACTATGTTGGCCAGGCTGGTCTCGAACTCCTGACCTCAGGTGACCCGCCTGCCTTGGCCTCCCAAAGCACTGGGATTACAGGCATGACCTGCTGCACCCAGCCACGTCTAGAATTTTTTAAGAAAGAAATTATTGTGTAACTTTCTGAGTGTTTTAGACATTTTGTCAATTTAGTTTTCACAACCAGTTTTTGGTTCCCATGGTATTGTCTTCATTTTTATCAATGCATTAACCAAAACTCAGCAAAATTAAGTAACTTGAAAAAAATTGCATGAAGAATGAACAATTAAATTGGTTATTTACACAAAGTGCTGCTAAGTTTCAAAGCCCATGTTATAGCTTCTTCTTCCTGTCACTCATCTTTCCCACACAAATCTACAAATCACTTGAGGGCCTAATCTAGATCTCACATCCCTTTTTATATCACGTAACACCTTGTGCAGACAGGTACTTAATGAATATATTTAGGGAAATGGAAGAATAATAGAAGGAAACAAAGAAAGAAGGAAAGAAGGAAGAAAGAAAGGAGAGAAGGGAGGATTTAGATAAATACCAAGGCCTCCGGAGGCCAAAGCCATTGTCCTTTCCGCTCTAACAAATGATATCTTGAATATTATTGATCAGAACAAATGCAAAGAATGGGCCCACAGTAAATTATCTTGATATATTTCTGGTTTCCATCCTCCTTTTGTATGAGGAAATACGAATATGAATATACTGATTAAGAATAGTGTGGGTTGGCTTGCAAGTTAGCATAAGTTATGAAGAGTTAATGCAAAGTTTAATAAAGACGTTTATCTCCACTGCTCAAATAGAAGTGAATGGACTTAGAAATAAGGTTTGTACAATGCAGATCATTCAAGAGCCCCGTGACTAACTAGATGTGAGAAGTGGCTGAATTGGCTGAAGTGTCACTATACAAATATTAACATTTTGCATTGTTTTACTTCATTTAGAGATCATTTAATTCAGAAGGGAAATGGAATAGCTTGTCTTTCATGATCTATAGCACTCTAGTTCATTTAAATAATAGATCTTTGTGTTTGGAGCTTTTTTTCACTTACAGTTTCCGTTCAGCTTCCTGCCAAGATTGGGTTAGAGAGGCTTAATGGTAATGCGTGACATGTGCTTTGTGGAGTGTGTTCCCTGGAGCTCAGAGTAACAGCCTCAAGTGACTGTAACACAGCCTGAAAAATTGGCTGTTGTGCATTAGGAGGTGCACTTTACCTTGCAATTTCGTAACAAGAATACTTTGCATTTGCAGATGTCAATTTGTGGATCCGTGTTTTTAAAATGTTTGCTGCATCTTCCTGTACCCCGGGGACCGAGGAATGGCTCTGGAGACAAGCAGACAAATTCCACATTGATGCATCACTGTGCTCGGGCTGTGCCACCACCAAGGAGGGCTTCCGCTGACTTCAAAGGGAACTCAGAGCATGATGGGAAAATTGGACCTAATAAGAATATTTCTTTTTGAAAACTCCTTTTCTAAGGTGCTTCACTGAAAAGTGCTTTGCCTGTTATATATTCCCTTAAGCCAAAATGCATGTAAATGCAGGAGCTTACAAGCAGGGGTTACAGACTAGAATGACTTCCTGGGGTACCATTGTCAGGTGATGGTACAAATAATGCCACTATCAAGATGAACTTGAAAGCCCAAAATGCTGCCAGGGATTTGACAATGGTGCTGAGATCATGGAGTGAGGTTGACTGAGTGGTGCCTTCTTTCGACTTGCAAGAGAACCTAAAGGGTCAGCCAGCCAGAGGCTGTCAGGTATATACCAAGAGAGAGTAAGTGTGACATTTCTGGACCCTCAATAGAGAAAGATAGGCTTGAGCCTGACTTACTGATGCAAATATTTATTTTCTAGAGTGAGTTGCTTTGAGGGTAGTTTCTAAAACAGAGATGTTATTGAGGCTCTTAGCATTTGGGTGTTGTTTTTTTGTTTTTCTTTTTCCTTTTTTTGAGATGGGGTTTTGTTCTGTTACTCAGGCTGGAGTGCAGTGGTGAGATCATAGCTTATTGCAGCCTGGAATTCCTGGGCTCAAGCCATCCTCCTGCCTCAGCCTCCCAAGTAGCTGGGACTATGGGTGTGTGCCACCACACCCAGCTAATTTTCATATTTTTTGTAGAGAATCAGTTTTGCCATGTTGCCCAGACTAGTCTTGCAATCCTAGGCTCAAGTGACTCTCTCGCCTCAGCTTCCCAAAATGCTGGGATTACAGATGGGAGCCTCTGCAACTGGCTCTGGCTAATTAAAAAACTTTTTGCAGAGATAGGGTCTCACCATGTTGCCCTGGCTAGTCTCAAACTCCTATCCTCAAGTGCTCCTCACATTTGGGTTTTATGAGCAGTTGTTGCTTTCTTGTGACAGACACAGATCCATAGTGTTGGTCAGCCAAATATAACCATCTAGACCCCACTTCCTGGTGCCTTATACTCTCTAGAGTGTGCCATTTTCCAATCACTCACTCCTCATTCATTCCTCAACTCACCCAGCCTCTACTTTCGGCCAGGTCATTCCGACATTTGCCTCGCTGTGTAATCTGATTGTGGATTGACAACTTATTGGTTAAAAAAAAACTCATCTTCCTAGTGGGACCTGTTTCAGGAGTGAGTAAACAGGCAATTTGTTTTTGGTTTTCATGTCTCCTTTCCCTTTGTGGAGTCTCCTTCTTTTCTTGATACTTTCTCCAGGTACCCAGGTTTCCTTAACTCCAGAGTTGATTTCTGGCTGGGATAACATATCACAGCCTGCTCCTGGGCTCCTCCCTTTCCGGTGTGTCTTCCTGGCATGATATTTCGTCCTCTAATAGCCACACTCTCTTTCAGTGGTAATGAGTGGGACAAGGATAATGAGATAAACCTGTTCCTGCCAATGTTTTGCTCAGCAAATGCAGTTCCTTCTTTGTAATGCAAATGCCTTAACAGGATAGCTGACACATGGAAATGAAACGTAGGAAAGTGATTTTAGTTATTTTTAAGATAAAGTTGATTTATTTAGAAAGTAATAAATATAATTTTGAATTTTGTTTTAAAATTCTCTTATTTTTCCACTCCCAGGGCATGAGGAGTTTTAGGCAGATGGGGAGGCGTACATCAGTGGAGCTCACTCCTGTTCTTAGGTGCTGCCATGGGGACGTACGGAACCCAGAGACCTTCCTTCCATTTTCATTCTCAGTGAATTTCAGTCCCGTCGTTCTTTGCCTCCCAAATCATTCTTCTCTCCTCACTTGCTGTGAGATACTTAACATTAATTTTTCAATGGATTTATGTTTTTACAAAGTTGACTTCAGCTGCTTGTCATCTAGCAAAAATGCTGGAGGCAAGGAATTACAAAGCTGGCTGCCCGCTTAAAATGAGGGGAAAAGGAAAAATATATAATAAAGCAGGCACACAATACTCTTCAATAAATTGCATTGGCACTTCTGTTTTTTTTTTTTGTCAGTCTGATACCAGTTTCTTTCTTATGTTACTGTAAATTTTTAAAAGTACAGAAAAAGACAGGTAAAAATCAACATTCATCAACATTCCTACTATTAAAGCAGTAATTTAAAGGTATAATTTATATTGATAAATGGATGAGTGGATGGATAGTTATTTACTCATTTATTTTTTGAGACAGAGTCTCGCTCTGTCACCCAGGCTGGAGTGCAGTGGCACAACCTTGTCTCACTGCAACCTCCGCCTCCTGGGTTCAAGCCATTCTCCTGCCTCAGCCTCTTGAGTAGCTGGGATTACAGGGGCTCGCCACCTCACCCAGCTAATTTTTTGCATTTTTATTAGAGACAGGGTTTCACTGTGTTGGCCAGGCTGGTCTTGAACTCCTGACCTTGTGATCTGCCCGCCTCGGTCTCCCAAAGTGCTGGGATTACAGGCATGAGCTACCACGCCTGGCTTGATAATTTCATTTACATCAATGGGATTTTATTATAGATACCTTTTTTTAATTTTTTTGAGACAGGATGTCACTCTGTCACCCAGGCTGCAATGCAGTGATGTGATCGCGGCTCCCTGCAGCCTGGAACTCCTGGGCTTAGGTGATTCTCCCACCTCAGCCTCCTGGGTAGTCAGGACTACAGGCACATGCCACCATGCCTAGCTATTTTCTTTTTTGTATGTTTTATAGAGTTGGGGGTTTTGCCATGTTGCCCGGGCTGGTCTCGAACTCCTGGGCTCAAGCAACCTGCCTGCCTCACCTCCCAAAGTGAAGGGATTACAGGCAAGCACCACTGCGCCTGGCTTATAGACGCAATTTTAATGAAAATTATCCAATTTAATTTTACTGAAAGTTCATAGCAAAACACTAAATTAAAATGAAAGAAATGTTGAACTGAAAAAATGTTTCTTTACTGTTAGTAATATTACTTACTAAAAGACCACTTCATGCTCAGCAAAGGAATTAGGATAAATTTTCAGACCTTAGAGTTATTAGAAAAACAAACAATTGTTTCACTTTAAGATAATATAGACTGAATTCTTGCTCTTAAAGAAGAGGACATTGGAAAGAGAATGCCAGCAATCTCACCTCCCTTGGCCTCATTCTTCTCACATCCTGACCAATACATGTTTATTTGAAATACGCTAGTATTTTTACATTATTCAGATTTATAGCATTCACATTCTGTAGTGTAAATTTGATTCTCACATAGATAGCTTAGTAGTCATCCTTTTGCCCCTTTCTGCATCGTCAGCCTTCCTTGTTTTCAATTTATATCTGGATCGTCTGAATTTGACAATAGCTCTTTCAATAGCATCTAAAGAATTCTGTACTCCTTGACATTTTTAAAAAAGAATGTCTGCCTATTACCTTTATTGTTGAATAACATCCTAGATTAGCAGAGTTTTCTTGGTATCATACTTTCTTTTCTTTGGAATTTTGTAGATTTTACTCCACTGTTTTGGATGGAGTCTTGTATGTTACTCTAGGCAAGACTGAGGATGGACTGATTTTTTTTTTCCCTTCTTTCTTAGTAATTTGTTTTTATTGCTTGGATGTCTGAAACATTCTTTGGTTCAATGTTCTTAGAGCTTAATAGCCTAACTGGCATATAGCTCAGAGCTGAATACTCTATGTCACATTTTACTGAAACATAATATTCTTTTCAATCAGCAGGTTAACTATCACCTTTATTTCAAGACAATTTACTTGTGTCACAACTCTTAATATATTGTCTCTCCTCAGGTAAGTTCTTTAACTTAGGGACACAAAGTATCTTTATGTTAGATTGCTTTTTTTCCTTCCCTTTGTAATAGTGTTAATCAAATTGCTGTAATATATTTTTATCTGAAATTATCATAATTATCTCAAAATCCCTCCTCTTAAGTCAGTAATTCTATTTTAAGCAGTATTTTGATTGTTATTTATTAAATCTATAATAATGCTATTTTTTATTTTTTTGAGACAGATTTTTACTCTTGTTGCCCAGGCTGGAGTGCAATGGCATGATCTCAGCTCACTGCAACCTCCGCCTCCTGGGTTCAAGCGATTCTCTTGCCTCAGCCTCCCAAGTAGCGGGGATTACAGGTGTGCACCACCATGCCAGGCTAATTTTTTTATTTTTTATTTTTTTTTAATTTTTAGTAGAGACGGGGTTTCACCATGTTGGCCAGGCTGGTCTTGAACTCCTGACCTCAGGTGATCTACCTGCCTCGGCTTCCCAAAGTGCTGGGATTACAGGCATGAGCCACTGCGCCCGGCCTAATAATGCTATTTTGGTCCTCATATTTGTCTTGTTTGCGAGCCCTATTTTTGTCATATCCTGTTATTTTATTATCTGATTATAAGTTTTTATTATATTCATGTTCTATATGTAGCATCAAGCAATTATCAGTAAATTCCTGTTTCTTGATTTATGTTTTCTACTAGATTGTGCTATTTGTTTTCTTCATGATGTTTTTGTGTTTGCTGTTATTTGTTTGCCTGGTGCCAAGATGCTTTTTTAATAATCTTATTTACTCTTAAATAACTCTGCCTGGACTTTCTCTTTGCTCTGATTGGGAGTGGGTAATTCTCGACTCTCATCCCACCATATCTGACTTATTGTGTGAGAACACAAGAAAGGAAGGAGACAAGATCATCGTGGTTGGTGCTCAGTCTTTGTTAGACTATCTGGGCTCAGTTTTCTCTTCTAAGATTTTGTTAAGTGTCCCAAATTTGATATCTAATCAGTTCTTAGATGTGATACTGGTTTAGCTACAAAGGACAAAACAATGATTTAAATGACAGAGAAGTTTATATTTCTCCTCTGTAACTGAACATAAAACAGCCCAGGTTGGCAGCACAGATGTGGTACCAGGCAGTTCTGTGGTGTCAGGAATCTCAAATGCCTCTACCTGGTTGTCTGTTAAACTTTCTATACATTACAATGACGCTCAGCTCCTACTGACATATCCACAGTTATTCAGTGCAGAAGGAAAAAGGGGAAGGAAAGGGAATGATCTCACTTTTTAGAGACAGGAATGGGAGTTCAAGCATCATTTCTCCCACATGATTGGTTAAAATATAATCACATGGCCACATAGCACCTAGGGGGTTGGGAAATGTTGTCTTTGTTCTAGGCAGCCATTTGTGCAGGTGAAAGTTTAGGATGTATATATATATATACACATCCTATATGTGTGTGTATATATACACATCCTATATGTATATATATACATATATGTGTGTGTATATATACATATATATGTGTGTGTGTATATATATATACATATATGTGTATGTGTACACATACACATATATGTGTGTATATATATACACACACACATATATATGTGTATATATATATACACACATATATATGTGTATATATATATACACACATATATATATGTGTGTATATATATATATATACATATAATTTTATTTGTTTGTTTGTTTGTAGAGACAAGGTCTCACTCTGTCGCCCAGGCTGGAGTGCAGTGGTGTGATCATAGCTCCTTGCAGCCTTGAACTCCTCGCCCAACCTTGAGCTCTCACCTTGGCTTCCTAAAGTGCTGGGATTTACAGGCGTGAGCCACCGTGCCCGGCCATGGGATACAATTATTAAAGGAAGAAATCAGTGAACCAGACAGCTCTGCATCACCATGTTACCCTTCACCTAATGGTGGGGTGTAGCTCATTCTCAGGGTGAGGAAACCCCTGGGCTTCAGAAGCCTTCCCTAATTCAGAGAGAGCTTTATGGTGTCCGCCTCCCCCTAGGTCCTACCAGTTTTTCCCAGTGGTCTTCCAGCTCTCCTCAGTCAGGAAAGGAAGAGGATGAGGACATCCTTTCAGTCAGAGTAACTCAAGATTTCGTGCTGACTGTCAGTGAGGACTCGGGATTTCTTTGATCCAGCTGTACGTGTCCCTCAGAGGGACAGAATCAGGTGAGAAGCCAGGCCGTGTGGCACTTCCCTGCCGGCTCAAGAGTTTTGTGTTTCTTGGATTTCAGGCTTGAAAGTACATTGAAATTGATTGTAGCCATTACCTGTTTCAATTGCTTTAGGTGATGATTTTTGCTGGGTTTTGCTATTTTAGTCTCATTTTCACAGTTAGTAGAGGAAAATTTTGTGATGCAGGGCTTTTTTCCCCCAATTTCTGTTTTTCAATATTTTCTCTTTTACCATTTGTAACCCATCTTTAAGCATTCTCTATCTCCCTGTCTGTTTAATTTTCTTCTTATTATTATTATTGAGATGGAGTCTCGCTCTGTCTCAGCTCACTGCAAACTCAGCCTCCCAGGTTCAAGCAATTCTTCTGCCTCAGCCTCCCGAGTAGCTGGGAGCAGAGGTGCACACCACCACACCTGGCTTTTTTTTTTTTTTTTTTTTTTTTTTTTAATAAAGACAGGGTCTCACCATGTTGCCTAGGCTGGTCTCTAACTCCTAGACTCAAGCAATCCGCCCACCCGGGCCTCCCAAAGTGCTGGGATTACAGGCGTAAGCCACTGCACTCAGATCTGTCTGCTTAATTTTCTTCCTTGCTTGTATAGGATATAGTTTTAGTTTACTATTTGAGCTACTAACTCAAAAGTTTCATAGTCTATCTTACTCGTTTTCTGCCTGTATTTTTTCATTTCCATTCTGCTATTGTACTTATTTATTTTTTAAGCTTCATTACACTTTTATTATGTTTAAGGTATTGTTTTTATATATAAAATAAAATCTAGGGAATAGGGAAAGTAGTAGTGTATGCTTAATCTGTCTTTGAATGAGAGGCGGGCTCAGAGCTAGGTGTTTGGAGACCTTTCAGTAATCCTGAAATAATGCCACTCAGGAAGCTGTCTGCCTCCCTAACTGATCCTGCAGGTGGCCTGGTTGTGTTTCTAAAACCTATCCTTAATGCTGGCATCTCACAGAGCTAACCTTTCATGCCATGTTCAACACAATATCCAAAAGGTTGGTCTTCACCCAGCTGCTGGGAGAGGAGCTGCCATGAAGCCATGAGTGATTTTGCACTCAATAAGTTTTGTGTGGTGAGGATGGATAGAGATAAGAAAAGAAGAAATTTAGGCAGGAGGACTGCTTGTCTCTGTAGAAGAGATAAGTAGTAGAGGAGGTGTCATCCTGGTACAGAGTAATTCCAGAACAAGCAGGGTGTGAAAGAAATTTCTTTTTTTTTTTTTTTTTTTGAGACGGAGTCTCGCTCTGTCGCCCAGGCTGGAGTGCAGTGGCGGGATCTCGGCTCACTGCAAGCTCCGCCTCCCGGGTTCACGCCATTCTCCTGCCTCAGCCTCCCAAGTAGCTGGGACTACAGGCGCCCGCCACTACGCCCGGCTAATTTTTTGTATTTTTAGTAGAGACGGGGTTTCACCGTTTTAGCCGGGATGGTCTCGATCTCCTGACCTCGTGATCCGCCCGCCTCGGCCTCCCAAAGTGCTGGGATTACAGGCGTGAGCCACCGCGCCCGGCCAAGAAATTTCTTTTAAGAAAACAAAACAAAACAAAACAAAAACCAAAAACATGGAGACTGTAATCCTCCAAGATCTTGCTGAAAAAGAAGGATCTCCAGGTAGGTTAAACCTGCACCCAACTTTAAAAGTCTCCTGATGTCTCATTTCTTTCTTTCTTTTTTTTTCCCCTTAAGACAGCGTTTTGCTCTGTCACCAGGTTGGAGTGCTGTAGGGTAATCATGGCTCACGCAGCCTTGAACTCCTGGGCTCAAGTGATCCTCCCACCTCAGTCTTCCAATTAGCTAAGACTACAGGTACACACTACCACACCTGGCTAACTTAAAAAAATTTTTTGTAGAGTGGCGTCTTGCTATATTACCTAGGCTGGTTTCAAACCATGGTTCCGGTATTCAACAAATACTGATTTAACATCTCTCATGTACCAGGTACTGTTTATTCCATGTGTTGTAGATACTGCACTAAACTAAATGGATGACAATCAGTGCACTCATGGAATCTGTATTTTAATACTGTAGATAGATAATAAAATAAGTCAGTAAAGTATATATTGTACTAACAGGTGATAAATTCTAGGGAAAGAAATAAAATAGGTAGTGGAGACAGGAAGTCTTGTGGATGGGAATATTCACAAATATTGTGGATATTGGGTTCCACATATTGTTTGACTTCCTTCCTTAGGTTTTGGCCCAAATATAAACACAAATCTTTCCCCTCTCATTTGGAAAGCTGAGATGCATGGCGACTTTAAAATCACTGCATATTACTGAAGTTACTGAATACTAAATGACTAAATATGAAGGGAAACTCAAGTGGAAATACACGAGCACACATGAGAAATGTAAACATTGGTTCCCAGGACTCAGAGCCTGTCTCATTTCACATGGTGCCTCCTAAGAGCCTTTTTCTTTGAACCCAAAGGGCTTAAGTAATTCTAAAGGCTCTTAGTGCCGATTCCTCACTTCCTGTCTCCTGACCTGCTTCCACATGGAGGATGCCCCTCACAGTCCCACACTCAGGAGGCTCATCTTTGACATGAGCCATCTCATCTCATTTGACATCTTGTTTGACTGCTCCATCTAAATTATGGTTGGTTTCCAGTCGGAGAAGAACCTCACTTCCCTACGTGACAAGCATAGCGAATTATCTCATCTACCCTTCTATGGCAGAAGTGTGGCTTTGCCCTTGAAAGTTGTGGCAGAGGCTGGGTGCAGTGGGTCATACCTCCGATCCCAGCACTTTGGGAGGCCAAGGAGGGGGGATTGCTTAAGCCCAGGAGTTTGAGACCAAGCTGGGCAACATAGCAAGACCCTGTCTCATTAAAAAAAAAAGAAAGCTGTGGCAGAGATGCCAACAGCTCACTGAATATACAAGTGCTCCACCTCTTTTCTCAGAGCCCTTGAAATGTGGTAGGGTCTGTGCCAACTCCAGGCTAAAGCATCTGAGACAGTAAGCATCTTTCTAGTTCTCTCTTGCACAGAGACTAGAAGTCACATATTCTGGTTAGTATGGCAGCAAGAGGTAACCAGCCTGGATCCTTGAATCGCTGCATGGAACAGAGCTGCCCTGCAGAGCCACCAGACCCATAGTAGAAATTGTGTGAGCAACAAATACACCTTTATAGATTAATCCACTAATATTTGGGAGTTTATTTCTTACCTTATAGCCTAACCTAACTTGACTAATACCAGGCCTAATAGTAAAGTGAGATCGTAGTTTAACACACTGCAAAGCATTTCTGTAGCAACTGAAAGACCATGTCTTTACACTGAGAAAGCAGCATAGGGTAGCTATTAGGATTGTAAGCTTTGTGTTAGACAGACCTGGGTTTGAATCTTGCAAATGCACCTTACCAACTAGCTGTGTGACATTAGTTACTTTTCTTAGCCTCTCTGAACTTATTTTTATATGCCCAAATCACAAGGTAGCTTGAAGGATTAATTGAGGTATCTAGCAAAGTCTGGTACAAAGCAAACCTTTAGGAAATTGTAGTGGTTATGATATTAAGGAGTTAAGAAATTTATGCAGAGTGGATTTGACAATGTGCTTCCTGAGTAGTTGGAACATAAATATCTACTGTAGTGACTCTGCGTGTTAGGGTACAAGGGAGAGATCACACTGTTGCCACTGCATGGACCTCTCCAGCCACCTAACTTTCTAATGTGTTGGTAAAATTAAATAGAAGGGATAATTTGTTATTTGCATAACAGAAACAGTATTTCTTCTTACAAGTAAAGAGAATTTGGGTGACTTAAATATAAATAAAATTAAAAGTTGACCTAACAGAAATCATGTTTAAGACTCTAAAAATGAGTTTCTTATAGTTGGAGGGCTTGAATTCCAGCAGAATTGCAAAAGATCAGAGCATAATAATTGAGTCTGCTTTGAATATATCACGTATCCATAGTCAAGGAGCAATTTAATCAACATTGAAAAATTTCAGAAGTTGGACAAAATTAGAGCAATGATAATCCTGATAGGTGATGGAATGGCTCCCTGGCAGGATGACATCAAGATCATGAGCACTGCCAACATCATCTATCTGAAAAAATGATAACGGGGCCTTAAGAAAAGGGTGTGGAATTGGCTCATGTCAGAAATGATGGGGCAGAGATGCCCAGATCACTGAAAGGAGCATTATGAGGAACAGAGAACTGCTCCTCATCCGGGTGAGTCATTGTCTTGTCCAAGCTTCACAAAGGCAAGACTCAGAAGCCCCTTCCAGGACAGTGAGTCCATTTCCAGTCCAACATTCTGCCAGAGCAAGCGACTTTCCAAATCCATTTACAGGGCAGTGATAAAATTAGATTATTGGCTATGAATATTATACACTTGTGAACGCCTGCATCATTACAGGACAATTCCATTTAGATGTGGAGATGAGACAATTTTTCTGCATAGAAAAACCCTCTCTTGGGAGCCACTATTGACAACAAAGCTCTATTATCTGATACTTTCTTTAATAAGAAAGATTAAATAGAGTTCCATCTAGTTTTACCATTCAGGAATTTAATATCTTTGGAAGGTATTAAGCTGTGTGTGCTATGTAAGGCAACATGTTTTGAATAGAAGGAATTGGATATTCACATATTGGTGTGCATTCCCCTTTCTCCACTGACTGCACTGTGAAAAGGAAAAGAGCACTTGCTATGCTTCTGCTACACTTTTAAAGTTTTTAACCCAGCAAATTACCACATCAGCAGGCTCTCTTCTCTATCAGAAAAGCCCACTTTTAGGCCCCCCACAAGTAATCAGGTAGAATGACCACAAAGCGCACTTCTGGGTTAAGTGAGATTTTAAATTTACCATTGTTATTCCAGGCTGCATTGTATTTAGACGCTTCTGAAAAGTGCTTTGTGTTCAGACACCACCATCTGAAGCATGCAAACTTTTGCACACCTGGCTCAGGTGGCAGCAGACCACGTGGGGACTTCTTAAATCCGAATGTGATGACAGGTGGTCTGGGGATCTTATTAAAATGACTCAGCAGGTCTGGGACACAGCCCCAGACTCTGCATTTCTAACAGGATTCCAGTGATGCTGCTGCTATTGCTGCCTCTTGGGACACATTTTGGGCAGCCGGGCCCCATGTGAACCTCTCCCAAGTTAATGCAGAACTATGGAACGGTGGGTGGAATGGAGGAGAGATGAGACCAGATACATCCTGGACTCATCACTCAACCTCTCTGAACTTTGGATTCCTCATTTATAAAGTGGAATGAATAATTACAAAACTTAACTTACTTACCTTTCACAGAGCTGCTGTGAAAACAGCTAGTGTTTCAACAAATAGCAGTGCAATGCCATCCATAGAAATCCCTATACTCTTTCTCTCCTAAAATGATAGGATCAGCTCCTAGGACCTTTCTTACATGCATATGATAATGTGATGTTCTCCTCTGAATCATCTTTCAATGTTTCTTTGGAACATTGCGGGGAAAAAGTCAGTTCTCATTGTTGTCTTCCATGCTTCTTGCTGCTAAGTTCTACTCAACGTGATAGTCCCTTCATCTAGGTTTCTCAATCCCCAAGTTGAAATTCTGCTTAAGATCCCTTAGTGGATATAGATTAGGGAAATAGAGCTAATTCTTGGCAAAACTGTTTTTTAATGCAACACAAACTGTTATAATTACCATTGGGAAGCAGGAACATTATGGAATGCCGATTTGATTTGCATAAAAATACAGTGCAGTTCAGCCCAAGTGGCAATTAATAAGTTATCAGGGAAGACAGGAGACACAACAATAAATCATTTTTATGTTTTAAGTTAAATGTTTCAGTCCTGAATCTGGGAAGTATTATACAGCGATTTAGCTTCTTAAACCTAGTACGAAAAGCCTAGCTTAGTCTCTAACTAGGGAAAAGAGTGAACAGCATTCATGTTGAAGTTCTTCTCAAACAATGAAACAGAGATAGTATTAGTGCATGGCCCTTAGCATTTTTCCGAAAGTATGTGTGGATTCATTCTAATAGACTCCTTGGAAGTCATCATATTTTTCTGGAAACATCCATGAATTTAGGTAAAATGTAACTTTAGTAAAGTGATTCTCTATCTCTGACTCTTTTCTGTGAGTAGAGAGACCTAAAAACCCATGCATTAGGGAAAATTTTCTATTCTTGGTTAATCTTGGAAAATGCAAAAAGGCATAAGTGTCCAGAGAAAAGCAGGAAGTGGAAGAAATATTGATTAATGGAGCCTGGCTGTCCAAAGCAGCCCACTCCTCAGGGAGTTCCTGTGCTTCCAGGAATACGTTTTCCTACAGTCAGAGGACGGTGGTAGAGAAAGACTTATTGGTCTGTGAGTAATAGAAATTAAGCTAGGCCAGTTTTGTTGTAAAAAGGGCCCCTTTGACTTGACACTTCTGTTGTCTTTGTTATTGTTATTATTTTTCCTATTATTCTGGTCCTAGATGGAATAAAACTCTCCTAAGAATTACCAAACAGCCAGTTGTAATGTCATACCCAACTTTTCCCATTACCTAAATGCAGCGTGGGTGCATGAATAAATACTGTCAGGTTCATTACTATTTTCTGCAAGAACAAAACTTACCAAGTTATGAGTGAATATGATAAAAGAAACTTTACCAAATGAAATATAGAACATTTGACACACAATTTAGGATCATTCCCATTCCTAACGTCAAATTCCGTATTCCTTATCATGACAGGGTCCAATGTGAGTTGAGATTCTACTTTCAGAAAATGTCTTCTTAATCTTCTCTCCTTATCAGGATATTTTAAAAAAGAGAATTTTTAAAAATCTTGGAAGTTATTGGATAGTGGCATGTCACCAACTTCTTTAACTAGAACAGTGCTAATATAATAAAAGCCATCAGGTGTGGGATATTTTATGAAAATGTTTAATTCAACTGTTTCTTTGGAATGTAGTAGTCATAGTTTGGAATTTAAGTTACAGTTCAGTTCTATGTGGTTTTTATGCTACTCAGTGTCTGAGAATACAAATGTCATTTAAAGTTAAGGCTTCGCTGTTCATTTTGAAACAACAATTTACAAGTGTCATATTGTCATAGAAAATAATAATTTCTGTAAAAAAAATCTGCACAAAATCTTATGATGGTACAAAACATGAAGCAATAATATACCAGTAAAATGAAAACATTTTACTACAGAAAGTTTTATAGATTTCCATAAAGAAAAAATATGTTATTTTACACCTTTAAAAATTACAAAACAATCTAAAACAATATAAACTGAACATTTTGTAACACTGCCTTTACAAATTAATAACTTTATAAACATATAATTTTTAAATATATTTATCAGTGCAAGATACTTTAAATTTTAAAGTTGCAGTATCATTTTTCCTTGGCTGAGGACAACTTTAAGTCTGTTGCCTTTAAAAACAACAAACGAGTGTTTCTTAGTGCTTTCCTTCTGGTAGGATTATATCAACTAAATGAATGTCTCTGGGGACAAAAAACTATTCTTCTTTCATGGTGATCAATATTTTCCTGGAAACAAAAGGCATTCTCAATCCAATTTAACTAAGATGAATGGACTGTCTCGTCTATGATGCAAATGTGACTCCCAACAAATGTCTTTGAGTGAGACGTCTAGCAATGTGGGAAGGAAGATCTAAAAAATCTCATGTCCAACATGGCATGATAAAAATCCACCAAAACCAACCAAAGCTTCTTTGGGTTAATTCATAGGCTGCCTGGTAAGATATTTGCTTCCCTGTGCTGTTAGAGGCTTAGATGTTGCCAGCCCTAAGGCAGGCTTATTCTTTGTGAGCCGCTGGAAGTTTCTAGAAGCATTCATTTAAGTCTATTTTTTCAAGGTTGCTGTTATGAATTTTTAAAACATTTGTTTGACTTTATGTGTTTTTCCCCCTCTTATCTTAAAATACTTGACCCCCAGGCATCAGGATTTATAGTTTCATTCTTAAATTAACTGTTCTTCCTTCCACTTCCCTTGTGTGACTCAGTAGCAAAATAAGAAAGTTCTCTTGGGTCATTTTTGCATATTTGGATAGAAAAATCTCATGCTTTTGGATTTGGAAGATTTTATCCAGTTCTTCCTTTGGGTCTCACTTGAAAGCCAATTTGTATTATTTCTTTCCTCAACTTATCACTATTTCTACTAAATGCCAACATTTCTATCAAAGGTCATTTTGAATAGAATAGATAAGGAAAAAAGATACTGTCACTTTAACCAGTTAACAAGAAAACCAAAGTTAGACTTTGGAGGGCAAAGTTAGGAATTTCCCTTATTTATTTATTTTTAAACATAAAGTCTAGTAAAATCGTTTGCCATTCCCAGCAGGTTAAAGCTGCAAGTTTCTTTCCTGGACAATGGCAAATCCTCCAATTCTAAGAGAGAAAAAAGACAGAGAGATAGGAGAGAGAAAGAGAAGAGAGTTTACATTTGAAAATACATTCCATATGAAAGAACAATAAGAGAGAATATTGTAGCTTTATACAAAAGGGTCAAGAAACATGAAATTGAACTACAGAAAAAGCAGAACAATTAAGCCACGTTGCCAAATCTTCAGAGCCCTTGCCTGCCCGGAGGGGCTGGCATCTCACACGAAAATAAACTTTCTTCTTAGTCAGTGGGCCACCAGAGTTTGATTAAAGAGCAGGGCTTTCACCAGCAAGAAGCAGAGTGGGTCGTTAATGTAACACAATGAACCAGTACAAACAAAAAGGCACTTGAGAGGACATAGACTAGCCAGTGCCAAGGATTTGTGTTTTTGTTGTTGCGGTTGTCAGCAGTATACCCAGTGGCCAGCCGTGTTCAGGGATGGCACCGTTTTCTGTATGGAGTTCACAAGCACGAGGTTTAGTACAACACCGGAAAAACAGCAAGAAAACTGGACAGTATTGCTTCGTAAACAGAGCTGACACACTACACCAGTACTGAGGCTACAGTACTTTAAAAAGAAAACAGCCTAATCCTTCTTTGCCTATGCACGACGCGGGCAATTATACACAAGTACAACTTCAGGAGTCCACTGAAATGCGGTGATTCTAGTATATTCTGGGCACTGGGTTTCAGGTAGCATGTCCATCCAAAGGGCCACACGGAATACGCTTGGTGCCAGCATCTTGGATTTCGCTCAGTTTCCAAAAAGAATCCACAAAGGGGAGAGGAGAGAGAGAGAGAGGGGCAGGAGGGGTCGAAATGAATGATTATGTCAATCATACTTGGTCTCAACACCAGCATCTGATTATTCAAATGAAACCAACAGGAAAAAAGCTGACTGCACATGAGTCCGATGGTGAACACAGCTCCTTGTCCATGTCTGTCGGCCATACTCATTGAAGCTCCTGAGAAAAGCCTGGCTCAGTGGTCATCAACACACTTCCCAGCCTGTATAGTGAAAGATCAACAGCTCCCCAGCTCACTCCCGTCCTTCCACTTCCGTCCTTTGACTGTCTTTTCATCTCTGTCTGCCTTCATGCCTCCGAATAAGTACTCTGTGTATTCAGTTTGTCTTTTTTCAACTTCACACCATCCACAAGTTCAAAGTTATAGTTCTCCAGGGCAGACAAGTTTCTTTCTGACATCCCATTATGCCAACAGGCACAGTACAGCACGACCCCACAGACAGCCCCCAGGAGGACCCCCAGGGCACTCATGGCTATGATGGTGATGAGGATGGGGTCTAAGGTCTTCAACACATTGCCTGGCTTCCTGGAGATGTTCTTGTCACCTTCTCCTTCACCTTCGTATCCTGGCGTGCTCCCTATGGAAAAAAACAATATTGTCTCCGTGAGCACCGCCAACAGACCAGATGAAAGCAGACAGAAAAATAGAAAGGAACGAAACAGGAGCAAATCACACACCCCAGTTTTGCCTGTCATATCTGACTCATTGTTGGGAACAGAAGTGTGGGAGGTGGTAGAGGGGAGTGGGCGCTGGGGCTTCTGACAGACTGCTTAGCACGTGGAAACAACCCATTCTGGATCAACTGGGAGGTTCCTTGCTCATCTAACTCAGATTTCATGCAGCCCCATCTGTCCTAGATTGTAATCTGTGTTTACAGTCCTTGGCTAGATAGGTGATCATTAAGTTTTGCAAAATGCTTAGTCACACATTAGTCTAGCAAGGGGATTTTACCATTCCCAGTGCATGTACCTAACCCCAAAACAGGCACAAGAAAAACCTTCATGGCTGCCCTTCTACGTGGTGCTGTTTCCAGGATCTGGCATGGTTTATGCATGTGTTTGTTCTCCCATATGGAAAATCTTCAAGTGAAACGAATTTTGCCCAAAGTCTACAGTAGTTTCAGTAAAGAAGGAGTGATTTTTTAGAACAAGAGAATGCTTGCTGCTGACATGTAAACAGAGTGTGGCTCAAATCGAGAAACCATGTCTGTCATGCCAAATAGAAGACATTTACTAATAATCAGCATCTTTGCAGCCCTGGTAGTTTAACTGGAGACAGTTGCACTGCTCTGCAGCTCAGTCACTGGGGACTTGTTTTCTTTGGAGTGGAACAGGAGAAATTGTTAACATGGGAGCTTTGAGCCTAATTACCTGGTACTAGAAACGGGATGAAAATGTTAACGCACAATATGCCTGGGGTTTACTTAATGGTGTTCTGATCAACAAAGATTCCAATCAAAGAAAACTAAAAATATGAGATGCAAATCCCTAACCAAGAGAAAACAAGCCTTGGGGCATATTAATACTCTCTCCCTTGATGAAATATTGTTTTGAAACAACCTCTAATAAAGTTTACATCTCTGTGTGGACTTGGTAATGTGTTCATATTACTAACAGCAAGGTGCAATATTTATTTGTCTCTATGAAGTCCACGGCTGGCCATAGAGTAGGATCCCATTTCTAAGGGCAACAGATGCTGACATGCATTGATGATAAGGGTGCAGCACCATCCACACAGCAGCTGTGAGTGATGGTGGAGCAAGTGTCCAACAGCCCACAATGCTGGCTGGGAGATCTGGAAACTTCTGGGAATAGACTAATACCAGGCAAGGCCTAACTCTGATCAAAGGTCTTGCATTTGATCACAAAGCAGCGTTCAGCAAAAACACACATTTATAGTTCATCAGGCTAAAGTGTGAGGCTACCACCTAATTAGCTATGCTACTTAAGTTTCAGTCTCACTATCTGTAAAATGGGGACAAATACAACCCCTAGAGCTGCTGTGAGGATTAAATAAGATAAGGTATGTAGGACGGGTGCAGTGGCTCACGCCTGTAATCCCAGCACTTTAGGAGGCTGAGGCCAGGGAATTGCTTAAGCTAAGGAATTCAAGACCAGCCTGGGCAACATGGTGAAACTCCACCTTACAAAAGACAAAAAAATAAGTTGAGTGTGGTGGTGTGGGCCTGTAGTCTGCTCGGAAGGTTGAGGCAGGAAAATCGCTTGAACCTGGCAGGTGGAGGCTGCAGTGAGCTGAGATCACGCCACTGCACTCCAAGCCTGGGTGACAGAGACAGACTCTGTCTCAAGAAAAAAAGAAAAGAAAAAGATCAGGTAAGTAAAGTGCTCAGAACATACTAACTCTTCAATAAATCCTTCTTATCATCATCATCATCATCACAAAACCAAGGTTCTAGTAGAGGAAGATGGGAAAAGATGAATCAAACACAATGGATTATCTCAGAAATTGGGCTCTGGTCTCTTAAAGATCCTAGCTGGATATCAACAAACAGAAGAATTTCGGTTGGTTTCAAATAACTGTGTATGGAAATAGTCTTCACTAATTTTCTGTCTTTGTAGTGATAAACTGAGTGTGTTTGAGCTGATTATCCTTTATGTTCCACCTCTAGACTGGGCAGGGAAGGGCCAGGGTGAGCACACTTCCCAGGCTCAACCAGGTGTACAAGCAGGACCCGTCACCGAGGCTCCCCAAGTCTTATGGGCAGCTCGGAAGTGGGTACTCTGTGAGCACAATCCGATCCACAGCACCAACCCAGGGCCATGGGCATAGATGTTTTTTATTTGAACTTTTTGACATACCAGTGTATTAGAGTTCCACAAAGTTTCTTCATAAACACAATGAAAGCCATAGTAAAATTTTTTAAAAATTGGTCAGCAAGACAAATTTACCTGTTTCATCAATTTTAATTTCTGGGTTCTTTTTATCCAGGTCTGCTGGTTCTGACAAGTCAAACAAAATTGAAAGAGATATTTGAACTGCCATCAAAATATAATGCACCAAACTACACAAACCTTTAGGTACATGCACACACACACACACACACACACACACACGTGTCTACTGGGCTCCTTTTGGATTTTTTAGTTCAATCAGAAATCACCAAACAGATCAATAAAGAGGCAATGTTAAATGACCGGGAAATTGGTAATGTGACATCACAACACTGCCTTTAAGGTGCCATATCTAAATCCAGGTAGCACTGCTGCTAGCAGAATCTGTTGTTTTAGGAGACAAGGGTGGGCTGGGTATGCTGGCTCGTGCCTATAATTCCAGCACTTTGAGAGGGCAAGGCAGGAGAACCACATTAGGCTAGGAGTTTAGGACCAGCCTGGGCAACATAGTGAGATCCCATCTCTACAAAAATAAAAAAATTAGCTTTCCAGCTGCTTAGGAGGCTGAGGCGGAAGGAGAGCTTGTGCCCAGGAGATGGAGTTTACAGTGAGCCATGATGGTGCCACTGCACTCCACCCTGGGTGACGGAAGCAAGAGCCTGTCTCAAAAAAGCAAAAACAACAACAACAAATTTAAAAAAAAAAAAAAAGAAGAGAAGGGGGAAGAGACATGGTTTTGGCATCTGAAATGTGGAAAAAAATCTGGTGAATATAGGTTCTACTGAAGTAGATTCGTACATATGGTGACCATCCTATAGTTTGTAGATAACTGCTTCCTAAATTTAGTGTGCGTTAGTTTGGCTTCTCGAATAGTATGCCAACTCTTTGAGGCAAGAGACTGTGCCCTGTGTATTACAAAAATAGATAAATACATAAAATAGCTATTGAAGAAGTAGAGTTCCAGTATTCCTGTGGTACTAAGTACAGAGCAGGAATTTTTGAGTGCTTTGTCCACTGCTGTATTCCAGCATTTACAACAGTGTCTAGCACATCATAGGTGCTTTAATAGATATTTGTTCTATGTATGAATGAATGAAAGATTAATAAATAGTTGATAATCTCATAGCATCCACACCCAGATGTTCAAGGATGCATATTTGATGAATCATTGTACAATTGTCTTACACATATTTTTATTGGTAGCAGCATAAACAAATAAACAAAGTGGTTTAATGGAGCCGTAGTTGTGAATTTCCCACTACAATGTCTGGCAGCAACTACAGCTAAATGGACAAATCACAAGAAAAGAAAAAGTCCCATAGAATTGTCTCAACTATGTGCTTTCTTTTCTTTTCTCCCTTCCTTCCTTCCTTCTTTTTTCTTTTTTTTGAAATGGGGTCTTGCTCTGTGGCCTAGGCTGGAGTGCAATGGTATGACCTTGGCTCACTGCAACTTCCGCCTCCTGGGTTCAAGCAATTCTCCTGCCTCAGCCTTCCGAGTAGCTGGGATTACTACAGCTGCGTGCCACCACGCCCAGCTAATTTTTGTATTTTTTAGTAGAGATGGGGTTTTGCCATGTTGGCCAGGCTGGTCCTAAACTCCTGATCTCAAATGATCCTCCTGCCTCGGCCTCCCAAAGTGCTGGGATGACAGACGTGAGCCACTGCACCCGGCTCAGCCATGTACTTTCACTGGAGCATCCGCATGCTGCTTTGCATATGGTATGTAGTCAGTTAGAACTTGTTGAACCGAATTGAATTTCGTTAGAACTTGTTGAACTGAATTTAATTTCGTTTCTTTGTTTTAGTCTGTGGAGTTTGTTCTCACATCCCAAAACATCACCATCATCACTCTCACTTTGGAATGGAGAAGTGAAGAAATCACAGACACTGTGTTACTACATGAAATACACATTTTTACAGCAGTGTAGATATGGATGTGGGTAATTTGTAAAGGAGTTGCAACTAAACTATTAAGCCTTATCATTCTTGTGAAGATTTGCTAAATAGTGCAGCACTAAGCAGATTCCCTTTAATAGTATGAAGAAGCAAGCCTTTATTCATTGCTCCTTTCTTTTTGCCCAATTTCTTCGATGGATCCTATCAAATTATTGCCGCTTTAGGGATTATATATATTCAATATATTATATAATAAAAGCTTTGTAAGTTGCTGAAGTGACCAAAACCCCCATTACAGCCAACAGACCTCCTTTGTCTTAAATTGGCCCAATAGGCTTATCCCATTTTGTTATAATTAACATCCTATTATATAATGATGTATAACAAAAGTTTCAATGTAGCAAATGGAGCTGAAGACTAATTACTGTGCTATTACACTGCCATTAGTAATGCTATTTGTAATTATATATCAAGAACTAGGGAATATGAATTGGTTTTCTATGTCTTACATCCACCTAGTACAAGACCCATAAAGACCAACTCTGAAATACTAGGCCAAGTCTCTGAATCTCATTGAAGTCCTTTAAGTCATTTCAGATATTTTAAAAGTCAGAAACATCTACTTGTGATAAAGCAAAGAATTATGGCTTCTATGGTTCATTAACAATGCATTCTTAATTAAACTTATTCTGATCAAAGTTTTCAGAGGCCTGCTGTTTTGTTTATACACCCAGATATTTGGAATTATCCAGATGTCTGACTTTCCACTGTTCATCAAAATGTTTCGGTATGGCATCTATAGCTTGTAAGCTGGGTCTTCTTAGCTATCATCTTTGGATTCTGCATTATTTGTGGAGTTTTATAGGTATCAAGCAGCCATTATGAAGGACCTAGGGTAGGTGACGGGGCAGACACAGGTAAATTGGGCTGATTGTATGCCCTGTTGCACCAGAATACGCATTTCCTATGATGTGCCGAGAGGCCACACCGAAATTCTAGGTAGAAATGAGCAAAACAAAGACCATCATATTGGCAAGAGTCTTGCCCTGGGCAAGCACTCCATTGGTTTCTACAGCAGCTCATACTTACTTGCACAATCTTCTTGTGAAATGTGGTTATTAATACTAATGTCATCCACAGCAATCCCACCAAGGTTTCCTTTTCCGATTTCGCCCTCGAAAATCACCTAACAAAATAAGATCATTTTCACAGTATTGAAATGCTCATCTCACATGGCAGTGTTTACAAATGCTTGTTCAGCTCCAGCTACGGCACATAAATTAAATTCATCAGATTCAGCGTAACACAGACTTCACTCATCAATCCACATTAGCTGCCTGGTGATGGTATGCACCTTCTCCTTACACTCTCTTCTTATAATACAAACTTTAAAACGGGAGAAAGCAGCAAACAAAAGGAATGATACATTGTGAAAGCCCAGAAATAGATGACACGGAAGCCCTTTGTGTTCCTTCTCAGCAAATTGGTTCTATTCCTGCAATCTAGGAGACTGTGAAATCTGCTATTAAGGTGGTTATCATTGCAGCAATATCTCAGGGTTGGGAAACACTGGAAATAATTTCGGAATAATTCCCATGTCTCATTTGCACAGCCTCCAACATATCATCTCAGCATTCCTGCAGCCACTGCCCTCCCCAGCCTTGGGAAGAGGTCATACCTGATAAAGTTTCAGAGACTTGTGGAGCAAGACACGCCCTTCCTTCCAGTGGTCACCTTGGTGTCCAATGGCCATCCAGACCAGCTGATCGTACTCCTCTGGCTTCTGGTAGCGCAGTTTGACCCTGAGTGTGCCGACGTGGGACCCAGACATGTGATACCAGAAGGTCATGCAGTGGGCAGAGTTCTGGGAATAAACCACAGGGCTCACCAGGCGAGCCACTTTGCCCTTCTGATTTTCGTCAGCTTGGGAATAGATGAAGTTGCCATCTCCTGCTGTGACAAAGAACTGTGTTAGGGAGAGTGGCCAGGATTACCACACTTTTATCTCTCTTCTTTCAAGTCTCACTAATCAAAAGCTTCCTGCGCTGAGCACCAAGAACCCAAATACGTAGTGGAAAGGGATAAGTGTGCACACTTGGGGACCTCATGGGCACCTAAGGCCCTGCTCTCAGCTCTTGCAAAATGGACATTTGATTAGGGGAAGGCTGAGTGGCACTAATTAGGATACTACTTATAATGGAATGCATTTTCATATGGACACATGCTATGCCTCAAGCTGGCATTTGCACCATCACAAGCAAACTGAAAGCAAAGTCTGTGCATAGACTGGACTGAAAACTCCTGGCTCTTAGAGAAACCTTATTTATTTATTTATTTATTATGTTAGACACTCCTGTTGCCCAGGTTGGGATGCAGTGGTGTGATCATAGCTCATTGCAGCCTCAAACTCCTTGGTTCAAGTGATCATCCTGCCTCAGCATTCTGAGTAGCTATGACTACGGGCCCATGCCACCATGCTCAGCTAGTTCTTAAAAAGATTAATTTTTTTTTTTAAGTAGAGATAGAATCTTGCTATGTTGCCCAGGCTAGTCTCAAACTCCTGGCCTCAAGCAATCCTCCCACCTTGGCCTCCCAAAATGCTGGGATTACAGGCATGATCCACCACGCTGGGCCCAAGAAACCCTGTTTTTATGCAACTTTAAGATCACACTGCGGCACCCATGTGAACACATGCATTAAATGAAATCATTGAGATGTATTTTTATTTATCATTTGAGCAGCAGGACTTCTGATTAATGAAATTTCTGTCACTATGACTGCTTGATAATCATAAACCTGTAGTTTTTCCTAATAATGTAGTAATCTTTTTTTTTATACTTTTCAAGTTCAGATTATTTTTCCCGTAGTTTGTTTTCATGGTTTTCGAATTCCTTAAACACACCTGAGAGCTTGAATCTCTACTGTGAGCCCTGCTTCTATTTGATGTGGGCTTCTGGCTCAAGGAGAGGCAAGGTTGCCTTGTTGAGGTTCATTAGAACGTGCCATTTTGGCAACTTAGACACTTGCTGAACTGCGAGGACTTTCTCTTGGCTTCGCTTTTAATGACCCCCACTGGGAACATTTCCTCCTGCCACCACCTGGTCAACACAGCTCATGTTTCACTGTTGGCTCTGCAAATAGAAATCATCTTCTCTAACACCTCACCTGATTAAGTGTGAATCTGCTGCTCGGGCCTCAGTGGGCAGCAAGAGGTTGTGTTTGTTGCCCAAGAGACTTGTGTGTTTGCAAGGTGCTTTCTCACTGTGCACACGTGGGCACATACTCCTTTCCGCTTGCCTGTGTCAACAGTGTCCAGGTGGATGTGGACGTGTTCATGGGCAGCTTCCTTTCCTTACCTGGTTGCTTATGTGAGAGCCCGCCCTTCTTCAAACCAACGGGTGGAATCATAAAGGAAGGGTGTTCACAAATGGCAGCTCTAGCAGTAGGTTTGATACTGCAGGATGAATGTCCCTCTCGCTCTCTGACCTTGCAGGTGTCCTCTGTGACTGAGCTGATCCATTCACACTTAGGATTTGTTTTGCCCACTAATTTATCAAGATGTGATTACTTGTCTGTGGGATGGTGCCATTTCACTGTGATGAATCCACCACGATGGGAAAAAAATACACCCATCGTGCCTCTGTCCCCTCAATCTTACGGAAAAAAGACTGAAATTGGCAATGCTGCTGCCATGTCTTAATCCCACTTATTGAGCTCATTGCTCAAAGTTTATTGAGGCTAGTCAGAGAATGGGTGTTAGAAAGAAGGAGAGAAGTGGACGTAGGTAGAGGGATGCTCTCCCATAGGACATCCTCACTCAACTGCACCATAATCACTTCCCATCCACAACTAGACAGTAAGTTCCTCAAGCACAGAGACCCCCTCCTTCATACCTGTATTTCCAGTGCCCAACACAGCACCTGCCATGTAACAGGGCTTCTCAAATGATGCCTGTTCAGTGCAGTAGGAGAGATGCCAGATTTCAAGAATCCTCTGCCTGAGGAAGTTCTTATGGTCCCTGCCTTCTCACACTGTGGTCTTTAAATATGCTCGTGTGGCCGGGCGCGGTGGTCCACGCCTGTAATCCCAGCACTTTGGGAAGCCGAGGTGGCTGAATCACCTGAGGTCAGGAGTCCGAGACCAGCCTGGCCAACATGACAAAACCATGTCTCTACCAAAAATACAAAAATTAGCCGGGCGTGGTGGCGGGCATCTGTAGTAGCTCCTACATAGCTGTAGTCCTAAGTAGCTGGGACTACAGCTACTTAGGAGGCTGAGACAGGAGAATCGCTTGAACCTGGGAGGTGGAGGATGCAGTGAGCCAAGATCACACCACTGCACTCCAACCTAGGCAACAGAGACCCTGTCTTAAATATATATATATATATATATATATATAAATTAAAACTGCTCGTGTTGCTCCTCTGCTTAGAATTCTTCAGAGGCTGCTCACTGCCTGCAGCCTATCCACACTTCTTCACAAAGAGGGAGCGCTGGCAGCCCCTCCAATGGACCTTTTATCCACCCCCATCCTGTTTTCCTCCTGGTCACTGCATCACCAACTTAAGGTATAGTATAAAGAACCAGCAGTGTCCTGCCAAACACACACACACACACACTCACTCACAATAAACACCCGATCCACAAACTTCTGCTCTACTCAGTGAAAATGGAAGGAATCCAATTTCATCAATTTCCTTGTCAATCTCATTAGGCAAGGAGGTAGTTCCCAAAGTCATGCACACTCTGCCTCTATCTAACTGCTTCCCATACAAAAACCTGTGCAAAGCACACCAAACATGAGCCAGTAAAATAAGCCTAGCTCAGCCGGTGTCTGAGACAGGGCTGCTTTCCTTGACCCCTCTTCCGTCATCTTTTACATGGTCCATTGTCACTGGCCTCTGCCATTGGAAGCCCTCACTGAACTGCACTGTGGTTGCTTCCCAACCATGATCAGACTGCGAGTTCCTCAAGCGTAGGGACCTCTTCCTTTACACGTGTATTTCCAGTGCCCAAGTCAGCATCTGCCCTGTAACAGAGCTTCTCAAATACCACTTGTTCACTGAACCAGGGAGAGATGCCAGACTTCAGGAATCCTCTGAAAGGAGGTACCTAGTTCCATTCTTTGAGGTCAAATGCAGAAAACCAAGCAAATGGGATGCCTTTCGATAAGCAGCAGGATATTTTACCTAGCTAGTGTTCATTTTCTTTTTAAACAACCCAATGTCTGGCTTGCAAAGTTTCACCAAATAATATTATAAAAAAAGCACCATCTACTCTCTAATGTCAGTCTATGCGCGGGAGCTTCGTGAAGGGCTCTTTTCATCTGGATCTTTTTCCCGTTAACAAGTAGTTCCTGCCTTTCAGATGTCGGGCTCACCCATCTCTCTACACAAATGATTGTGTTTCTAGAACTGCAGGGGCTCTTTCTAGTCGGAGCTGACCTGGCACAACTGCCAAGTAAATCTGGGTGGCTGAGAGAACAAAAGAGTCAAACCCTTCTGAAGGAATCGCACTTCTCAGCTGTTAATCTACGACAAGCTCTCCTTCTCTGATACTCTAACACATAAAGCACTGATATTTTCCCTTTCAAGGGTTTTATCACAGTTCTGGGTCAGGAACTCTGTCTTCATTTTCTCAATTAGCACTTTACTTCTGCAAGCCTTTTAGCTTTTGTCTCTGGCTAACATAGCTTTTAACCTCCTTTGAATGTCAGATCCTACTGAGCCATTTTGCTTCACTTTGCATCAATTTTTCCACCATTACTGCCTTCATTTTGGCTAATTGCATTTAGTTAATTTGATGCCATTTATATGTACAGTGCCATTTACAGTCAAAGTATTTTAAGTTTTCTAAAACTGCCTGTCTTAAGATTCAATTGAAAGTGTCTCAGATTTGAAGGAGTCCAATTTTATCCAATTTCCTTGTCATTCTCATTAGGCAAGGAGGTGGCTGTGGTGGAAGGAGGCCTATTCAACCTATTTAATGGTTATATTCACTGGGAGAAAAGTGAACCACAAAATGGGAAAGGCATGAAGTACCCTTGGCCCAGCCTTCAGTCCACTGACTCACTCACCCAAAGAGCCAAGATGGGGAGAATTTAATGAGATTTCCTAGCATCAGCAAATGCCCCCCTGGGGTACCTTTTGGGAAGCCACTACTTGAGCAAGCAGTGCTCTGTAAGTATTTCTGAGTGGGTGCAGAAGTTCATGGATTGGGCGTTTGTTGTGAGTGTGTATATGTGTGTGTGTGTATGTGTGTGTGTGTGCATGTGTGTTGGGCCAGACATGGCTGGTTATTTCTTTATTTTTAATTTTTATTTTTTTCTCTTTAGAGACAGGTTCTAATTCTGTCACCCAGGCTGGAGTGCAATGGTGTGATCATAGGTCACTGCAGCCTTGAACTCCTAGGCTCAAAGGATCCTAAAACAGACTCTGAGTAGCTGGGACTACAAGTGTGCGCCCTTATGCCTGGCTGATTTTAAAAAAAAAATTTATTTTGTAGTGTCAGTATCTTGCTATGTTGCCCAGGCTGGTCTCTAACTCTCTAACTCAACTGATTCTCCTGTTCTGGCCTCCCAAAGTGCTGGGATTACAGGTGTGAGCCACCACGTCCAGTCTGCTGGTCCTTTATACTGTACTTCAAGTTGGGCAGTGAAATGACTAGGTGGGTAGCAGGAAGGGGGCAGATAATAGAGTTCACTGGAGAAGCTGCCAGCTTTTTCTGTCCCCCAACCCATTCCTCCCCCACCAATTAATCTTAGGAAGAAAGTAAGGCAGGAGGTGGTGGGAGGGTTGTGATCTAGGGCATGGTGAGGTTTCTACCTGCTCAAAGGAAATACACTACACTTTCAATCTTTCCCCAGTGAATAAGAATTCCACACCGTCTTTCCCCACCTCCCCTTCAAGGGTCGGGAGAGAGCAAGCATTGTGAATTGTTTCTTTAGTTGTAAAATAAACGAGGGGACATAATATATGCTTGGACTTGTTTGAAAATAATTCAGAGTCAGGGATGACAGACATAAATTAAGTTTCCTATGATCTGATAATTGTTGAAGCAGGGTCGTGCACATAGAGAATTCATTCTACTATTTCTTTTCCATTTGTGAATATGTTTGAAATTGCCCAAAATAAGAAGTTCAGAAAAAGTATAAGATGAGGCTAGTTGCGGTGCCTCACACCTATAATCCCAGCACTTTGGGAAGCTGAGGTGGGTGGATCACAAGGTCAGGAGTTCGAGACCAGCCCGGCCAATGTGGTGAAATCCCGTCTCTACTAAAAATACAAAAAATTAGCTGGGTGTGGTGGTGTATGCCTGTAATCCCAGGTACTTGGGAGGCTGAGGCAAGAGAATCGTGTGAAGCCAGGAGGCGGAGGTTGCAGTGAGTGGAGCTAGTGCCACTGCATTCCAGCCCGGGCAACAGTGTGAGACTCCATTTCAAAAAAAAAAAAAAAAAAAAAAAGGATAAGATGAATGCTAATTCATAGATCCTTGCCCAATTTGCTGTTTTCAAGGAGGCCAATCAGTGGCCAACTTCAAGGGGCATTACTATGATTTGCCCTATGCTTCTCGCTACTAGGGAAAGAGACATTGTTAATTCTAGAAAATAATAGCACATGTGAACGCCTGTAGTAATTCCTACCCGCCCTAAATTCACAGACATTAGAAACCCTCCCAGTAACACAGCCTCGGAATCAAAGAGAATCTGCAAAGCCATGCAGCCGAAGTGAACTCTGTGATACCTGTGTGATCCTGAATGGGTCCCGTCTTGCTGGTCAACACACTCCACTTGAGCTGCACGTGATTGTCATGTTCCCAGTGGCAGAAGGTCTTGTGAGAGCCCCAGCCAAATTCACAGTTAAAACCATATGTTGGAAACTCTTCAGTGGGTGGGAAGTAAAAATAAGAGACAAGCAAAGAAAGGCAAATTTGATCATTTAGGGTCACAAAGGCCCTTGGTTCACTCATGGAAAGCACGATTTATACAACTTTATGTCTGTTTGAAAATTCCAGGAAAGCCAGGATTACCAAGAAACCAAAAGATGCATGGAGATGTCAAAATGTTTGCAAAACCACATTTAGTAATTTCTTTAAAAATCCAGCTTTAAAAGGATTATGGACTGCCTGTCAAATTGGGTTTACATAAAATCTCCAGGAAGGCTATTTTCTAAAGCACGTGTATTACATTTGCTGCACTCTCCCCATTTCCACAGTATTTAATATGAAAGCCATTCTGTTCTTGAGGATAAATCATATAAGTTGATACCCACCAATGAAAAGAATCTTAATTAGAGATTGACCCATGAAGCCTCAAAAGTGGAAAGTAACTTGGCGAAATGCCTCACCCAGGAGGTTTTCTCTATTTCCACCTCACCAGTTCATGCTTCAGGTCTTTAATGTCAGGGTTAGAATCTCTTAAGCATTTTAGGATTATTTTTTTTTCTTCCATGCCTTCTATAAGGTCGATTAATTTAAGTATAAATTTCTGCTTTTTTAATTTCTAAATTTACATATAAATTGTTCACCCGGCTTAAAACCTCAATGTAAGGTCATCTAAATCCAAAGCCCATTTCAATAGCTACCCGTTTTTACTTCTCTTTTCTTTTTTTTAATGTTCAAAAGGCTTCCTTAGGAATCTGAAAAGACAGCGTGAATGAATTCACGGGAATGACTTGCCTTGTGTGTGCCCTACAAGGTGCTGTTGGACTATGGTGTTTTTAAAACCCACAGCCTGACATTTTACACAGCCTCTTTTTGAAAGGAGCTTAACTTTTAAGTATGGGAAAAATGAAATCATTGCTACTTATTCCAAGTATGACTGTTGTTTTGGTAAACATAAGCTAACAATAAAAAAAATTCTAAAGATGAAATTCTCGGGCTTCTGCCCCCTCCTTTCGTCCTCCTATAAAGAACGAAGCCCGCAGATGCAGCTGTTTTCTCCAGTGACGAAGGGCCTTTAGGCTTGTCACTGACTTTAGGCAGTCCACGAGGTGGCAGCATTGAAACAAACAGGAAGGCGCCTGGGGCATCTGGACCGTTGAACTTAAAAATAAGCCTCAAAAGAATCCCTATGAACAATAAGGGAAGTCTGGTATTAGATGCTGTATTAGGGTCAGGCCAAGACCTTATCTCATTTTGAGCTTCTTTAACTTGCTTGTGTTTATTAACAAAGTATCTCGCCTTCTGCTCTGAGCCTTGTCTCCATGGCCCCTCCCCCAATGGCAGGAGGAATTTTAATGGGAAGATTTATTGAATAGATAAGAATGATTTACTTTGCATTTTTAGTTTATAAGGAACCCTTTTCTAGAGCTAATGTCAAATTTTGGAAGGAATCCACCATAAAAACTGTCCAAATGGAGCAGTTTGGATTCTCCCAATGATAATGTGACCTCCCAAAGGGTAGACAGAGCCAGTTTGGGAAAGTAAACTAGTAAGCTATGTGATGTGTAAAATGTGAGTACTTTCATTTAGTGCAAACAGGCTATATTTCACAGCTGTAGTGTCATCGGAGAGATATATTTCATGTCTAGTCTATCATAGCCATGAAATAGGACTTCTTAAGGCATGGGAAACCCTCTCCAAAATTTACCACTCTTTTCCGCAGCAAGATTGAATTATGTAGATGAAGTACAGTCAACTGAACGGTGACTGAATGATTGAGCAACCTTGGATGCCAACGCCCATGACCCTGAAATGTACTGTTGCATAATCTCATGTTAGAAAATGTTAATATTGGAACATGTTAATGTGTGTGTGGTTTTGATTTTTCTCCTTAAATGTACTTTATAAAACATGCACATTCAGGATAAAGAAAGCCACCCCAGCACACACAGTTCTGCCTGTATTTACTTTGTTAATACATTACATTTATTGTTTATAGAACAGAAAATGACATCATCCATTCTTTTGGCTCTTCATATTCTGATGATACCATAAAATGTAGGAACTTGGATATTTTTGAAATGACCAGGACATGGAACCGCTTTGCCTGAAAAAATGTTTCAGGCACTTCTCGCTTCAGAGAATGACAGTCTGCCTTTACCTTCCAATGTCCTTCCCCATCCTGTACATTTAACCAGGTGAACCGCTCTAAGTTTTTGTATTTTACTGCTCTTTTATCTTCTTGTCTTGATCATGTAACTTGTGGCAATTTGGTTATTTAAAGGATATGTTTTTAGATCAATGCCTTTTGTTGGGGAGGGTTATGGAGTGAGAGGTTCAATGTGGAAACTTCCAGCCTGGCTAGAAAGACAAACACACAAACCACCCATAAACATTTATAGAAAGGGAAAAGAAAGAGAGAAGGACAGAGGAAAGGAGAAAGGGAGAGAGAAAAGGAGAGAAAAAAGCAAATTAATGAATGAAACAAACATATAGGACTACTGACGTTTACGTTTTCAAAATATTACCCAAGCCCTGGCGGGGCACACAACTCTCATTAAATTCAATGGGGGTAATCCAGCTAAATCCCTTCTTGACTCTTAAAAATAGCAGGAAACAATATTCTGAACTTAAAACAAATTTACAGCCTCTGAGAGCAAGTACCAGCTGTGCTTGCCCAACCCATCTTGCCTGAAGTTGGATCATTAGCACCATATGTATGCATAAGGATTTAATTTTTATATCTGGTATTCCAAACTTCTATAGAGCAGTTTAACTCACTTGTTCATAGACTAGTCTTTCAGTCTAAACAAGCAGAGGTGCTCAGGCCCATACAATCGTAGGTGATGAATATACTCCGAACTGCTGCAGGAATGCTGGAGGAGCCTCAGAGGGTTAGAGCTCTCGCCAGAGAGAGCTAGATTAAAAATGTAAGGATCCCATCACTTGCTGGCAGAGCATTAACCAGCTTTTATGCATCTGATTACATAAAAGTATATAAATATTATATGCCCATGGAGTTTATTATATTGATGAGAATCAGCAAGATGAAATAGTAAGACTCTGAGTTGAGTCTATAATAGCAAAATGGAATTATGATGAAGGTTTTGAGGTCTCATTGACTGCTGCTTGTGATGATGCTTGAAGAATCTGGAGCCTGCAGAACAGTGTGGATCAAAGTATCAGGTGACTCAGGCCACTGGGTCAACTCTTCAGAGTTAGACCTGACCCCTGGCTTGAAGCATGCTCAAGTCCCCATGCAATATTCTGGGCATTGACTTAGCCAGAAGGTGACAATCAACAGAAGTCCTTCCAGGAAGGTCAGACAGCCCATTACCCACAAACAGAGCACTTGGAGTCCAGATTCATGACTCAGACAATGGAGAAACAGGAAAGCAAGTCAATTTGAAAAGAACTCTGCACTGACTGTGAAATGCAAACCGGACCTGACCACCCCTGATCAGTAGACCCGCGTGGTTTGGATTGAACTTGTTCAGATGGTGATAGCAACGGGTCCTACTGTTTGCAATTTGCATACCTGCCCTCTGACCACAGTAGACTCTGTGACAGGACCGACTGGCCCCTCTGAGAAGCCATCCCTTGAGTGACCTTGAGATTGTGCACAAATCAAATGTGTTAACAAAACCGCTCCTGCTCTGACAATATTGACCTTCAACATTCAGGGAAGATTACCTAGATTTGGAATCTGATAGAACTTTCCATTTTCTACACAGCTGTTGTTCACTTTTATTTTTTTTAACGATCCCTACCCCCTTTCATAGTCAAGGAGAAGAGAGATGAGATGAAACAAATTAGCTGGCGACTTCATAGTGGCTTTAATTACCTCTCTGGTAAGAGAAGAAACTGCAACAACAGCTAAAATGTTTGTTATATGATCAGAACTTCATTTGTTCACCTCACCCCTCTTCCCTATCCCAGAAAGGACATAGAGAACCAACTGGTGGTCACTACCCTTCATCCACAGAAAATCTTCCTGAGGGCTGAGAACTTTCAGGAAAGGTACAAAGAAAAGGAAAGGCACGGCTTTTTTCATGAGATACCTTCAGCTATGGGAGGTGCCTGCGCAGTCTTTGAAAGCCACATTTTACAACTTAAGATGTGTGTAGGACGACACCATTTTCTGAATTTAGGCAGTGACTCTTCTGTTTCATCTCTTGGTTTTGTAGAGGGTGTCTGGGCTGTGTGGTAGCAGGAATTTTGTCAACCTGAACATGCTACAGGGCAGCTGGGGGTTAAGTTTGACCAAAGAGAAGTTTGTTTTGCAGTTTAATCAGGTCAACAGTGACAGCGTCCTTTAAGGAAGCATACTAATTAGGGCGGCCCTTTCTACTTTCTGCCTAGCTGGGTAGTGTCATACCATAGAGGAAACATTGATATACACCACACGCCCCATTAATAAATGACTGCAGAAGCCAAGACTGAGTGAGCTTCAATAGAGGAAATGGGAGAAAGCTGGAAAACTGACCTGTTCACCTTAGTCTAATGATTAACTTTAAAGTATTTAAAACCTCTGATTGCTTATACTGACTGTTTCCCTTCATGTACGTCTGCCGGGAAGAATTTCACAGGATACTAACAAAACACAAAGGCCAGTGAGAGGAAGGCCACCGTTTAACCGTGACTGGCCCCTGATCGACAGCAAACCGAGGGCTTTAAAAGTCGTTACGCTTTTCTATTAATAAAAGGATGAGGAGGTGCTGTTCCCAAGGGTGTGCTTCTCTCTGTGCACAATTATAAACTCTGGTTTCCTGAACCCCGTTTTGTGGCACGCCCACTGGAAACACTGTTGTAAAACTGCCAACTCCATGGCAGGCAAAACTGACAAACTTTGCCTGCCTGGGTTTTGCAGGATTGGGATGAAAATAAATAGTCGGGCTGTGCTGCCTGTGAGATTTCCTTCTCCTGTAGTTTGCAAACACAATCCATGTCCTAGATGTGCTGCGTTTAAACAAAGTATGTTACTCCGTTCCTTCAGTGGAGAGCTGGGATTGTCACCATTTGGCAATTACTGATGGAGAAGGAAATCTCACTCCCTGCTGCATATACATGTGGATGAAAGGAAAGCAATATTTATGGCTCATGCTTGGAGACCAGATGCTGTGTGGCATCTCTCCTTCTAGGACTTTCAGAGAAACTGAAAGCGAGGAGCGCAGCCGCGGAGAGAAGAGAGGTACATGGAATCTGTCACATTTCGTATTTTATTTGATACCTGATTGTATGGTGCTGTCTATGACCGTGGGCTTTTCTGTGGCCAGCACAGTGGTGCCACCTGAAAAACAAAAACAGGAACATGCAAAAATAAGAAAACAGTAGCGAATATGCAGGAGAAAAATGTATGCTTACAAATGTCTATCAGAGGCAAATATTTTCCATAGAAAAATCCTTTTAATTTCAATGATAGCAATTGTTTCCCTTCAATTTTGCTCACCACAATATCAAATTCAAATAAACCATTATTTTTTTTTTTTACCTAACGCATTTCTTTTAAAAATTTATAAATAAAATAATTGTCTAAATTAACAAATGGAAGTTGTATATATTTATGGCATACAACGTGATGTTTTGGTACACTTAGTGGAATGGCTAAATCAAGCTAATTCACATATGCATTACTTCATAAACCTATTTTAGGCTTTTTTTTTTTTTTGGTGAGAACACTTAAAATCTAATCTCTTAGCAATTTTCTTTTTTTTAAATTTTTAAATTTTTTTTTTTTTTTGAGATGGAGTCTCACTCTGTTGCCCAGGCTGGAATGCAGTGGCACAATCTCGGCTCACTACAACCTCCGCCTCCCAGGTTCAAGCGATTCTCCTGCCTCAGACTCCCGAGTAGCTGGGATTACAGGCGTGCACTACCATGCCCAGGTAATTTTTGTATTTTTAGTAGAGACAGGGTTTCACCATATTGGCCAGGCTGGTCTCAAACTCCTGACCCCAAGTGATCCATCCACCTCAGCCTCCCAAAGTGCTAGGATTACAGGTATGAGCCACTGTGCCCAGCCTGCAATTTTCAAGTAGACAACGTATCCTAACACCTTTCTTTACAAAGCATCCAGAAGGCACCCAGAAATTGGGACTTCACTCCACGGGCACTCACTGATTCCCAGACGACGCATGGCACACAATTGCAACAGTGAAAAGCAAAGGCCTCTGAAAAAGCAAAGCCACCTTCTCGGTGACTTGGGTATTAAACTTGACCTCAACCTCTAAGCTTCAAATCGTTTTCCAAGGTTTCAGGTGTGTGCCTTTAGGGAAGTTGCAAGGCTAGTCCCCACAATCTATTTTAAAAACTAGAAAACTGAGGGTTTAAAGTAAGATGCTATGGTTCCTCCTCTGTTTGGCTACTGGAGCTGTTTACTTTTCTCAAGGACAAATACCCTGCCCTGTATGTGGTTTGGAGAAGCTGCAGGAAGCAGCAGGAAAAGGGGAACAGGAGAAATATTTCATAGTCCCAAGGAATTGGAAGACTGAACAAATAACACCCTGAGTGCTGTGAACTTCCAATTAGTGCAGGCCTACTGCATCTCACTGGTCAGGGGACAGGCTGTAACCTTATCTATTAAGACTTAGCTTTACCCTCTCTTCCACCTCTTTACTCACCCATTTCCCACTGTTCATCATTATACTTCTGTTTTAAAGTAGTGTTCTTAAACTTGCCCAACCATAAGAATCACCAGAATGCTTGTTGAAATTGCAGTCTCCCATCCACCTGTCCTCTCCAGACCTAAATGAGAATTGGAGTCTCTAGGTGTGAGGCTTTGAAATCTGTATTTTTTTGAGACAGAGTCTTGCTGTCACCCAGGCTGGAGTGCAGTGGCGCCATCATGGCTCACTGTGGCCTCAAACTTCTGGGCTCAAGGGATCCTTCCACTTCAGCCTCCTGAGTAGCCAGGACTACAGGTGTGCGCCACCATGCCTGGCTGTTTTCTATATATATATATATATATATATTTTTTTTTTTTTTTTTTTTTTTTTTTTTTTTGGCGGAGACAGGGATCTCACTGTCTGGCCCAGGCTGGTCTCAAACTTCTGACCTCAAGTGATCTTCTCGCTTTGGCCTCCCAAAGTGCTGGTGTTACAGGTGTGAGCCACCATGCCCAGCCAAAATCTGTATTTTTGAAAGCTTTTCAGGTGAGTCTTTTAACCCACTGAGTTTGGGAAACAGTGGTTTGCTGTTATTACGTAGGTGGTTGAGAAAGCTGTTTTTCCTTATGTCTATCCACGATGCAGATTATGGTTGGAAGTAACCTGTTATGTCCAGATACAGTATTGAACCAATTCAGGGTAAGGGAATGGGGTGGGCCCATGCCTACCATGGAAAGTTCTGGAGGTGGTTACAGGGTGCCATAATTGTGCACTTCCCAATAATATCATTCAGTAAAGATTTGTGACGATCTTTATTTGGGACAGGCCTATCTGGCAGCTCCCACAGATCAGAAATCATGTTACATATCCATAGCATGAATCAGAGGGCCATAAAATCGTGCTCTTGGAATGGTCTTAAGATTTCTAGGCTAATCAACTGCAGCACCAAGTCATGGTACCTCAGTTCTCCCAGCAA
The DNA here is from genome assembly GCF_000001405.40 of Homo sapiens. Lineage (NCBI taxonomy): Eukaryota > Metazoa > Chordata > Mammalia > Primates > Hominidae > Homo > Homo sapiens. The sequence continues at coordinate 33,200,001 of NC_000010.11, forward strand.
ATATGCTGGATGAGTGGTCACATGTGTGCATGGCCTCAATAAGGCAGGCACTAGGAAGAAGGAATTATATGTATTATGGGTTAAGAAGGTGAATCTATAATGGCAGAATTGGAGGGAGGCCAGGATACATTAGCGTTCTGTTCCCAGTGGTCTTATAGGAGAAAGATTCAAGGTGAAAATTCGCTTTTTAAAACCGATATGCATTATCAGTTTTGCTATAGTTTGGGAGGCAAATTCCACGGTTGGGTACACACAGCTCCAACGTAAAATTTGGCTGCCTGGTGCCTTTGAGGCCAAGTGTATTATCTAATGACTTCAAAGGCATTTGCAAATGAGTAATTTCAGGGAAGCATTTTCACCTTGGCTAGCAGGTCTGGGAGAGCACATTCTACTCATTTCCATGCATTTGGTACAGTACACCTGGAATTTGGTGTGGTTTGTAAGTAACGAGCATTTCATTACAATATTTCTCCCCTCTAGATACAAGTAGGTCACCCCAGGAGAAGAAATTAAATCCACACCACCTGTGCTAAGGAACAGACAACCCCTAAAGACAGCATTGATCCCAATTTCCATGTTCTACCTATTAGGGTTAAAGCAATAACGCTCTTGGTTTGGTTTCATCACACTAAACATCCACGTTTGTAGTCCTGACAGCAAAACCTATGCCAGAATTAGCAAAAAGGATGCAAAATTGCTTGTGAGCATAGGAGATGTGTAGTTTCCATATAAAAAGGTGTCTGGGTTAGGTGAGGTTTTTGCCTCTTGCAAACAATGGCATGTGAGCACATCCATTTTCAGAAAAGAATAGCAAATGGTTTTGTAAAGTAAAATATGTTTTAAAAAGAAAAAGACTGCCTTCTTGCAATAATGAATATGAAGCAGGAGAATGTCTTCCAAAATGGCTTCTTCTTGATGGAGGTGTGGGGCAGGCCTTATCAACATCCTCAGCGGTTCTTAGTATATGAGAGTATTTATAGAATTATTGAGACAAACGTGCTGATCTGGGAATAACTCTTTTTTTCACCATGCTAATATGTAAAAAGAAAAAATCAGAATGAACTTTCTTCTATCTACCAAAGAAATAATTGAAACACTGTAGGTAAAGCAAAACCTTATAGTTTTGAAAGGTTGTCAGTGTTTCCACTATAAATGACCCATTTTCTGTGGTTTGTAACTCGCTGCCATACACAATTTGCTCCAGGCTAACATACTCGCCCTATTTCATTCAAAGCCTTCAGTTTCAATTGATTCAGTCATGAACTAATGCAAAAATGAGAAGGCTGGTTGTTCTGATATGAGGAGTAAATCTGAGGCTTTGTTTCTAATCAATATTAACTGACCACTTTAGGGTTTATGAAGAAAAGAACCCCTTCCACAAGAGGGCAATTGAAAGGGCACACTGGGATCCTGCAATCATTCCTTTTTTATGAGAAATTTCACTATGGATGTGTGACGGGGTCTGTAAAAAGCCTGAGGTTTGTGGCAGAGTGTTTACAGGCAACCCCGGGAAGCTTCCAGAGGACTTGGTTCATGGAATAGTACTCTGTTTTTTATATCAGTGGTTGAGTTTTCAACTTGAACTTGACATGTTACACAGAAAATGTCTCTGCATTAATTAATCTAAGTTTTGTGGCTTGTGGCTGCTTGTATACAAGATTTGCATTCAAAAGCTCATAGCAATGTGACATTTATTGGCCATATGAATGTAAATGATTATCCTGGAAATTTGGAGAGAGACAGCTTTAGGAGGTGGGATTTAAATGTAAACTCAGTTCACAGTACTAAATTTCTGGGACAGATTTTCAATTTTTTTTTCTTTCTTTTACTCTTTATTCCATCTTAGAGTGCAGAGCCCTCTCACTCCTTCAGAGGAGAGCTTTTGAAATAATTGGAAATGTACTCTAGGACACTTCCTTCCAGATTTTGTACGAATGCATTAGCCAATAACATGGCTTTATTATGAAGTTACATGGTAACGCCTTCAGTTTTGCCCATGGAAATTAATTATGTGGGCTCTCCGAGTCCCTTCTGGGTAAAAATGCAGACCTGCATTCAAAAGCTCATGTTTAATCTCAAATGAGAGTCAGATGCTATTGAAACTGCGTTTTGACCCAGGGAGCAGTAAAAGTCCCACGATACCTTTTGCAACCACAGGGTGAAAACCCTAGTGCCTTGGCCAATTTCCAAATGGTATAATCCCATTTCTCCACTTGCCTAATATTTCCTCTGCCATTCCAAGTGGAAGAGAAGGTCATTTCCTAGCTTTTAGGGTTTTAGGAGATTAGAGAGTAATACTCTAGATTAATTAGTGAGACATTTGGCACACAACATCTCTGATGCATTTGCTGGTCGGTGGTGATGTGAAATAGCAGCTAATTCTGCCTTTGTAAATGTTAATGTACAATGATTTACCAAATCCCAACTTAAAAGCCGCACTTCAAATATAAGCCTAACTTTATCCATTTGTTGGATAAAGGATCCACTCAAAAAAACTTGTCCTCATTAGAAAATGAAAATAAACATTCTGAAGTGTGTGGTTACGTAGGGGTGGTGCACGTGTTATTGGGGGGGGGTCTGAAAATAATGAAAATAAGGATCGGTTTAGTACATTTAGCCATGGGGAAATTCTTATTCAATTAAGATAATCCTAGCCTTTGGCTCTCGAAATGGCTCAAATTATTGTTACAAATGGTTGTGGCTATTAAGAACAACTCATCTATCCAGATGACATGAGGAAATGAAGATGCACGTGTTCTGGCAAGGCAGCTTCTATTCCTGGGCAGCTCTCTGCCATGCGGAGTTACAAGCACACACACAGGCGTTAGCTGGTCCCAACTAAGACATGAACTGAAATGGTACAGCAATGGGATGAAGATGGTTTCTGCACCTGTGAGCTGGAAGTCATCACCTGTTCCACTGTGGCAGTTGGCCTGGTCGTCATCACATTCATCCACCAAGTTCCCGTTGGGAGTGGTCGGTCCAGCTGTAGGGGCTGAAACAAGATCCAAGGATTATTATCTCACACCTTGGAAATGTATTCTCAAGCCTCTGGCTGTTGGATCTGCTAACGCTTATGCAGAAAACTTTAATCTGCGGTAAGAAGACCAGGGGCATGGTTTGCCTCTCTTTCAGGAGCTAGATATACTTGGATTCTGCAGAATATATAATAGCAGAGGCTGCTTTGTTTTGGTATTTGATTCGTATCTGCCGAGTAGAGTTGTCTGCCTTAGCATTTTATACATTGTTATCTACATAAACATCCTTCTTCTGAAAAGCTCTTGAATTCTCACTGGTTATTTATTCAGGACCCTGGAGTTGAGAACTTTGAAGACAGAGATTTTGCTTGAAACGTTTTCCCTTTCATTTTCAAGGTGTTAGAGCACTCACTTGTCATAAATTCTTTTATATTCTTAGTATTGACTATGTTTGCTAAGTTTATATTATAATTCTTCCCCAAAGGGAGTCAACGTTCACATTTAGTGCAATAGTGTTTTTTTAAAAAAAAACAAAAAAACTAAAAAAACAGTGATTCCATTTCTCTGTAAGTAGCTTCTCAAACTGTGAGCCCTCTCTCCAGGGCAGGTGTGTGAGAGAAGTTGTCTCAGATGTCCCGGGGTCATTTTACATGAACTCTCATAGGACTGCATTCCACTGTTCACAGGTATTCCCATATCTTTGAATTTGCAGTTGAAAGGTATCCAATATTAATCAAAGACTGCTTTTTTTTTTTTTTTTTTTTTTTTTTTTTGAGACGGAGTCTCGCTCTGTCGCCCAGGCCGGACTGCGGACTGCAGTGGCGCAATCTCGGCTCACTGCAAGCTCTGCTTCCCGGGTTCACGCCATTCTCCTGCCTCAGCCTCCCGAGTAGCTGGGACTACAGGCGCCCGCCACCGCGCCCGGCTAATTTTTTGTATTTTTAGTAGAGACGGGGTTTCACCTTGTTAGCCAGGATGGTCTCGATCTCCTGACCTCATGATCCACCCGCCTCGGCCTCCCAACAAAGACTGCTTTTGAAGTCCTTTAAATTTCGTTCAGATATTTTTTTTAGCCTGTTACTCATTTTTGCAATCTGTTTAATATTTTACAGTTTTTGGCATTACGTTTCACTTTACAAGACTTGAGATAATGGATAGTTCTCGTGATGGCTGAGAACCATACAAGATGTTGGTGGCTGGGGCCTGTTCTCTTCTCGCCAGTAGGAATGTGTCAGTAACTGCTGCTTTCTTAGTAAAAATTTGACACTGAATGGTGCTGAAACACCAAGCAGAGTTACGGCACATGGAGAAACAGAGCCAAGTTTCAACTTCTTCAACGGCCCAAAGATACACACCAGTAATAACTAAGAAGTCACCAAGTGCAAATAACATACATGCCACTCAGGCCTGCAATCCAGACTTTTTTACAAAACACATACACCCGAATTCTGGCCTGTATTTATTGCTCTTGCTGAAACAGTAGTATCTCCTCTGGCAAGCCAGATAGTTGTCTTTCTTCCCTAAGCTCTCCTTGCTCCAGATAATGTGCTACCTTTAAGTATTTAAAACTCTATTCATTTTGCTGATTTTTCTGCATTCATCAAGCTGTTTCTAAAGGGGAGTTCCGCATTGTAAATGGCCCGAGGTAGTCCCTAGATTCACTAGATTCAACGGAAAAAAAAAGGAGGAAGCAAATGATATGTATGTTCCAGTTTTACTATTTGAAAATATATTATCTTCTATGGTTCTTTATTTCTTTTTTCTTTTTTTGAGATGGAGTTTCACTCTTGTCACCCAGGCTGGAGTACAATGGCATGATCTCAGCTCACTGCAACCTCCGCCTCCCTGATTCAAGAGATTCTCCTGCCTCAGCCTCACGAGTAGCTGGGATTACAGGCGCCCACCAACACACCCAGCTAATTTTTGTATTTTTAGTAGAGACAGGATTTCACCATGTTGGCCAGGCTGGTCTCAAGCTCCTGAGCTCAAGTGATCTGCCCGCCTTGGCCTCCCAAAGTGCTGGGATTACAGGCATGAGCCACCACACCCGGCCTGTGGTTGTTTATTTCTTAAATGTAAGTGCTAGCACAAAATAGGACAGACACTCCTGGGAGGCTGGAGTGGACTGCATCTTTCTCCTGCATTCCCTTAGGTGTCTCCCCTAGAACAAGGCACACAGTAGATACTTAATAAGGGCCTGTTAACTGATTGAAGGGAGAAGAAAAGCATTCCTTTTCACCAATCATATCAAAAAGCTTTGACATTACTTTCCCCAGATGTTTGTTTCACATACGGCCCAGGGCAATGTCCTCACTTTTGTGAGTGCTTGGAAACATCTGTAGGCAAATCCCTTCACCGATCATTTCTACCTCACTACAGAGATGACACTAGAGAGTGGAAACTCTAACTTCCCAATGAGTCCTCATTGCCTGCTGCCTAGACAAGGCCGATTTATCAAGACAGGGGAATTGCAATAGAGAAAGAGTTTAATTCATGCAGAGACAACTGTATGGGAGATGGGGGTTCTATTATTACTTGGGGTTTAGGTTTTGAAGGGTAATTTGTTGAGCAGGGGTTGAAAAGGGGCAGGTGCTCATTGGTCAGGTCTGAGGTGAAATCACAGGGAGTCAAAGGTGTCCTCTTGTGCTGAGTCAGTTTCTGGTGAGGGACACAAGACAGGATGAGCCAGTTTATCGATCTGGGTGGTGCCAGCTGATCCATCAAGTACAGGGTCTGGAAAATATCTGAAGCACTGATCTCAGGTTTTACAACAGTGACATTATTCCCAGAAGCAATTTGGGGAGGTTCAGAGTCTTGCAGCCTCCAGCTGCATGACCCCTAAACCATAATTTCATTTTTTTCCCCCTAAACCATAATTTCCAATTTTGTGGCTAATTTGTTAGTCTTGCGAAGGCAATCTAGTCCCCAGGCAGGAAGGGGGTTTGTTTTGGGAAAGAGCTGTCATTGTCTTTGTTTCAAAGTTAAACTATAAGTTCCTCCTAAAGTTAGTTTGGCCTATGCCCAGGAATGAACAAGGACAGCTTGGAGGTTAGAAGCAAGATGGAGTCAGTTAGGTCAGATCTCTTTCACTGTCATCATGTTCTCATTACAATTTTTGCAAGCGTGCTTTCAAAACTGCCACCAGGCTGTCTTTTCAATTCTCCATTCACTCCACCTCCTAAATCAGCATCGCCTTCCAGAATCCAGGCTACAGATTCGCATCCAGGGAGCAGACTCCTTTTCCAGATGACCACATTTCTCCGTGAATTGAACGAACGCATCTGCAGTGAGTGGAGTCTGCCCATCTCTTCTTTTTCTTGGCATCCTTTGCCAAAGCCCTGGCACATGGACATTCTTGGTCTGTGTTGATAGTGCCTGGATAATTTAGGGGTTTGGGACATGACTACAGATATGGAAACAACCACACGGTGAAGAATAGGAGAAAATGGCCTGCTTTTAAATAAACACATTGAAAAGTAGCTATGAATTATTCAGGGGTATGGTGATTGATAGCTCAAGATTCTGTCATTCATAAGAAAAGTTTTATGGTATTTAATGTGCTCAGGAATGTAATTATATTTGGTAGCTCAAGACACAAATAATTTTAAAATTGCAGGAAGGTGACATTAAAAAGCATTCTTCAAAACAACTGTGAGCATATATGCTCGGTTGATTAACATCTGGATGCCTACAATAGTCATTCTTGAAGCTAGGCTGGAGCAAGACCTCTATGGGGATAGAAAAACTGGTGTAGGTTACTCAGTTATGCCCAAATCTAAGGCAGATGGGGATTCTAGTGCATAAATATATTAAACGGTACAATAACCCACTCAAAACATTCATTTCATTCATCATATGTTCAAAGAGAGTGCAGCCATGGGGTCAGTGCGTGGACTGAATTTGTACTTGATATGACCGTCATATAATAATCTAAGTGTAGGCAGTAATGTCAGTCTACTTTCAGACACGTTGTCTCATGTAAAGTTCTGTTTCTCTGCAGCAGCCTAAGATATTCATCCAGAATAATGTCTTGATGTCTTAGTCTGTCAAACGCTGCTTTCTGTTTCTATGTGCTGATAATCGACACTGCGGACCGAAACTGGATCAGACACAGACCTCTAAATAATATTTAAAAGGCAAAAGTGGTTGCCAGGGGTTGAGGGAAGTTGCCTGCTTTCTGGGTAAGGGGTTTTACTTTGGAGTGATGGAAATATTTTGGAACTAGAAAGAGGGTAGTTGGTACAACTGAATTGTAAATGTGCTAACTGCCACTGAGTTGTTCCCCTTCAAGAGGTGAAATTTATGTTCTATGAATTTCAACTCTATAAATTATCTTTTTTTTTAAGTAAAGAGAGACAATCTCATATAATCCGAGGAGAGTCATGCAAACAACCCAAGACAAAAGTAGGACTGTGAAGGTGCTGCCTTGTGACCTGTGTCAGAGCTTTGAGTCTCACTGATGGGCAGGCACCGAGATAAGGGGCCTCCCAAGGGAAAAGGGTAGGCAATTTGCAAAGGCACCATCAGGGGCATAAATGCATGGAAGAGGAAATTTAAAAACGCATGAGAAGTAACTCTGGAGATCATAATTACCTTCCACTTCACAGCCCAGCAGCTCCATTCTGAGCCCCAGTCCGCCATGAGTGGCTCTCTCGGGGTAGATCCTGATGAATCGCGTGGAGAGAGCTGGAAAAGTCCGCAGCTCAGGTGTATCATAGTTGTTGTTGCCCTCAAAAGACTGTGAAGCATGGAAAACACAGGGCATTAAGGAAAAAAAAAAACAGAGCTCCCTTTTAGCAACTGTTTCTTCCCTCCTTCAGGACTCTGAATAAGGCAGAGAAATTGGCTTCATTCTACCACTTTGTGGTACATCTCTTTCATAAACGAGAAAGGAAAAAAACAATTAAAGCTTCTCTAAGAAGTGACAGATGGCATTTATTTATTTATTCATTATTATTATTTTTTGAGATGGGGTCTCACTCTGTCGCCCAGGGTGGAGTGCAATGATGTGATTGCACCTCACTTCAGTCTTACCCTCCCTGGGCTCAGTGATCCTCCCACCTCAGCCTCCTGAGTAGCTTGGACTACAGGCACCCGCCACCATGCCTAGCTAACTTTTGTATTTTTTGCAGAGTTGGGGTTTCACCATGTTGCCCAGGCTTGTCTCGAACTTAGGGTCTCAAGTGATCTGCTTGCCTCTGCCTCCCAAAGTGCTGGGATTACAGGCATGCGCCACCACGCCGAGCTAATTTTTTGTGGAGACAGGGTCTCATGATGTTGCCCAGGCTGGTCTCAAGCACCTGGCTGCAAATGATCCTCCTGCATTGGCCTCTCCAAGTGCTGGGATTACAGGTGTGAGCCACTGCACCTGGCATGAGTTGGCACCTCTTTTGAAGTGTGTTCCTAGCTTGAAGTCCCTGTGACAGTTTTCAGGAGCTTGGCCACCCACTGCCAGTGCTGCTGCTGGCTTTGTTTCCTTTTCACATGCACGGGAAGATCAAAATCCTTGGTGGAATTCTGAGAAGATGGAGCAATGACTAGGCCAGTTTTCCTTTTCAAGAAATGGATGAGCCTCCTTATATCCTCTTCTCCAGCATCATTCTTAATCCCATTCCAAATGGGAGAAGGCGGAGGGGGAGGAGGAAAAGAAAATTGTCTCATCATAAGGAATGTCCTTTTAAATATCAAACATTGCATGATGTTTGATAGAGTAAGGCATTGTTCTAACTGCTTAAAATCTATTAACTCATTTAATCCTCAGAACAACTCATTTTGTCATCTTCCTATGATATTGAAAAACCATAAAAGTTCCTCAATTGTTTATATAGAACCTAATCTATGATTCCTAACACACCTTTCCACTGAAAAAAATCTCTAAGGTGAAAAAGAAAACTGATAAAATGGTCCATTTTAGAGCAGCCTTTTTTTTTTTTTTTTTTTTTTTTTGAGACAGAGCCTTGCTCTGTCACCCAGGCTGGAGTGCAGTGGCATGATCTTGACTCACTGCAACCTGTGCCTCTTGGGCTCAAGTGATTCTCCTGTCTCAGCCTCCTGAGTAGCTGGGATTGCAGGTGCACACCAATATGTCCGGCTAATTTTTGTATTTTTAGTAGAGATGGGGTTTCACCACGTTGGCCAGGCTGGTCTTGAACTCCTGACCTCAAGTGATCTGCCTGCCTTGGCCTCCCAAAGTGCTGGGATTATAGGCGTGAACCCCCATGCCTGGCCACATATTTTTTAACTATTCAGAGATTTTAAAAACATGTTACATTTAATTTTACAAATGAAGGTAAATTCTCCATGAGGTAAATTCTGTATTATGGTCCTTTTACAGACAAGGAAACTGAGGCACAGAGTAGTCAAATCACTTGCCCCATGGCCATACACACAGCAAGTGGCAGGGCCAAGACTCAAACCTAGCTGGCCTTAACTGGCGCCCTTAACCACACCACGATGCTGCCTCTGCCCTTACAAACCATCTAGTCCAGTCTCCTCATTTATTTATTTATTTTTTTAGAGATGGAGTCTTGCTCTGTCACCAAGGCTGGAGTGCAGTGGTGCGATCTCAGCTCACTGCAACCTCCACCTCCTAGGTTCAAGCGATTCTCTTGCCTCAGCCTCCAGACTAGCTGGGCCTGCAGGTGCCCACCAACATGCCTGGCTGATTTTTGCATTTTCAGTAGAAACGGGGTTTCACCATGTTGGCCAGGCTGGTCTCAAACTCCTGACCTCAGGTGATATGCCCGCCTTGGCCTCCTGAAGTGCTGGGATTATAGGCGTGAGCCTTCGAGACAGCCCAGTCTCCTGATTTTAATAGGTGAAAACACCACGGTCCAAGAAACATCTATGCCCAAGGCCACACATTTAGTTTCATTAATTTGTCTTTAATATGATGCAAATTGGGCTAGTAGACCTGGTAGATCAGATGGAGTGGCTGGCCGGCCCCAGGCCATGCCAGTCAGGAGTGGGAGCCATGCCCAGTAGCTGTGTCAAGACATCATAAACCAGCCTAATATGTGCTTGTTCGGTGGTGGAAATGTCAAAACAAAACAGTGGAAGCATGTCAGTGAAGACAGATTGGGTAGGTTGCAACAGAATCAGCAGGTTTCTGAGTTCTAGAAGTAAATTAATTGGCCTTTTCCAACTCAGAAAAGCCTCTAGGAGTTTAAAAATGCATTGCTAATATAGGCCTGCCTCTTCCAATTAAAATTTCTTTTTTTTTTTTTATCAAGAGTAAATTCACTATCGGGGTTCTGCACTTTTATAGAACTGCAATTGCTGCCAGTAATTGAGACTCTGACACATATTATTGTGAGGCCCAATTAAGTTATTGTCAGTAGGATACTAATTATAATGAAAATACCATTACTACATATGCAAGTTCTGTCTATGTTAACATACCTCCAAAGATCATAGGAGAAAAGCATTTATATCTATGGAATCCCAGGCTCATCTCTTCATTTTAACTTGAGCAAAGAATTAACACAATGTAAATACATTATAAAAGCTGTCAGTGCAGAGCTGGGAAGAATATTAGCAATGAAAACCCATATGGAACTAGGCTAACTGATATAATAAACTTACTTATGAATTCTTTGTGTTCTGTTGCTAATTATGTTTTAGAAGATGAGGACTTTGAGTGTTTCGACCTTCTCTCTGTTGCTAAAAAGTCTAGTTAATTCAAAGATTCTGATATAGCTTGCCCATTACCCACTATTTTTGGGGTAGAGAGTGAGGAAAGGGCATTGAAAATTTAAATCCATCCAAGTGCTGTGGATTTCACAAAACAGAGTGCTCATTTTACTTTTACATAAAAGGTACTTGGCATCTTAAGAGGTAGCCTTCACTTGTAAAATTAAATATAGCATGTTTTTAAAATCTTGATATGATTAAAAACCATGTGCCGCTCTAAAATGGAAGATTTTTACCCATTTCTTTTTTCGTCTTAGAGATTTTATTTCAGTGGAAGGGTGTGTTAAGGAATCATAGATTAGGCTGTATGTAAACAACGAAGAAGCTTTTACAGTTTTCAGTATCATAGGAAGATGATAATGATGGATAGAACCATATTTTAGAAATAAACCCTAACACGTTCATCCAATCTTGAATTGAGTATTTTGTGAAAGTTGAAAGATGTATATTGGCTTCTCATGGAATTCAGTGCTGGATTTACTACAGAAGAGTGATAGCTTTAGATCTGGTTGCAGACGCATGAATTATATAGAGACGGGGAAGCATGTGATGCATCCTATCAAAAGCATATGGTGACTTGTTTTCTTTCTCTCTCAGAGCCCTAGTGTTGAAGAACATGTCACACCAGCACACGCCGCCGTCGCCAGCAGCAGGAAGTTGTTGATTTGCAGCATATTCACACTTTCTGATGCAGTCAGAGCTCACTGCTTCTCAGAACAGATCCACTCAGAAGGAACTCCAGTTTCTGATGTTTATTTTACTTTTTCTTCCCCCCAAACAAGGCACAAAAGGGGAAAATGAAAGGGACACAAGAAAAAAGGTAGCTGCACAGAGAGATAAATATAACACTGAAAATATTTTAGAAACCACAAGTTAAGGAAGGGAGAGATGGGAGAGAGATTCAGATATTTCTGATGGCACCCAGCCCTGCCAGTGGCCCGCTGCTCTAGTGGTAGCCGGTGGCCTGTCGGGGACACGGAGGTTTCCTTGGAGCCTTCACATCTGGAGGGAGTGGGAGCTGGCAGCACAGCCTGGCTTCTTTGCTGCCTGCAATGCCTCTGGCTTGAGTCACTATATTAAGCCATGTTCCCACACTTGCTTAGAGTGGGAGTGAGGGTAATATTCCCTTCAATAAGCTAAAATCTGTTTTTCACAAGAGGAGTAGGTCCTGGCCAAAGCAGGGATGGAAAGGCTAAGACCAAAAGGCCAATTGTATTGGTGTGAGAAATACCATCGCTGAATATAATTCCCACACTGAACACAGAACTTAAACTGCTAGTTGTCTGTAGGTTGGTCCATATTTGAATCCTAAACCAGCTTCTGGGCCACCCAGCACACTCCAGGGTATCCTTTCCAAGTTGCTGTTGCATGTTCGCAAATAAATTTAGCCATCACTCTAAGTAAAACATAATGACTGAGGTTGATTTGTTGGTTGAAAAAAATTATACCACGGGTTTTGGTGGATGTTGGAATGGAATGTTTTTGTGTTGAGATTTCCTTTTCTTTTCACTGGATTATCAAGAGCCTACTGCATCTTAAAAGGTTTCAACGCATAAAGAAATATACTTAAGCATTATTCACAATAGCTAAAGGTGACAGCAATTCAAGTGTCCATCAGTGGCTGAATGGATAAACAAAGTGTGGTATAAACACACAATGAATATTATCCAGCCTTTCGAAGGATGGAAATTCTGACACAATGCTATAACACTGATGGCCCTTGAAAACATTATCCTAAGTGACATAAGCCAATCACAAAAAGACAAATACAGTATGAGGTCCCTAAAATGGTTGAATTCACACAGACAGAAAGTGGAGGTGGTCACCAGAGGCTGGGGGCAGGGGGACTGGGAGTTGTTGCTTAATGGGTGTAGAGTTTCAGTTTTGCAAGATGAGAAAGTTCTAGAGATTGGTTGCACAATATACACATACTTAACACTGTTGAACTGCACACTAAAAAGGTTAAGATGGGAAATTGTATATTATATGTATTTTATCACAATTAATTTTTTTTTTTTGAGACGGAATCTCACTCTGTCACCCAGGCTAGAGAGCAGTGGTGCAATCTCAGCTCACTGCAACCTCTGCCTCCCGGGTTTAAGCAATTCTCCTGCTTCAGCCTCCAGAATAGCTAGGACTACAGGCACACGCTGCCACACCCTGTTAATTTTTTGTATTTTAGTAGAGATGGGGTTTCACCGTGCTGTCCAGTCTGGTCTCGAACTCCTGAGCTCAGACAATCCGCCCGACTCGGCATCCCAAAGTGCTGGGATTACAGGCATGAGCCACTGAGCCTGGCCCACAATAAAAATTTATAAAAGAAACAAAGCACTTAAACTAGGGGTAGGTTTGAGATGGGGGGAGGGCAGACCCAAACGACTGAGTGGTATCTGCAAGGGGTTCTGAGCGCTGGCTGGATGGCTGCTGTCAGCCTTGGGCTTCCCCGTCTCCTGTCTGCATGTTGAGCTGTCTGTCCATCCCTACAGCCAGGGAATGGGACCAGCAATGCAATTCTTTTGCATGTTATCTCAGACATCACTTTTCATGCCATATTCCTGTCTTCCTAGAATCAAGGGTCTTACTGACCCCATCACACACCTCCTCTAATGTCATGGCTGGAAGGAAATAAGAAGCCCTTCCTCGGGAGAATGCCAGAGGCCCTTGATTGAAGTCAAGGACATAAGGGATGACCTCCTCCCAGTCCCCAGCCCTCACCTTCGCCTTGCGTTTGCTGTCATCCATGATCATCTTCCAGTCCGAGCCGTTGTTGCTGTACCCGATCTTGAACTTCCTCATGAACACCTTGTTCTCTCGGTGCTTCCCACCCTGAATGATGATGCCCCTCACGATCTTCTCCTCCCCCAGGTCTATTTGGAGCCACTCATTGATGTAGGAATGAGGTGCGGGTGGAAGTGCCCAGCCAGAGCGACTGGTTACCAGGCGGATGTTTTCAGGCATCCAGTTTCTGTCCCCTTGGTTGGATGATGTGATCTGGGAGTCAGAAATAAGTCCAGACACCATACCCAACATTCCAGAGCAAGGATAATCTGGGAAGTGAAATGAAACAGATAATGTAAAATGATTTCCTGGGCGACTCCATGCTAAGAAATAAAATACAACATATGGAATAAAGACATGATTTTGTACCCAATCATATACAATTTTCAGTCTCTGGATTATTTTACAGTAAATCTTTCCTCCCTCAAACCTTCCTCCTGCTCTGTCAGAATTCCCGTCTCTAAACTCACATCCCAGTAAGGCAAATCTTCAATAAGAACATACATTTCCCCCGCTTTGACATCTTCTAAGTTTAACATTCATATTTCAGTCTCTTTGGTATCCAGAATTCATCCCTGGATCAAGTACTGGCCCTGCTTAAGAGAAGTTCATAGTTTATGATGGATTGGAGATATGCATAGAAGTCAATCCGATAGCAGGAAGGTTGCTAAAACAAAGGTAAAGAGACAGTGATGCAGAGGTAAAGAGAACGAATGCATACTCAGCCTGCAGAGGTAATAGAGGACCTCCCAGGGGAGGTGGCATTTGAATTGAGTGTGGGAGAATAGTGACCATGATCCCCCACAACTGTTCTCCCCACCCCTATTTCTAATTGCATTGGGGACTTTCCACATGAATGTCTCACTGTCATCTCAAATGTACCACAAGCAGACTAAGACAGTCCTTTCCCCTGGATACTGCATCTTTTCACTGAACCCTGTCTTTTAATTGGTGGCATCACCAATCATCCACTTCCTGCCTAGTCATCTCGTCATTTCCGTTTTGCTGCCAAATCCTGTTGTTTTTATTAAGTACAAGAAAGCAACAGAACTCTTGTTGCTACCTTCCTTTCTTCTGGATTTATCCTGATCCGAGCGCTCTGGCCAGGGTGCTACATCAGCTCTTGGTTGGCCTCCCAGACCCCACTTTGAATCTCCACTACACCAACTGCTACTTAAATTTTCAGAAAATGTTGTTTTAAGCATGTCATTCTCATCCTCAAAAATCTCCACTGCTAAGTGAAAGAAGCCCAACAAAAAAAGGACAAATATGGTCTGATTCCATGGATAGGAGTAGCCTATCACTAGATCAGTCAGATTCGTAGAGACAGAAAGCAAAATGGTGGTTGCCAGGGCTTGGGGGAAATGGAGATTGGGAGAGTTAGTGTTTCATGGGTGCAGAGTTTCAGTCTGAGACAATTATAAAATTCTGGAAATAGTGGTGATGCTTGCACAGCAATGTGACTGTACTTAATGCGACAGAATTGTACACTTAAAAATGTACAATGATAAAATTAAAATGGTTAAAAGTGGTTGAAAATTGTTAAAGCGGTAAATTTTATGTTATGTATATTTTACCCCGACAATAGAAAAGAGATATCTTTTGAAAATGTACCATGGTTTTCCATTATTGATAGGAAGATATCAAAACTCGATCTGGCATTCAAGACCCTCATTTTGACTTCATCCCATTTGCCTAATTTGATTTTCTATTACTGACAATACATCTCAGTTAAGCAATTCTCTTCTCATACAGTCTAGACGTCATCCTCATCATTGCCTTTGCTCAAAACCCAGCTTAAGACTCATGAAGAGAACTTTTCAAGCTACTCTAGCTTTTATTCTGAGCTCTCCCTTCTCAGAAATATGATGTAAGTAGCACAGAGCTCAGCATTCCACTGCTCTCTAAGGCTTTAAGATTGTTAGTCATGTACCCACAGCTAGATTATAAGATCTTCAAAGGCAATGAACAGCATCATAGACCTTTTTATGTCTTCTAAAGCAGCCCAAGGAGCTTCTGAGCACAAGGAGAGTATCAGTTGTTGATGAATTCAACGCTGGCTTAATGACAAAATGTCCAACACTTCAAGTATTTTCCTTTAGAAACTGTACATCCTAATCAAGAACATGTGCAAGAATGATAACCTATTTTTCTTTGAAGCAACTCAATTCTGCGTTATATAATAAAAATTTAGCCTAAAAATATAACTACCCCTAAGTGAGAGGCAAACATCTAATGCAATTAAACTAAGTCCACATTATCAGCTGAACCTTAAGAATTCATTACTCAGATACTTTCCACATGAGTTCTATGGTCCAGATCATGTCGTTTCTTTACTCAGACATTCAGTGCCTTCTTGTCTAGAAATTACGCACGTCATTTTCAGTCAGGCATGCAGGCCTTCCATGTCATGTCCTTGCAAGGCCTCTCCCCATTCACTCCTTTAACCAGTGCCAATTGGCATGAAGAACTTCCTTACTTCTGGGAGTTTGGGAGCTTTCTTTCTGTTCCCTCCACAAGGAATTCCCTGTCATGTTACCCTTTTCCATTATCTGAACTGCTTAAAATCCTGACCTGTTTTCAAATGCCACATCGTTTACTCAGTTTTTCTGTTCTCTGCAACTGGACACAGTTTTCCATTTCTGGGCCTCTTCACACCATTTTATCTGCATTTCCCTTCTTTCTTTCTTTCTTTTTTTTTTTTTTTGAGAAGGAGTCTCGCTCTGTCTCCCAGGCTGGAGTGCAGTGGGGCGATCTTGGCTCACTGCAAGCTCCACCTCCCGGGTTCACGCCATTCTCCTGCCTCAGCCTCCCGAGTAGCTAGGACTCCAGGCGCCTGCCACCACGCCCGGCTTATTTTTTGTATTTTTAGTAGAGAGGGGTTTCACAGTGTTAGCCAGGATGGTCTCGATCTCCTGACCTCGTGATGCCTGCCTCGGCCTCCCAAAGTGCTGGGATTACAGGTGTGAGCCACGGCGCCTGGCCCCTCTACACCCCGGCCTTTTTTTTAATTTTTATTTTTAGAGACAGGGTCTCACTCTGTCACCCAGGCTGGAGTGGAGTGGTGTGATCATGGCTCACTGCAGCCTTGAACTCTTGGCCTCAAGCAATCCTCCCACCTCAGTCTCCTGAGTAGCTAGGACTACATGTGGATGCTACCATGATTGGCAATTTTTTTTTTTTTGGTCTCGCTATGTTGCCCAGGCTGCTCTCAAACTACTGGGGTCAAGAGATCTTACCATTTTGGCCTCCCAAAGTGCTGGGGTCACAGGCTTGAGCCACCATATCCAGCCCTCAAATGCTGATGAGCACATTTAGTTCTTTGGAATGCTGCTTTCTGCCTCCCCAGATTTTAACTTCTTTGAGGACACGAACTAAGTCATATTTTTCTGTTTTATATGACTCTTCATGCCCTGTTTTATACATAGTATTTGCTCAACAAATATTTGTTGAATGAATCAACTTAATACAATGAAAGGCAGCTGTCATTTTCTCAATTGCCCTTTCCTG
The DNA here is from genome assembly GCF_000001405.40 of Homo sapiens. Lineage (NCBI taxonomy): Eukaryota > Metazoa > Chordata > Mammalia > Primates > Hominidae > Homo > Homo sapiens. The sequence continues at coordinate 33,216,959 of NC_000010.11, forward strand.
TAACTTAACCACAGTATTTGCTCCAGGCTGGGATCTGGAAACCAAGAATATACTCAGTCGGGATTAAAAAAAGATTTACAAAAACAATTTTACTAAGGGACTATGAAACTGTAGTGTTAAAAATAGAGTGCCATTTTTTGGCCACGGTGTTCATACCTGCCTGATTCCAAACAAGCTTTTAGAAAGGCAATGTTTAGCTGGTAATGGGGACCAGATGTTACCATTTGGAGGCAAACATAATTAACTTGAATACTGTAAGGAGAGCAGAACCGTCACCAGATTAATGCCCTTTCTCTAATGCAGACTCGGCTGGGGCACAGTTTCTGTATTCATAGACTTAGTGATGCCCTGTCCCCATTTAGCCAACATATCCATGGTGCAAAGTGAGACTGTTATTCCTTCCATATAGCTGCCTCATTAAAAAAAAAAAAATGAAGAGGCAACTTGATTTACCTTTGACTGAAAACTATGTGACTCACTTTTAACAATAATTTGCAGAAAAATTACATTAACAATTAATTCAAGGTTTGAATGAGATGCTAGCGTTTAACTCTGTCCCTTCATAGCAGGCTGGTACAGGTCAGCCCGGTGCAGGTCAAACCCTTTGGAAATAGTGTTGCCAGATTTAGCAAATAAACAACAAAACAAGAAACAAGATGCCCAGTGAAATTAGAATTCAGAGAAATAATGAATAATTTTTTAGTACACATATGTCTCAAATATTGCATGGGACATACTTATTCTGAAAAATTATGTCTTGTTTGTCTGCGTCAAATTTAACTGGACATTTTGTATTTCACTTGGCAGCCTTGTTTGGAAAGCTTAAGACCACTTCAGGATGGAAGGGAGAAATGAGTTTTGTAATGGAGGATTGAGGTCGTTATTTTCAGTGATATTATTTTACAGTAAATCTCTGTACTCAGCTTTAATGGAAAAACTGAGGTATACTGGTAAATCAAATATCCAGTTAACCAATTTCCAACGAATGAGAAAGTAATAACTGCATTCGATGGGAGACCCTGAATGAGCATAATTTAATCTCTCCTTGATGACTCAGAAAGTACCTCTGGATATTATGGTGTCTGAGATCATCACTGTGAATTCTGATTGACTTAGGAGCACATGAATATGTGTTGAAGCGCTGGGTAACAGACTTCTGGTTAATAACAGAAGATAGCAGAGTTCAGAGTGTGTTAAGCAGCCATTGCCCAACGTGATTTCCATCTCTGCCAAAATGATGAAGCCTACTTTGTCAAAATAATGAAAATGCCCTTCATCAATCACCTATAAAGCAGAATGGTTTGTTCCAATCTTATTTTCTTTATATCTCTATATGGTGACAAACTCTGAATTTTCCAGGATTACTATATTTCTTTTTTCTTTCTTTTTTTTTTTTTTGAGATGGAATCTTGCTCTGTTGCCCAGGCTGGAGTGCAGTGGCCAGTGGCACAATCTCGGCTCACTGCAAGCTCTGCCTCCTGGGTTCACGCCATTCTCCTGCCTCAGCCTTCTGAGTAGCTGGGACTACAAGTGCATGCCACCACACCTGGGTAATTTTTTGTATTTTTAGTAGAGATGGGGTTTCACTGTGTTAGCCAGGATGGTCTCAATCTCCTGACCTCGTGATCCACCTGCCTCGGCCTCCCAAAGTGCTGGGATTACAGGAGTGAGCCACTGCGCCCAGTCCAGGATTACTATATTTCTAAAAAATAATTTCTGAATCAAAAAATTAGGGTAAAACTTGGGGCTTTAGTGGCTTTGGAAGCCAAGTGATGTGTTCAAGCAGTAACCTTTCATTAGGTAGGCTTAAACAAAATCCAGATTGAATTGTGACTACTCAGCAGGGTGAAAATTTGAGGTCCAGCCGCTTGTTTCTCAGAAGGCGTGCATAAAACTGCACTTCCTTCATTCAAAAGTAACCACCAAGCATTTGTTATGTTCCAGGCATACAGGACACAACAGAAAATGAGGCAAACAGGTCCCCTGCTCTCCTGGACCATCTAGTCCAGCAGGAATACTGTAGTCCTCCTTTCATTAATCTCTACTCAAGGGGACCTTTGATTTTCATTTCAAGAAAATGAAAATTATCTGCTTCTGATAATCAAGAAGAAAAACTTGAAATTACTGTCTTATTAGAGGCTCTGCTTGCTGGGGCATATGCTAGGTTCAATATATTGAGTGCCATGTACTATTTTAGTCTAACGGGTACCATTTAGTGAGCACTTAGTTTAAGCCAGGGGTGTTCCAAATTTCCTCTCATTGACTCCTCATTATAGTTGCATTAAGGTGATCCTCACAGACCAGAAAACGGAGATCAGAGTGAGTCTCAATGTCTTATCCATGGTCCGTCATGCATACACTAAGTGGACAGTCCACAGTCAAGCCTGGATATGTCTGCCTGCCTTCTGTCCATGTGACTATCGTAACGTGTTAGCCTCTCCAAAAACCTGCTTCTGGCAATTATTTGGAGACTAGAGACATTTTACTAGAGAGAAAATATTTAAAAGTATAGTGGAGACCATGATTAAGAGACTAGCACTAGGAACTGAAAGGAAGCACCTTATTTGAAAAATAGCTACTTAATTATGTATGAAAATATTAGGATATGCTATTTTAGACATCTAAGTTTACATAACTAGATCATTTAACTATTTTTAAAAATTGAACAAATTATTTACCTTCTTTGCTCACATTCCTAGCATCACCTCTCAGGGAAATCCTTGTGAAAATTAAAAAGGACAGTTTAGGTATAAAAAAAATTGTATTCAACTAAAAGGATGTGACATAAATCTCTAAGAGCCTGGAAATTCAGAATTTTGACTAACATGTTTGGAGTCTTTATGAAGTTTACCTCATTTTTTTTAAATACAATGACATGAGATAAGGTTGAAGAAATGGGCCAGAAATTTCCACCCAAACCTCAAATGGCCTTGTTTCTACAAATTTATGAATAACAGCACAAATCTGTAATGCTCTGAAAATGACCTAGAACTTTCTGTCATCTAACTGCTGATCAAAAATAAAGCCAAGGTTATATCTAACTTTTCAATGTCCTTTCTTCTTTCAAACCCTTCTCCACCCAATTCCTGCCTCTAAGGCCTTGAACTTTCTAAATCTTAGGTCCTAAAATAATAAACAAGTCTGTCTGTGGGATGGAAATAAATAAACTTTTCATTAAAAAATCAGATGTTGGTTTTTACTTTCCAAGCTGAACTCTACTATAAACAAGTATAGTTTTTCCTGTTCATTAGCTCTTCTCAAAATTGCTTGTAATTTCATGGAATATTGCCAAAGTGATTTTTTTTCCTTCCAAAGTCGGTATCATTCTCCTCTAAAAATAATTAAACTAAAGAGGATAAACAGAAAAATGGAATAAAAAATTAAATACCCCAAATACATATATAACATAATATTAAAGGTAGTTCAAAGACTTTTAGACATTGCTTGCTTTTAATTACTTTTTAGTGAGTGGGTCAACTGATTCTGTCTTTGAACTTCCAAGCTTACTATAAAGATCACATTGTACAGGTTTTTTGTTGGTGGTGGTTGTTTCAATGAAAGTTTGGCAATGTATTTACTAAAATGGAAAGGAATTCTAATATGACTGCTATATACTGCAGAATATAGCATAGTCATGCAAGAAAACAAATGGACAGGCTGGGCGCGGTGGCTCACGCCTGTAATCCCAGCACTTTGGGGAGGCTGAGGCATGTGGATCACCTGAGGTCAGGAGTTCAAGACCAGCCTGGCCAACATGGTGAAAACCTATCTCTACTAAAAATACAAAAAATTAGCCAGGTGTGGTGGTGCACTCCTGTAGTAGTACCAGCTACTCAGGAGGCTGAAGCAGGAGAATCGCTGGAACCTGGGAGGTGGAGGTTGCCATGAGCCAAAATCATGTCACTGCACTCCAACCTGGGTGACAGAGCAAGGCTCAGTCTCAAAAAAAAAAAAAAAAAAAAAAAGAAAAACAAATAAAAAGATAAAGCTGGCCAGGGGCAGTAGCTCACACCTGTAATCCCAGTACTTTGGGAGGCCGAGGTGGGAGGATAGCTTGAGTCCAGGAGTTCGAGACCAGCCCAAGCAACATAGGGGTTACAATTAGTTGTCTACACTGGTGCCCTCATGTTGTCCCACATGTATTCAAGAGGCTGAAGTAGGAGGATCACTTGAACCTGGAAGGTTGAGGGTGCAGTGAGCTATGATCATGCCACTGCACTGCAGCCTGAGTGACAGAGCAAGACCCTGTCTCAAAATAAAGAAACAAAGAAATAAATAAAACTGCTGGAGAATCTTTCATGCAACAGTTACTTATTGTAAATCTACTAAGTAGTAGTCAGTATCCAGGAAGCAGAGATGAACGGCATGATACTTGCCTTCATGGAGCTTACAGTCTAGTGGAAAAGGTACCAGTAAACAAGCACCTACCACATGCCAGGCTGTGCTACGTGCTTATATCCATTATCTATTAATAATGCATCATCACAACTAGGCTGTATGGCATAAATTATTATGACTATTTCCCAGGTGAGATAACTAAGGCTTTAAAAGGTAAGTATATTGACCAAAAAAATCTGCTAGTGAGTAGTAAGGCAGGATTTGAACTCGGATTTGTCTAAATCCAAAGTAGATGCTTTTAATTGTCAAATAAAAATGATTGCATTTACAAACTTATTTACCCTGTATTTAAAGGTTTGCATAAATCAAAACAAGACAATCTTCGACTTGGAAGATTCAGTCTTCAATCTTCCACAGCTTACCTGTTATCTTGCAACCGTATACTTCAAATCTCATAGATATGCCAGTTTCCCAAGTTGCAGGCTTGATTCGGACAAATCGAGTTATCAGTGGTTTGGGGAATACTGCAACCACAACATCTGTGGGGTTGGTGTTTCCCTGAAAGAGCTGTATGGGGAAAAAAAGTGCCTTTCTTTAGCAGAGGTTTTGGATTTAAATCCATAAATGTGTTTTCACAAATGGTTGTAAAAATTATTTACAATTTCAGTGTTGTCGATCAAGGATGAGATGGCGTTAATAACTCGCCATGTTAATTTTTTCAATTAGCAATCAGAATGATGTCTAATATAGAATACTGTCCTAATCATCGATTCAATTTTCTGAGAGGCTAGAGTCTTTAAAAGCACTATTATATGGATAATATTGATTAAAGAACGCATGCTATTATCTAAAAAGTGTGAAACTATTAACTTTACCAGAGGACCAAAATAATACTGTAGACGTGTCATGGGAACTCTCACTGTTTGACTTTCCCAAGAATCCCCAGAAGGGATGCTTTTTAAGTAAACTATAGGGCCTGGCTTTTTGAAATTCTAGGTCGTGTTTGCAGCTACAGTACTAGGTCAAATAGCGTTCTCCCCTTTGACTTCATTCCTTGATGGAAGATCTTGTCCCTCACACTAATGCGTGACTTTAATCCTTTTTTGATTATTGGTAAAATTATGTTTTAGTGGTCAAAGTCAAAACTGAGTTATAAATTATTTTTAACTAAAAATCAGTTTTTCCAGGGCTTGTGCGTCAAGATTTATTTATTTATTTATTTATTTATTTATTTATTTATTTAAGATGGAGTCTCGCTCTGTTAGCCAGGCTGGAGTGCAGTGATGCGATCTCGGCTCACTGCGGCCTCCGCCTCCCGGGTTCAAGCAATTCTCCTGCCTCAGCCTCCTGAGTAGCTAGGATTACAGGTGCCCACAGCCACACCCAGCTAATTTTTGTATTTTTGGTAGAGATGGGGTTTCACCATGTTGGTTGGCCAGGCTGGTGTTGAATTCCTTACTTCAAGTCATCCTCCTGCCTCCGTCTCCCAAAGTGCTGGGATTCTGCTTTTAGTTTTAAATTGAGTCATTTTATTCTAAGAAAGATGAGGCATGTGACTGCAAATGTAATGCATGCCAGGCATGAATGGATGTTTCCCACAAGGACTCGTGGGGGCCACTCTGCCTGGGCGGGGGGCTGCAGCAGCATTCTCCAGTAAGATCTCTGAGGACTAGAGAGTTTACCATTACAGAATACTCTGCCTCCCTTTCCTGGATTTTAATTCTGCCTTGGGTTGGGAACAGCCCGTGGGATGGTGATGTTTCTCAGTCCTGTGCCTCGTGCATTCAGCACTATGCTTCTCAGCACAGCTGGGTCAGACACCTCCTTTTAGGCTGCATAACTGGAGCATCACGGGGCTCACTCGAGGCATGCAGCTTCCTCCCCATCTTTCCAGGTGAGGACATGAAGGTCTATGGTTTCCCAAGTCCTGCTCTTCCACCTGGGAGAAAGGGCTTGTGAAAGTCGGGCTTGTGTTTTCACTTTATTGAATTTAAGTGGCCTGCACAACTAAAGGTGGTCAAATGCTTTACAGAGTTGGTTGTGGCTGGGTGTGGTGGCTCATGCCAGTAATTCCAAAACTTTAGGAGGCCAAGGCAGGAGGATTGCTTGAGGCCAGGAGTTTGAGACCAGCCTGGGCAACATAGTGAGACTCCATCTCTCCATTAAAAAAAAAAAAAAATTAGCCAGGTATGGTGGTGGTGCATGCCTGTGGTCTCAGCTACTTGGGAGATTTAGCTGGGAGGATGGCTTGAGCCCAGGAATTTAAGGCTGCAGTGAGTTATGATTGCACCACTGCACTCCAGCATGGGTGACAGAGCAAGACTTGGTCTCTATTTTTGTTTAAATAAGTCAGTTTTTAGCCTGATCTCTCTCTTGAGACGATCTGATATCCTAATTTATCCCAGCCTGTGATGGCCTTTTGATTTCTGCCCTAAATCAGCATCTCTCCCTGGAAATCAATCTGTGTGGGAGCATTTTTGTGTGACAAAGAGTAATGGGCAGCTGCCAGGGAAGGAGGGCCGCCAATGATGGTGCTCTCCTTATGGGGGCAATGAGTCCTTGTCCGAGGGAGACCAGAAGTCTGGCAGGAGAGTTGTGTGCCCTGGTGCAGGCAGAGGGGAGGTGCATTTTCCTCCCACTGAGGGAGTTTTCTGTTTGCTGAAAATCATGTTTTATACACATTCTCTCCAACATGAAGAGGGTTGCTGGAGTTGTTGGTGGTCGAAAGCTGCACTCCTGGAGCAAAGTGGGAATGAAGGTAGAGGGGAGTGGCTGAAAGCCCCTAAAGTACAGAGAAAGGTGGGGTGGGCAACAATCATGAGGCTCTAGGTGGATGTTCTGGTTTCATTAGATTCTGATTTCATTAGATTCAGCTAAAGTGCTCAGAACAGATGCCAAGCTCTCTGCCGACTCCTTCCTTATTCCTTCTGCCTCTCCCCTTGAAGCCCTTCTGTGTGCCAGGGGTTCCCAGGGCAAGCTGGGGGCACTGTCAAACACCCCTGTAATCTGTGGGTGCTCTCCGACAGCCCCCCTCTTCTGGGCCATGCAAACAACCAGTGGACAACAGTTGAAGAAAACATGTTGGTGAAATAGCCCGTATGGTTTTTTTTTCCTTAACAAAAAATGGTCATGTTGCTATTTTCTTTCATCCCTCTTATCTGCATGCATTCCAGTATAAAGATAATGAAATACCAGTTAAGTTTATCACTTAACATTATCTTAGACCTTTCACCTCATGGTTCCATTTTGTTCTTTTTTTTTTTTTTCTTCAACCTTTAAGTTTCAGGGTACCTGTGCAGGATGTATAGGTTTGTTACACAGGTAACTGTGTGCCAAGGTGGTTTACTGCACAGATCATCCCATCACCTTGGTATTAAGCCCAGCATCCATTAGCTATTTTTCCTGATGCTCTCCGTCCTCCCACATACCCCGCTACCGACAAGTCCCAGTGTGTGTTGTTCCCTGCAATGCATCCATGTGTTCTCATCATTCAGCTCCCAGTTATAAGTAAGAACATGTGTTGTTTGGTTTTCTCCTCCTGAAGTAGCGCTTATTTTAAAAAGAAATGGCCTGACAGTCTAAGGTCAGCTCTCCCGGCTCTCTCTGGGTTCTTTGGCTGGTAGGTGCCTCATTAGAGTTAGTGATTTTTTATTTCCTTGAACCTAAAGTATGTCTTCAGAAATTTATTCCCAAACAAGAATCAGTCATGAAACTTGGGGTCAAAATTTACTCACTTCATCTCCATGAGCGTTGACTAGGAAGGTTCTTGTACCCCAGACAAACTGGTTCCATGTCCTCCAGGACTAGACAATGGCCTTGAACTTGCCTGCCCATAGCATTTTCCTCCTACAGAACAGCTGTCTATCTGTAGCTGCTTCCATCTTGCCTGCCCTGTCCGAGAGTGGGGGTTTCACTGCTAATCAAAGGGAATTAATAGATTTTCTCACTTCACACCCAGGGGGCTTTTCTCAGTTCCAGATCCACAAGGAGAAAATCAAGTACGTGAATGCTCAAAAGAGAGACAGGTTAATTGGCCTCTTCCCAAGCCCATCATTGCAAGCTACCTGGATCTTTGCTCCTATCCTCATCAATTTCCTGTGTTTTGCTCAGCCTCCAGGGCAAGCTTTTAATTTCTGGGAGATGGTGAGTATGAATTCTCCGAAATCTTTTGATTAGAAAATCAGAGCAAGTGTAACTTCAAATAAACAGGCAGGCTGAGAAAAACATCTCTGTTCCAAATGAGCTAGGGCAGAGCGCCGAGGGACACGGTATGGTCTGTGCTGCCTCCTTGGTTGAAAGCAGTACGGAGGTAGTGTGTTATTTGTGTGATCTGAGGGAACACAATGAAATACCTTTGGTTCCACGCGTTCTTACAAGAAGCAGTCAAATGCACTTGTAAATTAGTTTGTGAGCCACAGTAGATAGATGAAAAGATGTTTTCTAAAACTAGCTGATTACAGACAGAAAGAATCTATGAAAGGATGAAGAAATCGAGGGGGGAAAAACAACAAAACCCCAAATTCCTAAGGTTCTAAGAGGACAGTGTTTATCCCACGCAGAATCTGTGTCCCCATGGGGGGCTTACAGCAATTCTTGAGTCTGACACTTAATTTGGCCTGTATTGACTTTTTTTGGAAACATTCACATAATTTCCTCCCGGCTTCTGGATCTGGGAACATGAGACCCCTTGGTTAGATTTAAACCTCTAATTGCACTTTTCATTTCAAATCAATTCAAAAATAAACCAGGCCAGACAGAAAGCTACCAAACAAACAAGTAAAAATTGATCATCCATTTAAAAGACCAAATTGGTTGCCACGGTGGCAGCCTAACTTACAACAGGTTTGTTTCCTTCTTTTATGGTGATCCAGTCTTCCCCGTTGGAGCTAACGTCGATCTTGTAAGTCTTGACATAATATTTCTTCTTGGTTTCTTTTGAAATGGCGCCCTGTGTCCCGACAGCCGTGACAAAGCGCAGAAGGCCCAAGTCTACCTGCAAGACAAGTACAAGCGTGGTCAGTGCACCATCCCTGCAGCACAGTAACCCAAAGCATCTTTTCCTGTGGGCTCCACGTTGTGGTTTTCATCCACCTGGGATCAACAGGGCCTCATTCCATCGGGTGTCCACAGTCCCTGACTCCTCCCTTCCATTCCTTCTTAAAAAAAGGCAAAGGCATGATCAATGTAAACCAAAAATAAAATTCTAAGTCCCCTGACCATCTAAATGGACACCTTGTCCCAGCAAGGGCATTCCAAAGCTAACCTGAAAAACTAGTTCAGGCTATGATAGGACAGTGTGAGGGTCAGACAAGCCTCATTATTATACCCTCATCTCTGTTGGAATTAATGATAGAACAGCTCTTTAAGTCTGATAAGAAACATCTACAACATATTCTCTCTGAAGCCTGCTACCTGGTCTTTACCTGTACGTTATCTTAACCCAGACATTCCTAAGTCTTTAGACAGTAACTTAACTCTTTCAACCATTGCCAATCAGAAAATCTTTGAATCCACCTATGACTTGGGAGCCCCTGTTTTCAGATGTCCCACCTTTCTGGACCAAACCAATGTACATCTTCTATGTATCTGATTGATGTCTCATGTCTCCCTGAAATATATAAAACCAAGCTGTACCCAGACCACCTTGGGTTTATGTCCTCAGGACCTCCTGAGGTTCTGTGTCACAAGCCACTGCTCACTCATATTTGTCTCAGAATAAATCTCTTCAAATATTTTATAGAGTTTGACTCTTTTTGTCCACAAAAGACAGCATGGCCCTAAGTTGGTTCCCATTGTTAGGAAGGCCAGGAAAAGACCTTTCTCACTGTTGCAACCAGGATTGCTTGATCCCTGGTGCAAAAGAGAAAACTGGATTCAATATCATACTTTCCAAACTGCACATTCATATATGTCATCTTGCAAAGACAGAATCAAGACAAACAAGATAAACTCACACAATGGATAATGGAGAGGCCTGGACTTGAATTCCTGTCTAACATAATCCCATTTCCCCTCTGTCTTTGGCATCCTACCTCCTTCCACATTAAATGCAGACTGAAACGATACTGACTTGAAAGCTCTAAGGGTGTTGTGGTTTGGGAGAGGGGCCATAGATTTATAACTTGGGATGGAGTAAAGAGGAAGAGGGTAAAGATTTCTGTTTCAGCTTTAGATTTCTTCCCTCCCCACATCTTCCTGTGGCCTCTCTCCTTGCAGCTCAGTTTGAGAGGCAGGTGGATTCCAAGTCATCAGGTGGGGGAGACTGATGTCTCTAGGAAACAACTGCTTGGGCTTGCAACCTTCTCCTGGTAAGTTTCCAGTGGAAAAACTCCTCAACACGACAGCCTTGCCTTCATCTCTCACTAGCCTGTCTCATATCCTGAGGGGTGGGGCTCTTGGAAGGCATCAGAGTAGTGATGACCAGAGGGTGACTGAAATCTCGAGGGTCTGTGTTTTCATCCCAGGGCCCTGTGATGTGAGTGGGAAGGAATGGATTTAAGCAGCAAGCACTCCATGTTCTAGTCCAGACTCTGCCATCATCTTTAGGCTTCTGGGCCCTCATTTGTAAAATGAAGGAGTGGGATTAGATAACTTGGAAGACTCTTTTCCACTCTGACCTCCTATAATTCCTTCTTTCATAATGTGTTAGATGTTTCCAGTAGAGTAGGTTTTTTTTTCTTTAACTCTCCTTATTACCAGCATTAATAACTAAGAATAATCTTGAAAGAAAACTCATTACTAGTTTGTATATAATAGTGATATTTTCAATTTATTTTAATAAATTTGATTATTCCTATAAAATTATTTGCTCCATCAATTGTATGCCCAGCTTTAAACACAAGCTTAAAAAAAAGTCCACAAATATATGGCAAATATTTTTTTAAAGGACACAGAAAATAGTTACACATTACAACTACTAGCATTGACAAGCCTGGCATAGTGGCACATGCCTGTAATCCCAACTACTCGGGAGGCTGAGGCAGTAGAATCTCCTGAACCCTGGAGGCAGACGCCGCAGTGAGCTGAGATCTCGCCACCGCACTCCAGCCTGGGTGACTGACAGAGAGAAACTCTGACTCGAAAAATAAAATAAAAATAAAATAAAACAAAACAAATAAAAAAAGCCAACCCCCTCCCAACTTTTGAATTTTGCTTTCCAGTTGCCATATTACAACTCAATTTTCAGAATATAATATTTCAATTAATTCTCCAGTGCCCATGGGCCACGAACACTTAAAGAATTTCCATTCTATGCACAGCCTGCCTCATGGAGGCATATTGTCTTTCATGAATTGCTTTTTTCCTGAAGGCGCTTGGAGTAGTTAAATCAACATGTTGTCTACATCCAGGAAAAACAGCACATAGAAGCCAATTTGAAGTTACAGAAAGCAGTAGTGGTAGATTTCATCTGGAAAGAATGGGACTATCATTCAACGCAAAATAATCTTTATTTCATTTCCCTGGTTTTAAAGATATAAACTCTAGGCTCTGTGTGCTTTCACCAGATTTAAGAGAAAAAGGAACAAGAATTTAATAGAATTTAATATTTTAGAATACTAACAATAGATTTTATAATTTTAATTTAATGAATAAGTATTTTACCAACATATTCTTATCAAGTGCCTACACTTGTTTACCAAAATTTGCATTTGTTTTTCAAAAGTGAACCATGGTACTTTGATGAATGTTTTAAACTTCCTATCTCCCTCATGTACACATTTCAAAAAGGGGAGGTGATTGAAGGTTGTCAGATTTAGCAAATAAAAGTACAAAACATCAGTTAAATTTGAATGTCAGGCAAAACCAAATTTTTTTTAGTATAAGTGTGTTCCATACAACATTTGGGCTGTAGTTACACTAACAACTGATTCATTGCTTACATAAAATTCAAATTTAAATGGATTTTCTGTATCTATGTTATCTGACAACCCTAAATCTCACTATATTCCAGACAAATAGGTGATTTTAAGTTGCTGCAGAAACTCTCTGATTTCACAATGCCGCAATCTAAAAGTTAATGGGGACTCTAAAAATGGTTGCTCTGAACAATGTTAACTGTTTTCAAATGCTCGCAGATCACTTAGTGCTTTTCTGACTGTCCATTAAAGTCATGCCCAATGCCACAGCTACTTTCAAGCTGAAGGGTCCTTAAAATCTTGAAGTCCGAGGAAGCATGAAGCAGAGCTATTTAAATAAACTCTTCCTGTCAAACTTACAGATGGCTCTTTAGTTTGGAAATGATTAAATTCCCAAGAGTGTGTATTCAGCTTGGGCTGATTTGAAACAACCCTAGAACTTCATTCCCTGGTTGTCCTTTTTCTATTTTTTAAATTTTGGTTTTTGGAGTAAGATTTAATTACTAAGTAGGAAAGAAGTTAACTGGTGATCAAACAGAAGATTCCTAGGTATTAGGAACAGCTGACATCAGAGGAAGGAGCAATTGACTGGAATTAACTAGTATCCAACACAGGAAGATACAAAGGCACCCAAAGCATATGCATGAATCACTCATTAAAAAAGAAAGATTTTTTTTTTCTCAACAGCAATGAAATGCATTGGCAACCTCCTCTTGTAATTGCATAGTTTCCTGCTGTGCTTTAAAACTCTGCAGATTCTCTTATTTACCACACAGGGATACTTGAAATTTCATTTCATTTTTCTCCCTAAGATTATTGCCAGTGGGTTTAGTAAGGATGGATGACAACCTCACAAAGTGATTAGGACTGGGGCTTGAACCACTGCAACTAAAACCGGATAGTACCCAGAACTCTAACAACATACAGCCTCTCCAGCACTTAGTGTGCAACCCTCACTGCTAAGACCAGGGAAGTTCTTTCCACGAGTCCTTTCTCTTAATGCCTTAGGGGAATTCTCAACAAGGATCTGCCCTCCACTCTCAAGTGCCTGAGAGAGTTTGAGGGGAGACAGATAAAGTCCTGCTCAATAAGCATCACTGCTCACACTGCTGGTGTCTGTGTCAGGAGACCTAGAAAGACTTCATGCCTTGGTGTTCATATCTGAAGAGTTCTGGAAGACACCACCCCCAAAATTTGCCACTTTGGCATGAAGATTATTTCGAGTTGAAGGCAATCGAGAATCAACAGATGCAAGAAGAATTCTATGCCCTCCCCTTCTCTGCCTAAAAGCAGGAGATACATTTCCTTTTGGGAAGGGGGCATAAATTCTCCCCCTCTACTCTACCACGATGAAGACAGCAACATTTATCAGTGGAGACTGAGATAAAATTTGCATAAACACATCTTACTAAAATAACTCCTATTTTCCATTAGTTTCTCATATATGTGTGTGTGTGTGTGTGTGTGTGTGTGTGTGTGTGTGTGTATGTATCTCCTAGTCACTTTCCTACAACTTATCCGCCCTAGAAGCCCAAACCCTCTTTCTTTTCTCAAGTCACTTATCCACAACTTATCACCCATTGTGAAAATGGTGTATAAGCATCTGAATCTATTTCTTTGGTTTTTCATTTCTTTTCTGTAAGGCTTCTGTGCATGTAAAATTTAAAATATTAATGCCTTTTTTCCTGTTAATCTGTCTTTTGTCAGTTTAATTTGCAGGCCCCAGTTGCAACACCTTAAAGAGTAGATGAAAAGTTTTCTCCTTCCCTTACAAGCCTTTCTCACTGGTGTAGATGTCTCTGCTAGTCATGACATTGGCTTCAATCTACCTTTTTAGCCTCCTGCTACACCTCTCTCTTTCCAACTGTATCACCCAGCCATATTATAATATTCGTTGCTTGTAACAGAATATAAGCCTTTTCTAGCTGCATGTCTTGACATACAAAGTTCCTTTGCCCTAAAACAACCTCTGTCTGTTTTTTGACTGGAAATGACTTTTTCCTCTTTTTGGCCTAGTAGGCTAAACCCCTTTATAGCTCATGTCCCCATCACTGAATTCATCATTCTGTTTTTGCTGTACCTCCTTCTAGATTGTTGTGTGGATTTCCTTTGAAAAGCATCTGTTTTTCCCTGCAGAAAAACTAATAAATGCCTACTGAAAATTCATAAAATGCAGTAAAGATGATAGAAGAAAATTAAGTCTCCCTAAGACCATCATTAGGAAATAATTACCAATCATAGCCTTGCAGAGTTTCTTTTCCCATGCAAAGTACCTGTGAATATTTGTATGCATGTTTTTACTTTGAAAAATAAGGTCATATTACCTCTATGCCTGATAACTGGCTTTATAATGGAGTTTTATAGACGTTCTAGTGCCACTATTTTTTCTACATCATAATTTTTAGTGGCTGTGAATATTTAGGTATTGGATCTTACTCAACTGGATTAACATTATCAGCGGGCATTTAATACTGCTTATCTGCTAAGTTCTATATTAAGTTGTTAGGATATAAAGAGCAGTAAGAGTGTGCAAAACGCGAACCCATGACTACCGTACAGACAGGTATCATGCAGCATCAAGGAAAAGGTAAACAATTTAACAGAGAACTGGAGGTGAGGGGAGCTGATTTCTATGCTCAAGATGGCTATGGGGGATAAACAGTAGGAGCTTGTGAGTGGACACAAAGGAAAAGACTGTTCCAGGGACGAGGAGGAGCAGGAATTGCAGAGATAAGCAGGAAAAAATAAATGAATGAAATCATGGACACTAAACAACCTATTATGTTTCCCTCACCACTATTGACATTACTTGTCAAAAAAAATGTATTGCTCTCTAAAGAATATGAGCTCTGGTTGTTTTGAAGTTGAAATGATCAGTAGTCATAAAACCCACTCCAAATCAAACACTACCCATCGTCTTGGTGGCTTAGCTTTTTGAATCATGCTAAGTTCTCATCAACGTCACATGCTAATAGGCAAGACTGGTGACCCAAGACAAGCAGCTGAAAAGACAAAGACACAACCCAGAGTACTTCTACACAATGCCACCCCTCTATGTTTTGGAGGGTTCATCGTCCTAAACAATACTTCCTTTCTTTCCATAAAAATTCAGACACACAATAACCATAATTAAGTAACCTGCTTTCCCTCAACCCAATCAGCTCTGCTCTAATCACCATTTTCTTATTTTGAAAGAATATCATTATTTCACAGCTGCTTTATTTTTAATTAGAAGATGGATGTGATTTCACATCTGAGTTGGATATACTTCTGTTTAACATTAAGGGTGATGGTGAGGGGGTGTGATGATGGCGGTGGGCAGGGATGGAATGGAACATCAAATGCATTCACTGAAATTGTTGAACATTTCCCTCTGTGTGTGTGACAAACATAAACATCTGGTATTTATCGATGGCATGTAGGCTATTTTACAGAACTTTATCAAACTCCTTTTGAGTTCTAGTGGCCGCTTTCTTTTTCTTTTCCTTTTTTTTTTTTTTTTTTTTTTTGAGACAGAGTCTCAGTCTGTCCCCTGGCTAGAGTGCAATGGCGAGATCTCAGCTAACTGCAACCTCCACCTCCCAGGTTCAAGCAATTCTCCTGCCTCAGCCTTCAGAGTAGTTGGGATTGTAGGCCCCCGCTCTCACGCCCAGCTAATTTTTGTATTTTTTTTTTAGTAGAGATGGGGTTTCACCATGTTGGCCAGGCTGGTCTTGAACTCCTGACCTCAAGTGATCTGCCCGCCTTGGCCTCCCAAAATGCTGGGATTACAGGCATGAGCCACCGTGCCCAGCTGGTGACCACTTTCTAAGTTATAATACATAGCGCCGTTGGCACTATAATGATTAGAAATGTGACCCAACACAATACCCTGTTTCCAATATGGATATGAAATTCTAACACTGGTGGTGGAAAGTCTACCCACAACTTACTTTCACACTGTGCTCCACTCACAATGAGAAGATCTTGTTAGCAGATACAGAAGAGGAAACCCCAAGCCTTTCCTTCTGGGTGGGGAAAATTGTGTGAGTAGAGGAAAACAGTTTTCCTCACCACTTCTAGGGGTGAAGGGGCGATGTTTGCAGTTCCTGGGTGGCGAACTCCCACCTCCCCACGGCACTGGGTTCTACCATGCTCCCAACTTACTCTTTGTTGTAAGATATCTACAGGAACCATCCACATGCACCATATGGCCATGGTATTGTCTTAGTAATGACAGGAAACACATTCCCCAGACAAAGAGAAGCAAGGAGAAGCACACATTTTACCAGGAATCACTTGAGGACAAAGCAGCATGTGTAGTAAATCATGTAGCAAATCTTTGCAAACTGCTGGTTAAACACCAGCACGCAGCCTTCCAGCCATGAAATGAATATCACTGCTTTCTATAATAATACATAACCAACCAATATTGGTAATGTCATAACGTGGAAAGCCTCATTTCTAAAATGAAAATCTGTCTTACTCAATAAATTACTGCCCATTGAGCTAGCATTGGCAAGGGAGCGTTTACCAGCTTTTAACACTCCCAAGGCAGGTCAATACAATGGCCTGAAAAAATAGAGGACAAAGAGCTGAGGTCTGATTAAAAACAGGAAAATATTTTTTGAGGGGGAGACTGTCGGATTTTCTTTGGGGCATCTCTGATGACTCAAAGAGCTGTTTAATTCATCACTTGACACTACAAGCTAAAGAAAATATTTTTAAGCAATTGTCTCATTTCCTTAGATAAAACACATGTTTTTTACAGAGCCTGGGCCTGTGAACATCAATGCTATTCTAGGCTCTGTGGGCTTAACTCACAGTACCTGACCATTGTGCTCATTAACTTAGGATCCTGGACTTCTTACTGTTATGAATCTGAATGCAGTCGCTTTAGAGTTAGTGACATAGCTCCCTATCTCTTTCTGTGTTGTGTCCCTATGGTGGTATTACCTAGAAAAAATGCTGATGGCTAAGGCTAAAATTACCATTAATAACCGGAAATTCATAGTGCAACCTCTACGTGTTAGGCATTTTATGAAGGGTTAAATTTATGTACAGTGTCTCTTTCAATTCTCACAACAATCATACAAGGGACATTTTATGGACAAAGAAACAGAGGAACAAAGTGATATGTACCTTTCTCAGAGTCACATAACTTACCAGTGTTTGACCCAGGACTTATACCCCAGAGAAGACTGGTGGCCCGTGTATGAGCTGCTACACCTATGCTATTCCCCAATTCATATTTTATAACCATAATGATTAGAAAGATAGTTTATAATTTCTCAGTAATAATAATTAAATCCAATAGCTTTTCTTTTTGGAGATTCATTATTTTATATAATTATAAGGAATATGAAATGATTTCTGATTGTGTTGACTATTAGTTTAAAGTTAGCACTGGCCACTGAAAAACAAAACTTTGCAAATAATTTATTCATGCTGTCGAAAAACAAAATGGTAGCAACGAAACATTTTGAGCAAAGGATAACAATTGAACACTTTAAAATTAGGGTAAAGAATAAAAATACCCAAGTAGAAGAACAGCGCAAGGCAGGAAAAATCTCACGAATTTTCTTTTAGTCTTAATTGCCTGAATTAATGCCTTTTTCCATAGTTAAATTAAAGGAGAGCATTTTCCTGGGTGGAAACAAATAAAACCTTTGCTCATAGTAAAACAGTCCCAAGTGAATGAACAGATGAATTTTCCTACCAGAAGACTTGATCCAGCCAGTTAGAATAACATGAGATAAGGCTGCAACAGCACAGGGGCAGTGGAAGGGCTGGCTTCCCTGACTGCCACTGCAGTCACAGCAAAAGAACAACAAGAAAATGAGTAAGAAAAATGAAGGCCCCACACAAGGGCTGACCTCCGTCTTTTTTGGCAGATGAAAGGAGATAGTGCTTACATGGGCTCTGTCACATCTGGATTTATAACACATTCTCCCACTCTCATGTGAATTTTTCTTTTTGCATAAATCAGGAGCAACTAATTAAAAAAGAAATATTTAATTCTGACATGTTCTTTGAACTGGAGTCCCATCTGGTTCTGTTTGAATAGTAAAATCTGCTGTAGTTGTTAAAACTGGCAAGTAGCATTGTCCAAAAGAAACAAAAGGGACTCGATGCAGCAGGTTAACACTCCAGCATTTCAGCTAGAGACTTTTCCAGAATCCAGCTACCCAAATCACTCCAATCTGGAAACCATAAAGATCAAATGTGAAGGTGAAGAATGCCATTTTCAGGTGGAGTCACTACCATTGCTCTGCATTTTCTTAGTGTGATGGAAACAGCATCAGGCTCTGAAAGGCCTTTGTTTGAGAGCAACGCACGGAACTGTGGCAAGCCACCAGAAAACGCTCAGCTTATTTTATGAAACACATTTAAGACAAATATGAGAAGACAGTCTTCATGCATTGGACGCAAAACCTGAGGGCTTTTTTCCTTTTCCATATTATCTAGAGCAGATACAATTGTATTCACCAAAACCAGACAAATATTCCATTTACATTCCTCTCTTACTTGATAAACCCGTAAAAATCTGGACACCAGGACACACTACATTCTGATAACAAAGAGGGAGAAAATGAAATGGTGCTGGGGTTTCTATACACTCTGAAATACAAGTAATCAACATCTAATGCAATTTGAAACTCTTATGTAGAGTCAAAGAGAATGGCTGATTACATCTCTATGCTTTAGAAAAGATTGTTTTACATTTTTAAGACATACGCCGACCTGTGAAATCTTTTCTCCTTTAAAATATTTTCCTTCAATTGCATGTTAACTTGCAGATGAATACCTTGGAAACCTTTAACAGCTTGGTCAAAAAGATGACATTTTAATGTCCCCTCCTCCCCTTCCTGCAAAGAGACTTAGGAGTTCTTTCCAGGCAGTAAAAGATTCAGGGACTTAATACTTTTAATTAACATTTTTTGAATGCTTATTTGTAAGTTACATTTAATTTAAAACCTGAGCCTAGTCCTTTGATTTGGAAAGAGGACACGCTGTCAGAACAGACCAAATGTAATCCCTAGGAATTTGGCTAAGATTTTAACTTAAAAACTGTCTGATAGAAATTGCCTAACTGAAATTTCTTAACAGAGAAAAAATAAGTATGCTACAGTTTTAAAACAATGGTAATCAGTCTCAAATATGTATACATGGGATGAAAATCTTCCGGTCAAGAACCTCATAGGAGAATCAGCGCATGTGCTCTTGCTAGATGGGTTTACTTAATAAAGAGTTAGCAAGCACGTACTACATAGAGGGCATGGGTGGGTATTGTGCTCTTCTAATATAACTCTTGATTCCATCTGATTGTTTATGTGTAATATCCATGAAAGCTAGGAAAGTATTCGTCTAGTAGAAGACCGAGAGGGTAGGAATTGCATGGGTTAGGTAGGCAAGAGAAACGTTTGGGTTCAGTGCTGCTGATCTGGTTGACTGCAAGGGTACAGCTCTAGATACCCTGTAAGATTAAATAGAGTGTGTATACAGGTCACCCGTTCCTAATATTTGTCAGCCCTAAAACAAAGAGGGTAACAGTAATAGAAGAATGAGTTAACGGCTGGTTTGGATTTCAGCCACTTTAAGACATGGTAGCAGAATTGGTGATCTCTGCACATAATTCAGTAGGACTGTATTGTGTTGATAAAGTATTGCTGACGATTATTGTTTTTGTTACTATTAAAAACTTCTCTGGGGCAACCATTATGTGTCAGGTATTGTACTAAGTGCTAACTTCCTGTACCTCATCTTCCATTTTCTTAACTGTCCCGCAGACAGGTTTTATAGATAATGAAGCTGAGACGTAGCGCAATTAAGACCTTTTTTTTCTTCTTTTTTTTTCACACTCCTGGTCTTTCTGAGCAATTATTACCTCTGCTTGGAGCCTAGCAACTGATAAACTATGGAGCCCAGAGTGTCTGCTCACACAGCTGCATCCCAAAGCCCAATCATGGAGCTTCACACATCGTAGCCACTCAAACTAAAAGTGTGAAATTACACGAAACTGAAGAATGCCAAGTATCCAGATAAAAGCATTTCGTCCATTAAATCCAACACACATTTACTGTATGCCAGGATCTGGAAGCACACAAGCCTATGTGGAGGTAATGATGTTATGAGACTGAAAGTAAAAAGTGTCAGCCTAGTGATAAGTGGGGCATTATGGGATTCAGAAGAAGGGAAAATTACTTCTGGAAGGGTCTAGAAAGGGCTTGATGGAAAACAGGTCATTTGAACCATTCAAAGTGGACCTCATAGGACAGGGGGTTGGACTTTGGCTGGGGAAGCAGAAGCGGCCAGCTTTGATGAACTAACGGCAGAAGAAACACACATGCGCGCGCACACACACACACACACACACACACACACAAATCCCACCCAATTGCTTACATTTGAAAATATTTGCTATGATGAATATTTTCCTTCTTCTTTTTTTTTTTTTTTTTTTTTGAGATGGAGTCTGGCTCTGTTGCCCAGGCTGGAGTGCAACGGTGGATCTCAGCTCACTGCAACCTCCACCTCTTGAGTTCAAGTGATTATAGTCGCTGGGACTACAGGGGTGTGTCACCATGCCCAGCTAATTTTTGTATTTTTAATGGAGATGGGGTTGTGTCCTGTTGGCCAGGCAGTTCTCCTGACCTCAAGTGATCTGCCCACCTTGGCCTCCCCGCTGGGATTACAAGTGTGAGCCACCAGGCCCGGCCCGATGAATATTTTCCTTCTATCTGGTATCTCATGGCAAAATTCCTTCGGAGAGCAAAGATAAGTGTCCTCTCCCACTGCAAACACACACACTCACACATACACAAATGCACACAAACACTTTTGTATGGGCCTTTATGTAGTCCAGGAGTCTAGGCTGTGAAGTGTTTGGCTAGTGACAGAAGGACAATGAAATCTTCCTTGTAGGTAAACTTGAAGTTCATGATCATGCACCACACTGCTGAGGTAATTCTGCTAAAATGTGTGGCTTCACTGCCTCTGGGAGTCCAAGCATTCCTGGGAATGAGACAAAACCTCAACCTGCATGAGTCAGCGAGACTTCTCTCTTGAGTCTAGCAGCACACGCTGCAGCTCCTATCCTCTGTGGATGTCTACATTTAAAATAAAACCTGTCAATGAAATGGCACAGAAACTGTGGATGCTTTCTTTAAAGATTCACGCTTCTGTTGAAATCACACTGTTCTCGCCTCAAACATTTAAGGAGAAGTTCATGAGTTCAGAGCATGATCTTCTAATGATGAGCAGTTGTGTTTCTAATATCCAGTCCAGTGTGGAGAGAACTTCATGGGTGGCTATTATTCATTCATAACACAAATAAGTGCTAGGTGCTTGGGTGAAAGGGAGTGAAGGTGATAAGATTCCTGCCCTCTAGACAGTGAGGGAAAGAGTCAAGTAAATAGTAAATCACAATACAGAGTGAACAGATTGCATTAAAATGAATCAATGCATTCTGGTACAACAGAGAGAAAACTGGGGTGATGCAGGCAGCATATGGTGGAAAAAAGCACAGACCCCAGAAGTAGCTTTGTAGCTTTGACCTGCAGGAGTGACCTGGATAATGTTAAGCAAGTTACTTAGTCCATTCAAGTCTTAGTTTCCTCTACTCTCAAACAGAAATGCCAATGCTTACCTCATTTAGTCATTCTGCATGGCTACTATGAAGATCACGATGATGCATATGTACACATATTAACCATGAGAATGTGACCTAATATTTTTTTACTTAGTCTTTTGGGTAATTGGAGTGGGTGCCTCTGTGTGTGTGTGTGTGTGTGTGTGTGTATGTGTGCGCATAGTTTTGCCAGTAGTACCTAGATTATAATTCCTTTGAAGGAGAGAGAGAGTCTCCTTCACTTTAGGCCAGGCACGGTGGCTCATGCCTATAATCCCAGCACTTTGGGAGGCTGAAACAGGTGGATCACTTGAGCTCAGGAGTTCAAGATCAGCCTGGGCAACCTGGTGAGACCCTGTCTCTACAAAATATAAGAAAATTAGCCAGGTGTAGTGGCATGCTCCTGTAGTCCAGCTACTTGGGAGGCTGAGGAGAGGATCACTTGAGCCCAGGAGGTCGATGCTGCAGTGAGCTGCAATCGTGCCACTGCACTCCAGCCTGGGCAACAGAGGAAGACCCTGTCTCAAAAAAAAAAAATGGGGGTCTTCTTCACTTCAGATTCACCTATTTTCACATATAGTGCCTAATTCTTAACAGATGCTCAATAAATGTTTGTTGAATTTAAATTCGATGTTATGTAAGTCTGGCATTGCCGGCAAGATCTGAAACTCCTTTCCTCCAAACTGCCTGTCATTAAAGTCAATGTTAAGGTGTTTGAGCAACTGACTTATACCCTTAAGCTAGGAATGTGACTACTCTTATCTTAGCATTTCTAACTGCAAATATTACAATAAATCATAAACTTTCTAGTCCTTTGAAAAGTTCACCACTTAAAACTAGAGTCTGCTAACTGATGAATTTCACTGGCTAGGTCCACACTGTGTGAAGTATTCCTTTTTATTTATTTCTCAAATGACCTCTCCCTAACTTAATAGTGGTTCTCTTCCTGGAGTTACCCCCAAAGGCATCAGAGATTAAATACATTTTTCGCTATATCTATTATGCTCTCAAATACCTCACTCAAACCTCGTCTCAACCTTCTTATTTTAGAGCTAAGGTTATTTGCAAGCATGACGTCCACAGGATGTTTATGTATCAGATGTTTACCTACCTGGTATCTCAGACTTCTCCCATACCCTTCCTGTATTTTTGAAAATAGAACAACATCAGAATTTGACTGCATCACTAGAGTGACCGCATCAAAATGGTTTTACCAAATTAACATATGATCTTTTATAAGTTGTTGGAATTGGAGCTTTCTGTGGATAGGAAATGAATATAGACTTCAGGCCTTTTGCAATCTGTGCGTTTCTTTGTCTCATGGTCTCTGAGAAGCAGCCTCACAAAAAAAGCCTCATGGAAGAAGTCTTGGAGGTGGCTGTGCAGTGAGGCAAGGATGTCTGACACCTTTCCAAGGTGAAGTTATTCACACACACACAGACACACACACACCTCTCCAGGTTTTCAGCAGTTTAAAGAAATTTTCATGCCTAAAAGACTAGGAAAGTATTAAATAGCATGTACAGGTAAGGTGTATTTTTCTTTTAAAAGCTGTTATTCTATGCTACCCATAAAGTTTTATCTGCACGATTGGGTGATTTCTAAGTGGCTCAAGATAAACACACACTTTTACTCAAACAGCATCTGTCTATTCCAGCACAAACAAATGCGTTGCTGATTATTGGTTTTGCAGTTAATCATGGCTTTAATTTGTCTACCTTCCCCTTTAAGCTTGGTTTCAAAAACAAACACAAGGATGAATTTCTGGAAACTAAAGACTTGCAGATGAGGGTGATGGTCTAAATCAGTCTCTTGGCCTATAAAGTTTGACAGCATCTTTTTACACCAATTTTCCATGTATTTCCCAGTGATCTAGGTGGGCCTCTCCTGGTAATGAGAGTTTCCTGTGCTGATGGAGAACTTGGAAGTGCAGGTGTCCAAAAAACTCTCCTTGGCATTAAAAATCCTGCAAGGAGCTGATGGGATTACTGAGATTAAAGTCGGCTGCCAGCCTAAGGTTATAACGAATGCTACCCTGGAGACAAGAACGAAGAGAAAGAACAGGCTGCCTAGGTACAGCTGGTTGTCAGAAATTGTGGGTAAACAGTTAGTCTCTGAAGGAATGCCAATCATTCCTGAGAACAGATGAAGTGAACTTCTCAATTTAATATTTGGTCAACTGCATTTCCCTGTTGGAAGCTTATCATTCAGCCAGGAGCTGTATATGCTGATTTGTTTTTGAAGCTCACATTAAGGGGATGGGGAAAGCCTTGCAAAAATGAATTTTCAAAGAATGACTCTCCAAGAAAATCTTGTGTAATTAGAATTCACAGCAGATGTTTGGAACTGAGCAAAGGCCAGCCTAGGGCAGGAGAAAGGCAGTCAAAATAGAAACGCCATGTGTGGAGGTAGAAAATGAAAATGAGGAAGGAAAAAATGTTACCCAGTTATCTGTGGTTTCTGTGCTCCTCTTGGGAGAAAGGGGCAAGGCATAGCATTATTCCGTGCTCTGAAGACATGTGCTCCCTTTGCTATCCAAATGCAGTCAGTGGACAGAACTCAAATTCTTTTCATGTTCCAGGAAAAAAAAATCTATCGATACTAATCTCATGCATTTCAGCCAGGGTCACCCAATGGAAAAAATGCATCTGTACAACAACTTTAAACCATAGGAGGACAAACACAGATGTCACACTAACTACATCGTGTTATTCCTCCCTAGCACTGCCTGAAGTCCTTAACATAGTGGCAGCTGTGGCTCATCTATTCACTGGAACCGTTCTTAAAACACGGTTGGATACCTCTATTTCAACCACACACTTGGAGGTGACAAGAGGTGAAATGCCTTTTTGGTGAACAGGACTGTGCTGTTGTATGTGTGTGGTGGTGGTGGTGGTGGTGTGTGTGGGGTGCATCTTTGACAGAAAAAATAGGGCTAAGGCACATGTTTGGAAAGGCTAAAAAAAAAAAAGACATTCCTTTCATACAATCTTAGAGGTTTTCAGAGCAATGGAAATCCTCTCACGTTGCCATTATAGTTTTAGATGCAAAGTTAAGGATTAAAACATATCACTTTGAATGATTTTAATACATTCCAGTATTGAAAAAGAAATGAATTGATTCTTAATCTGTTTGAATTATTTTTGATACAAAGATTTTAATTCAGATGAATTTTATATGAGAAACATAAATATTCGAAATCTAGACACTTTAAAGAAAGATAACTAGATAAATAGATGTTTGTATTAAACCCTTCTGGAAGAACAGCAACATTCTTCCACTAAGGAAACTGGACTACTGTATTACAGAAGTTGATAGTCGGAGCTGAATTTCAGCATATAGAGGTTGAATCCCAAATCACCTCTTCCTGCCTCCTTTTACTCCCCCCAGAAGACACAGGGCTGTCCAGATGAAGGTCATGTAAGATGCTCAATAAATGAATTCACCTATTTACAAGTGGTTGATTTTAGAGGAAATATCATGTTAAATGAACAAAAGTATTGTCTGATTTTTCTTTACGTGGTAAATGATTGTTAAATAAATGAATTCTTGCCATTTTATATTGGAGCTTTCCAAATAAATAACAGCATCCTTATAAATATATACAATATTTAGAAACTACATTAAAACTAAAGAAGTAATATAATGTACGTGCTATAAAATGTTGCTGATTGAGACTGGCAATGATTAGTTTTGATTTTTAAAGGTATGTTTAAATAACCTGGCCAGTAAAATTCTGCATGTTACACCCCATTTTTTAAGGTGGAAAACTTCAAAAAATTCTTTTCTCTTCTCCCCCTAAACTCTGTGTACCTCCAGAAATATCAAAAAATTTTTCTTCAGTATTTCACATTTCATATGATTTTCTAACTTCTTTTCATTATCATGAGTGTTTCCCACTGGAAATGTGTATTTTATTTCCAGATCCTCAAACTTAAGGCTCTGTGAAATTTCTTGCACCTGTAGCCATTTGCCTTTGGGTCTACCTGGGTCTTGGTCTTTTATTCTGAGATGGGATCTACCTGCATCAGCTTTAGCCCTAGGTAAACACACCAAGGCTAGACAGATAAGACAAGTATAATGAGTTTCTTCATACAGCTGGATCCCTGGTGCTGCCTTTTCTTTTCTTCTTTCTGGGTTAGTATTATGGCCTACAAACTACTCAGAATGGAACATGGTATTTGTCTTCTTAAGGAAGGAAGAAAATAGCAGATTTTGGCAAGACTTTAAGGTGTGAACAGTCTGTAATGGTGGGTAAGCCCATGCCTTACAGATATTTCCTTCAAAGACTGGAGGGACATGAAAGATGAACCGTTTGGGCTTCATCTTATCTCCCCCTGTGGGCTGCACTTTCTTACAAGATAGCACAAAAGCACCAAGGAAAAAGGCCCCGCGAGTGAAGTTTCTATGTGAAATCCCCAGAGAAGCTTCCCGATGAAGCCAACCTGAACGATTATTTGATCTAAGAAAAAAAATCTTGTTAATTAAAAAATTTGCTATGTGCTGCCTCACATAATTATCATAGTGTTTAAGACAAATTCCAGCCATACTCCATATATTTATATGTTCATCTTAGGCAAGCTCAGGGCACTAGCTGATTGAGTAAATTTATTTTTAATAGAATCACAGAATTTTAAATGCTTGAAACAACCCAAGCACCTGTCTGGTCCGATCACCCATCCCCTGGAGAATTTCACTGATAGCCTTCTCAGGCTAGCTAAAAGAATAAAGGAGCTTATTTATTTATTTTTCTAGATCCAAAATATGTAGTTAGAAGTTTAAAGCATTGGAATTGTAGGAAGAATAAAACTTTGGTAGAATTGAGACATCTCATTCTCCTGAAAGAAGGCAATTAGAATAATGCCATACATAAGTGCATTTTTCACCCCTTGGGGTAAACAGAGCTGGGAAAAAAGTGCCCAAGTCACATGCACAAGTGCATATGTCATCATCCTCAATCCTAACATGTGCAATTAGTCTCAAACACTTACTCTGTTCAATAGTTGGAAATATAAAAGCATAATGTATTTTATTACTATTGGGATTTATAGAGCATTTTAAAATTTAATCTACTTTCCTCTCTTTATTTGAATCCAGAATTGAATGAGATTAGATGGCTAAGGGAGGGAGGGAGGGAAGGAGAAGGAGAGTGGAGAAGGAGGGTAGAGGTTTGTGTGTGTGTGTGTGTGTGTGTGTGTGTGTGCATGCATGCTTGCGTCTGCCTATGTTTCAGATCAGCATCCAAAATTGCTATTCTGACGTGGATCAAAATTGCCATTTTGATGTGGTGCTTTCAAATGGTGCATAAAATGAGAACTATACAAGGGTACAAAATCCTCATCCACACCAGGGCTTTGGAATTTACAGGGTTCAGCTCTCTCTCACCTTTGGAGAAGGTGGCTGTGGATGTGCTAGAGGAGTTTTAAAGTGTGGGTTCTGCCAGTTCTGAAGAACACATATTTTTTTGCTCTGGTGCTTTCAAATTACGATATGAAAGTATTTAAAGCTTAGGAGTTGGTGTGTTACCTCACACGCGACATAAATGTAGCCATTGCTCCTAAATGTGAACATTAATGCACTCTGTAAAAGGTGCAATTATTACCGCTGGGACAGAAATCAACAAACTCCACCAAAGGAATTTCTTAAAACTGCTATCATAAAATCTGTGCATGTTATGGATTTCATTAACATTTTACTCCCTGAGGATTCCCAATTGTATAATAACAGAAGTTCTTTAAATTTTAAATACCACAGACAGGAACAGCCTTTCACCCAAAACAGATGTGAAACCATCAACTTTGCCTCCTTATTGGTCCACAGATATGAAACTGGTTGGTAATTGATAGCTTTTAATGTGTTGCTATTTAGGTTACAGAAGTGGAAACTTAATATTATCTTTCCCATGAAAAGATAAGTTATTAACCAATAGACAGCCTTTTCAACCACAATTCTTTACTCTTGATTATATTTGAATTAAAAAAAATAACCCAAGAACTCTCTGATTTACATACCACATAAAAACAAAACTAGGTAGGCAAAGGTCAGTGACATACAACGTTCATGTGTCAAAGAGCTAATTTCAGTCTTATTTTGCCTAAATCTTGTCAATGATAATTTGCAATTTTATCCTGTGCTTCCTTTTCTTAATCCCATCCTTATTAGTGCATTTTGAGACCCAATTGTACAGGCTTCTAAAATAACATCTGTATTTATTTAGCTAAAAACAGTTCACTTTTAAAAGCTAAAAATAGGGAAGCCTAAGATAAATAAGCAGGAAGGTTTATGAAGCTATTTTCCTGCATAAGGCAAACAAACACATCTGTATTTTTGGAAAACAAAAGAACTACGGTTCTGTTCAAATAATATCTACAAGCAGTCAAGAAGTGATAAAAGCCAGCCAAACAACAATGAATTTTTTTCTTTCAAAAGGCTGATTATATGAAAAAAATGAATTTTAGGATCTTTTACGCCAGCGGTTTTCAAGTGGGGGTGATTGTTCCCTAAGTAGGATATCTAGCAATGTCTGGAGACAGTATTTGGGTTTTATGACTTACATGTGTATGTATGCTATGTGCTTCTAGTGAGCAGAGGCCTGGGACACTGTTCAACATCCTATCTTGCACAGGTCAATCCCTCCAAAAGAAAAAGATTATGCAAATCAAAATGTCAGTATTGCTCAGACCAAGAAACCCTGCTCTAGATGTAGTCCAACCATGTAAGTTAAAGCTTCTGCAGTGATTGTTCAATTTCATAGGCGTCATTTGCCAGTCAGCAAATAAGTAGGGATAGGCTGGGGTTTAAACATGCTTGCTTGGTCTTCAGGACACCAGCCTCAACAGAGACTCAAATCCATTTTCATCTTGTTACAATGGAGTAGGAGCAGGGATGCTAAGATTCTAGTCCAGGTTCTGTCATTAACTTCCTCTGTGGTCTTTCAAATCACTTAACCTCTGAATTTATGCAAAATAAGGGATTTAGACAAAAGGATGCCTGTATCCCTTTTAGTCTTAAAGTTGAGATATCCCTGAAAGAAAAATAATTCTTCTCTAGACCATAACTATGAGTGTTTGTTTCAAATAGACACTGGCATCAAACAGTAAGAAACCAAAACTGTAAGTAAAATGGAAAGTTGATGCTACACAGGTAATTTATTTGTAAGCGTAATTCTACCTGAACAGTGGTGGTTCTCGAAGAATTGTCTTTTTGGTGATGCTTCATCATCAAAATCTAAGAGGCTTTTTCAAATATCATACATTTTCTTTAAGGTGTGTTGACATGAAATTAGTATAATCATTGCACTGATTTTTTAAGCTGAATTAATTAGTCAACTTGACCAAAATGGTCAAAATCATATTGGTAATTTCTTTCTTTTTTTTTTTTTGGTAATTTCTACAAAACAAAACAATCAGTTAAAAATATCCAAATAATCATCTCTAATGTGTGCACCTGTTTTCCCCAAATCATACCCTCCTTAAAAAAAAAAACACCTTAGAATTTAATCCATCTCTACCTACATATTCCCTTCAAATGACTCCCTGTGATGTGAAAAGCCATGGTCCCAGGACAACATTAGGAAAAGTTCCTCAGGACACTGTAGATTATGGAACAGACTTCCTGGGTGGAAACTCAGTCATAGGTAACAGACCTCTGCTTCATTAATGGGTAGTATGTAAAGCATTTATTTTATGGAGGAAATAGAAGTCAATGCAGAATCAGGGTAAGCACCAAAAGCTCACCTTGGGGAATTTTTTTTAAAGCAAATTGTCTTCCTTCCAGATGAATGTTTTGGTTGAAACAGCATATTAGTATTAGTTGCAATAAACACACACACACACACACACACACACAGAGCACACCTGGGGAATCCACATCCATTTGAACAGCTGTATTTTCCCTAGTTTTGCCAACACTGTATTTTACATGCATCATTCCACATTTGGGTAACCCAGTGAGCTATTTTTGTCAGTTCTCTACTTACAGATTTATAAAGTATCATTTTAATGTAATTTTGGCAATTTACTAATGATCTGAATGAGTTAATACACCCCCTAAAGTGTCTGGTTTATAGGCACAGAGTGTTTACAATCAGGATAACCTGGTCCTATGTATGCTCTGGATCAGTCAATTTAGCAGATGGAACCAATTCTGAATACAACACTATGGACAAAACCTGTGAGAAACCAGCAATTTGGTGAAAAAAATCAAAAATGATTTCACAGGCGATACCTCTTCCACGCTCAACCCATTAATACTGGAGAATAAAAAGATCTGTCCAGAAAGTTTAAGAGAAAAGAAAATTGTATATGAAACTTGTTAAAACAAATGACATTCTAAAGCTTTAAGGTAAATTACTTCAGTTTCTACTTTCAATGTGGGGAGATTCTAACTTTAAAGATAAAACAAGGGTTTCAAGTAACAAATTCTTCAAATTGAATATGTCAGCACTCACTCATCCCACCTGAAATGTGATAAATAAATATCATACTACCATTTTTCAGAGGAAATATTTCCAAGGGCTCATAAGTTATTTCACTCCATTTGGTCTTAAAGGAAGTCCAGGCCCTTCACAGCTCCTGAAATCAGGTCTACGCCATTGTGTTATTTTTCATGTCCATTCTCTGCAAGTTGTAACAGGCAATTCAAATTTTGAATCATGACAGAGCCATTTTGGAAGTTGCCAGAAGCAACAACTCACCACTCTGGATGGGATGTTGGTGAAGTGTATGGATGGGAAACCTTGGAGGACTGAAGGAAGGACCCTGGGGCCGAGGGTGGCAAACCTGACTGTGTCTGACAGCCTCGTCTGTGGCCCATTAGGCCTGATGCCAGGATTAGTTATGTTTCTCCGAATAGCTGGCATGAGAGTATCTCTCCAGCATACCTCAGTCGCAAGAGCATGCAGTGAAAAACATAATCAGAGTGGCCAGAGAGCTTTGCAAGCCTCACCTGCACCCTGGCTGGGTGTCACATCCAGAGGCAAGTGGCAATGCACGCGCTGGCCACGGTTTGACTTCTCCTTCTGTGCCTGCTGTCTTGCTTCCTGAGTCTGAGGAAGGATATCCACGTCCATTGTGTAAGACCGTGATTTCTCACAAGTTATATCTTTCTCCGGAGTCAGGACTTTGGTGAACCATTTAACCCCACTGGGCCTCAGTTTTCTCATGTGAAGATGGGGGTAAAAATCTCTGGTCAACTGACCTCACTTTGTAAGACTAAAATAGGACGTATATAAAAAGTGCTTTTGGCCAGGCGTGGTGGCTCATGTCTGTAATCCCAGCACTTTGGGAGGCTGAGGCAAGCAGATCACTTGAGGCCATGAGTTCAAGACCAGCCTGGCCAACATGGGATGACACGCCATCTCTACTAAAAATACAAAAATTACCTGGGCTTGGTGGCACACGCCTGTAATCCCAGCTACTCAGGAGGCTGAGGCAGGAGAATCGCTTGAACCCAGGAGGTGGAGGTTGCAGCGAGCCAAGATCGTGCCACTGCACTCCAGCCTGGGCAACAGAGCGAGACTCTGTCTCAAGAAAAAAGTGCTTTTATAAGGGAAGAGCGCTATGGAAACATAAGATTTCGTTGTTAGAGTATGTGTCACAATTAATTTAAAAATCTTTCAAGCAACCCTAAAGGCCATTTAGATTGGACCAGTTTCTCATGTTGAACTTAGAAGAAGGGCATTTACTTTCTTTTGACACTATTGTCTCAAAGGACTAAACATGACTGTGTGTGTTTCAATTCCATTCAGCCCATCTCCCTACCACACTAAGGGCTTTCATTAATGGTCCTTCAGAGAGAAAATGGGGAAGACGTTAATATTATTTGAGAAATACATATAAGGCAAAAGGAAAACATGAAAACAAGCTTCTTCAGCAGGTTGGCTCCAGTCCTTCTCTTCTGGAACTTTCCTTCTTCTCATACCTGAGAATTAATATCTGCACTAGAAAATGGAGTGGAGAAAGAAGAGGCTCTTGCCTCAAGGGTTTGCTGATGTGGTCTTATAGGTACAGACTGTCTTCCTTTAGGTTTCCTTCTGTGTGACTAATCCACAAGAGGGCTGATTTACCAACCCAAACAGGATGTGGTTTAGAAGTCAACCATTCTCTGCTCCTCCAGAATAAGTGAAGGCATAAATACTCTAGTACCACAATTTTTTTCCACAAGAGAAAAAGTCCCCAAATTTGGAGAAGAGTAGTTTCAGCCCGAGTTGGTTTGTCAAGTAATTTAATTTCAAAAGTCACTAGGGAGTGTGGTAATCCTGGTGCTATTTTTGTTTCTTTGAACAACAAAGTTCATATCCCACCCAGGTATTATGTCTCTTGTTTTTTTTTTTTTTTTTTTTTTTTGTCTCCTGGCATTTTAATCAGAGAAAAGTCACAGTTATTTTGAGGAAAGCACTCCCAAGAGCTTTAATTAAAGCTGGAAGGATAAATCTGTTTACAGTGTGGTGAACACTATCATTAATAAAACATTGAAATAATTAACGAATTAAATTCTGCTTTGCGTGTCAATGGCTACGTTCAGGATCTTTGAGAACGTCTCCCTAGAAGATGCAGTACACTGTGTACTTAGTTTGCGGAAATGAAAAGGAAAAACTGAAACTGCATTTCTCTGAGATTCATAGATCACAGATTGAGAGAGCCTGAATGGAGTGAAGGCTACGTTATTTTTATTTTATAGGAAAAGAAACTCAGTTTCAATGAGCTTAATGGCCTGGGTTCTAATGATGTGCTTGAAGAGGAAGATTTTGATCGCACCACTGATACACGGAGTCTGTATTTTGCATCCTAGAATGATTAACCAGAAACAAAGAAAGGAAAAAGGTAAAATTAATAATAAGATCAGCAGCTCTGGGACACAGAATAAAGAATGGAATAATCTGGAAAAAAAGGCAGGGCAGGCAAATTTCATAGTGTGATTAACTCTGCCACTGACAATGAGGAAATTTTAGTAGCTCAGGATATGAAGTGGCTTTTTGAGCAGGATATGGCTGTGTGCAAACCTTCACATTGGGACTTCCTTCACGCTCCTTCTCACTAACAGGCTCCTTGACTTGTTTTTAAGCTTTCTGGCAGACAACGGATCTCACAGGAAGCTCCAATGTGGACGTTCATATCGACAGTTAATGATGCATTGTTTTTTTTTTTAATGCCACTCAGTAATTTCCTAGGGAAAACAATGGGAACCGAAGCTTGTTCCTGTCTTGATGGAAAGTCAGCTTCCAATATCGCCTTATTAATTTAACACATGCAAGTATTTGTGTACTTGTTGTTGCTACAGCAACTTGTTTTGTGAGGGCATATTTCATGCAAAATGTGAAAAAGCTGAAAAAGAAAACAAATGTCATCTGCATACTTATGTGCATATAAATAGAAATGTATGTGTGCTAAGGTTCTTGTGATTAGAGGTACGTGCCTCTTGCCCTCAGTATAAATTATGCTGTACTTGTTGGTTAATTTACAAAACATCTATCTAATGAAAACAACAAGCCAACCACTTCCAAGGAGTTTCAGAAAAGCTGGAAACACATGAAATTATTCATAATTAGGTGATCAGTGGATGATAACAGCACCCACCCTGTACACAGACACAAGAAGCATGTAAATGAGCCTGCTGAGCTCGGAAGGCGAAAAACGGTAATTTTACCTCAAGGTGAACCTGAAGCTAAGCTTTTGTGACTTTCACCTTTCAGAGGGATGGAGCAGCAAAGTCCCTGCATTGTAGGCTTAGAAATAGGAAGCACCCAACCCATCTCAACGTGATTCAGCAGGGAGGTGATGGACATTTCATAAAATAGGCTTGAAAGTATATGAATGGGAATAAATGGTTAAAATCCTGCATACTGTAATATAAACAAGTGGGTGTTAGAGTCTGATAGACCTTGTTTCCAAGCCTGGTCACTAACTGTGACCTTGAGTGTTTACTCGTTTCTCTGAACTTCAGCAATCTCGTTTTTAAAATGGGGATGATTATACCTCCTTCCCAGGATTGCAGTGAGGATCAGATAAAAAATATTCAAGTACTTAGGACAGATCGGGCCACATTCTTTGGACTTGATAAAGGATTAGTGTCGTATGAGTAGGACAATTATCATTTAAGCTCTCCTCCCTCTAGCCAGGTGGGGCCACAGCTTCCTGTTGCCCCTCAGAAGTTAAGTGTGGCTCTGTGATATGCTTTGGCAGTGAAGGTGGGTGGAAGTTATCCAGCAGGGAGACCCAAGAACCATCATGATGAGCTGCAATCTTCCTCCCTCTGTGATATGGTCAGGCTTTGTGTCCCCACCCAAATCTCATCTTGATTTGTAATCCCCAGCATTGAGGGAGGGGCCTGGTGGGAGGTGATTTGATCATGGGGGCGGTTTTCCCCGTGCTCTTCTCATGATAGTGGGTGAGTTCTCATGAGATCTGATGGTTTTATAAGATGGTTTGGAAGTTCCTCCTTCACTCGCCTCTTTCACCTGCCGCCATGTAAGACGTGCCTGCTTCCCCTTCTGCCATGATCTTAACTTTCCTGCTTCCCCTCTGCCATGATTCTAAGTTTCCTCCCCAGTCATGCAGAACTGAGTCAATTAAACCTCTTTCCTTTATAAATTAACCCAGTCTTGGGTAGTTCTTTATAGCGGTGTGAGAACAGACTAATACACTCTGCCTTGGGGCAGGCAACATTTCAGAGGACGCTGTCCCCCAAGTCTGGGTCCTGGCATGAGAAGATACAGAGCAGACCCCAGCTGGCCCAGCCATAGAACATGGCATAAGCAAGAAGAAAACCCTCTAGTTTTTGGGGTTTGAGTTACCTTGCTTCTCCTGATCATGTTTTCTCATTGGCAAAAAGAGATGGATGATTTGAGATTTTTTTTTCTTCTGGGGCAATCTCAGATTGTGTCTAACTCCAAAGAATGATGTAAATCTGTTCTGTTCACAAATGCTTTGTGAGAGGCCATGTAGTCTTAGTGTTTTTACTGACAAGAGAATTGCCTTGCGCAGAAGAATTGCTACAGTTGCAGTTTCAGAGCTCCTGGAAGACCACCATTTCTACCTTAGTGAGAGCTCCCCACATTACCAAGAATGGGACTACATTACTGATACGGGAGTGCTGGGAAGGCAAGAGCGCGGTCCCTTTAAATGGTACAGAAGGGGGAAGGGAAGTGCAGGGTAGAGAAAGGAGAGTCCCTGGCTAGGGCTCCACCCCCACGGACCAAAGTGAAGACAGGTACTCCTGCTTTCCCGCCTAAATGTTGCATTTTCCAAGACCACCATGGCCCACCACGCCCCCATCCTGGGCCTTTAATAACCCGAGACCCTAGCGGGCAGATATACAAGCGGCTGGATATCGTGAGGAACACATTGGGGGAAGAAGGCACAAGTGGCTGATCGTCGAGAGCCCACCGGTAGAAGAGCACACCAACAGGCACAAGCACAACGACGTGGAGTTTGACCGGAGCTGTTGGAGAAGAGTCCAGGAGAAAACCATCTCCCTTCCGGCTCCCCCAGCAATAAAACCTTGCACGCATTCTCCAAGACCACGTGTGATCCGAATCTTCCCGTACACCAAGGCAAGAAACCCTGGGATACAGAAATCCCTCTGTCCTTGTGATAAGGAAGGGGGTCTAATTGAGCTGGTGAACACAAGCCGCCTATAGACGGCAAAGCAAAAGAGCACCTGTAACACGCGCCCACTGGGGCTGCGGCTGTAAACATTCAGCCTTAGACACTGCCGTGGGGTCGAAGCCCCACTGCCTGCCCATCTGTATGCTCCCCTAGAGGTTTCAGCAGCGGGGCACTGAAGAAGCGAGCCACACCCCTATCGCACGCCCTGTGAGGGACACAAGGAGACCTTTCCTGTTTCATTACCATGCAAACATGCTTAGTGCTGCAAAATGTAAGCTTCCCCCGAGAGGCACATCTGTCAATCATACTGAACTGCCTGTTGGTTTGGGGATGTGGGAAAACAAGTTACCAAGAACTATTTTGACACTGGCAAACTCATTTCATTTCTGTCTTAATCTAGAGATGGATTCAGCAATCCCAAGGTAGACGTCTCATCTTTTCTCACTCTCTACATATTTCTCAGTGTTGGAGGTTAGCGTGAGTTCAGTCTCCTGTAATAGGCCATTTCACTTTAAGTGTATGTTAAACTAATATTGACCTTTCCAAAGTAAAACAAAATCTGCTATTTGTGCTCAAAAGACTGAAGCAGCAATAGATGTGGAAAGTAGAGGATTAATCATCTTGTGGTTTTTTTTTTTTTTCTTGCTTAGAAACTCTCTCTGGGAATTAGTCATTTTATATCTAGCAATAAACGTAAGACAGGATCTGACTATTCTCCTGAAAAGGAAGCCTGGATCCTTCAGCAAATAATCTTTTGTATAATTTGCCCACAGTTTAACCCACAGATCCAGCTATGGATGTTTCATTTAACAGTGAGTGAAAAACTCAGGACTGTCAGCATCAGGCCTTTGGGTGGGAATACCCAGATATCAAGGTTGGGCAAGTGGGCATTAGGAGTGGTGCCGGCGATGAGAGGGGGTAGATTAGACGGCTGGAAAATGGGGTCAGCGGTGGGGATGTGGGGCAGACGAGGTGTCTGTGGGGATATGTAAGTGACAGCAGGAAGGGAATGCCAGAACAAAGCGAGGAAAGCAGAGGTAGCATCACTAATGAAGACACAAATATGTACATTTCATGCCTAAACATGGATATCTCGTCAATGGAGAGTGCCTTCAACCAAACCCCCTTCTTGGATGTGTGCTATATAGACCTACATGGAAAAACACACTCCAACCTTTCCTTCCCTTCTCCTACCCTGAACAAACAGAAACCTATTATTGGAAACAATTATTTCATACACGTCTATAAACAGGATTCATATATTTCATCCAGGAAATAAAAACATGTCAAAATAGGAAGCCCATTAACAGACAGTGTGTAGTTGGGAAAAATCAGATCTTGGAGCTGTTATCAAAGTGAGACACTTGTAGTCACATTCTCGGAAGAGTAGTATATAAGTATCTGAGAAGATAAATGCGTTTTCAGGGATGTCATCTTGGGCCTGCTTTTCTCTGATCGTGTAGCGATGGGCTCATTTTGCAGTGATTTATACCTGATGGCCGTGAACCTATCTTCTCTTGCAGTGATTTATACCTGATGGCCGTGAACCTATCTTCTCATTGGAGGCCATTTGGCACAGTACCACTTTCTTTCAACAACCTCTCTAGATGGTCAAAAACTTATTCAATCCTAGATAGGCTTGATCTTATGCTGCATACCTGTATCCACTCTCGGTAGGAATCCTCTCCGGGAGTCCACCCATTCTCAGGGTAGTTCAGGCGGGAGCGCTCTGCAGACCAGTTGGTGCTATACTGGGAAGAAGCTGTGATCTGGTCAGAATGAATTTCTCCTGATTCCATGCCCAGAGCTTCCATACATTTGAAATCTGAAGGGAAAAACAGGGCCCACAGTCATCAAAATATAGGGGATTTAAGATGCATTTTTCTTTTTTAACTTGATACACCAAAGAGTTCTTTCATTCAAAATTCTTTAAAAAGATGGTAGTAAGGGACTTATTGGAATATAGCACTGATACTTGGATTTTCATGGCAATATTTAAAAATATTATGAAGATCATACAGTGATTAATAATTTTCCCAAGTGGACCTAGGTTGACAAAAAGACTATTTGAAATTTACCAGGAAATGATGAAAATTCTGATTTATTTTCACAGTTGAGTGTGTGTGTTTGTAACTATCTGTGACTCTACCTGTCATATGGGTACACACAAAAAGTTGCATTTAAAATAAAATTTTTGTATTAAATTATTTCTTTTAATATCGAAGAGAATTGAAAAAAGACTCTATGTCTAGTTACAATTCATACTCAATGGATGGTAGAACTTAACTCCCTGTCTTTCAGATTCTACTATTGGCACCCAGACCACCTCTTCCTGACTTCCATTGTTCTTATGCCCCACCTCTGGCCTGCATGACTATTAACATAATTAGTTTATCAAAACACAGTTATGCATTGGGGGTAAACTGCACTGTCACACGGCCCCAAAGCACCACAGTTTTAGAGCATAAAATCATAATGCTCACAACAGTGAGCATAAGAATGATTGCTTTGTTTAAAGAAGCACATTAGGTGGACATGTCCCTGGAGGGAGGGGCCTTCAGCAGGGACGTGGTGTTTCAAGGCCAGTGAAACATCAAAATCTATATTCTCTTAGGCCTAACATCCTCAGTTTGATGATACTGGGAATATGAGCTTTCAGTTTTAGGAAAATGTTTATCCAAAGTACACAAGTGAAAAAAAGCTTTAGAGATTAAAGGGAAGATTCTCAACCATCCAGAAAATCTCAACTAACCAAAATTCCCCATTTTCTGAATTTTCTATCAATAACAGATAAGGTTTTAGGGCATACAAGGTTTTCTTGCAATGGCTTCATATTTTTAAGCTTAGGTTTGTTATTTGTAATATAACAATTATTTACAGGCACAAAAATACATAAATCAATTAAATAAAATACAAATCAGATTTTGAAATTTCACTGGCCTCTTTATTTTCCAGTGAGATCTGGTGTAGAAGATATGAGCATATCTGTAGAATACCTCTCCAAACACCCCCTGTCCTCTCCCTGTGCTACTTTACAGCCTGGCAGCTAGAGCTGATAATTGCACAAACAATTTTTTCTTTGTTCTTTTTTGTTGTTGTTCTTGAGACTGGGTCTCACTCTGTCAACCAGGCTGGAGTGCAGTGGCATGATTATAGCTCACTGCAGCCTTAAACTTTGAGGCTCAAGCAATCTTCCCATAGCTTCCCAAGTAACTGGGACTACAGGCACAATCCCCCATGCCCAGCTAACTTTTCAATTTTTAGTAGAGTCAGGTTCGCATTATATTGCCAAGGCTGGGCTCCAACTCCTGGCCTCAAGCAATCCTCCTGCCTCGCCCTCCCAAAGCACTGGGATTACAGAGTGAGCCACCAGTCCTGGCCTTATTCTTTGTTCTTTCAGATTTTTTTTCTTGGGCCTTTAAAAGAGCTAGAGACCACAAAAACTTTGAGGAAGGGTTGAGTTAGCTGAGTTTTTTCATAGAATACAAAAAACATACTGGCTTCCCCCAGCATCTTCCACAACCAAACCACTGTGCATTTCCCATACTTCGTGACTGCTCTGTCGGTGAACTACTTTAGATTTGTTCTTATCATCTGGGATAGATGCCTGTCCTCTTATGATGCTCAGCCTTGTATGCATTTGAGGGTGCCAGGTAGATGCTCTAGTCACATTTCATTGTTTCAAGGCACTATTTTGCCATTTCCTACTTTCTCCCATAATTTCAGAGGCTCCCAAGCAGGCTTCTCACCCACAATTTTATGAAGAAAGCACACCAAACAGTTCTTCCTATTGATACTCATAAAAAAACATTTAGAAGAGAAAAACAGACAGCTGGCACCCCAGTTCACAAAACATTTCTTTAGTGCTTCATGTGGCCGCAGGTGTGTGAGCAGGAATAACATTGAGTATTTACCACAGGGCTTTGCAAAATGAATAAACACTGACCTTCTGAGACACTGCTCTGCAAGACACTGTAGTTTGCTGAGAAACCTTCTTTTGCTATCGCGCTGTCGGTGTAAAAAACCATGGAGAGAATGCCCGATGAGGATCGGATTCGACCTGGTGTTTTCTGTCCACAGTAACGCCCAATGTGAGGGCCAACTGGAAAGGGAGGAATACAGACGATGTCAAAATGTCTTTTCTCCTGCAGCAGATGCAAGAATTAGCATTTACAAAGATGGGCCCCAGTAGAACCCAGAAGTGTTTTCTAACCCAAAGCAAGGCTTCCCTAAGTTAATTGGTTTGCTGTGAACATATTGGATTGGGTTTGCGGAGAAGATTTTAAAGTGTACTCAGAAGGGCAGTAACAGGCATAACCGCATTCCCCAGTGAGCAGAATTGTTTTCAGGAACAGAATCAAAATGCTTGCTTCAATTGCAAAGAATGAGATTTAGGCTATTGAAGTGGCACCTTGGTACCCACTGGCAGGGCAAATCTGTATACACAGCTCAGCGCCAAAAGATTCCTGCTAAGCTGTGGTCACTGAGGTTTCTGAGTTACCCGTCCTCGCCTCTCTTGCCCTAGGGGGAGATTCTGGGGATGCTGATGTCCAGGGAACCCTCTGGTCTGATCAGTCCCAGGGGTCTGATCCACGATTGACCTGCAATTGGCTTCCTCATGCTATCTTTTAGCCCTGGATTCTTATTATGATAAACATAACAGGCTTGGACAAAGGACAATGGATTATGTCCTACTCAGGGCTTTATGTGAAGACAAATCATTGTAACCATGTAAAAAGTTGGAGACTACATATACCAATAATTTATACATAATGGCAACTTATAATCTAAATGAAATAAAAATGCATCTGTCTGACTTCTGTCCTAGTTTCTTCTCTCCTAAATCTGAGAGGTGACTTGTTTCCAGTGGCCAAGACATCACCAAAAGCAACCATTTGATTGTGCACACCAGGAAAAAAAGTGGACTTGAGGAGGCGAATGATTGGGAACACCCACTAATTTATGTTAAAGTCAAATTATTTGATGGCTGAGTGCGGTGGCTCACTCTTGTAATCCCAGCACTTTGGGAAGCTGAGGTGGGTGGATCACTTGAGGTCAGGAGTTTGAGACCAGCCTGGCCAACATGGTGAAACCCCGTTTCTACTAAAACTACAAAGATTAGCCAGGCGTGGTGGGCAGTGCCTGTAATCCCAGCTACTGGGGAGGCTGAGGCAAGACCCAGGAGGTGGAGGTTGCAGTGAGCCAGGATTGCACCACTGCACTCCAGCCTGGATGACGGAGCGAGACTCTGTCTCAGAAAAACACACAAAAAAAACAACAATTTGCTGTTTGACTTAAACTGGCCACACCTTTGTTGAAGTGCTTTAAGCAAACCCTGGCAATGAGTAAACTGGAAATTGCCTTGGGAAGAGTGCAGAACCCCCGTGGATGGCAAATCTCTCCATTTCCCTGTCCTGATCATCGACAAGCCACACATAAAAAAGTCCCTTTTTTTTTTCTCTAGGTTTTTTCATTGCACATATGGCAAAAACATACCAGATGGTTTGGGTTTAGAAGGACAATATGGTGTGGACTGTTTTCCCCTCCAAGAAATCCATGGTTCTGTGCGTTTCAACTAAGAATGATTGCTTTGTTTAAAGAAGCACATTAGGTAGACATGTCCCTGGAGGGAGGGGCCTTTAACAGGGACGTGGTGTTTCAAGGCCAGTGTGTGCAGTTTGGATGCAGGATGCGGCTGATGAAGGCCAGGAGAGACTTCAAGTGTGGTTGCCAAAGTGAACCCCACAAGAACTGGTCTCCCTGAAGCCCAAGTACCAGCTGTGTTCCTAGTAGGCAGCAAATCGGAGCCACTGTTTCGTGGATTGCACAGA
Organism: Homo sapiens; assembly: GCF_000001405.40. Lineage (NCBI taxonomy): Eukaryota > Metazoa > Chordata > Mammalia > Primates > Hominidae > Homo > Homo sapiens. The sequence continues at coordinate 33,258,201 of NC_000010.11, forward strand.
TCCTTGGCCGACAGGTTTTCAGCTCTTGGCCAATTCTCTTTAAAAAAGAAAAAAGAAAAAACCCCAAACCCAAACAAAATAAAATAACTAAAGTAAACCAAAATGGTTCACCTATTTGAGTTAGCGCAACAATGGGTTGCTTTGAATAATACCTGATAATTTTTCGATGTGTTGAAAATAATGGAGTTGACTGAATTCAGAGTTTTCTCTCTGTTGCAACCCCTCACTCTCCCTCCAGGCACCACACAGTTTGTGTGCATAGACTGCTTTATCATGAAGAAAATGAGGAGGATGACCCAGTGAGGAGGACTGATACAGATTATCTACAGGGCATCACGCTGTCACGGACAATAGCTTTGCATTATGGAAGCAAATTTTGTTATATTCGACTTCTCAGTTGGCAGAAGAAAGCATCTCAGAAGATGAAACTCTTGCTGTTTTTTGTCTCTCTTCAGCTTTATTCCTGGCTTCTGATTCTTCTACAGGTAGTGGTTCTTTGCTATTTAATAGATTTTCTTCATTCTGGATGTGGCCCTAGTAGTAATGCAACACTTTTTTTTTCTTATCTCTGGAGCACGAAGTTGTCCATAACATACACATGAAAATACCTTGCTAGAACCATACACTTAAGTCTTTGCTTTCCTAAAAAGGAATCTCATTTCTGATCTGCAATATTAAAAGAAAAGCCTTAGAGTCCACTCAGACTTCCTCACTATTTTTTCCCTCATTTAAATTACATTAGTGTGGCTTCATGATGTTTTTTCTTTAGTTTGTGGGCAAATGTTTACAGCCCTAATCCTTGGGGTCGTCCTCTGATCGCCACAGCCGCTGACCTCCCCCAGAATACAAGCTTGCAAGCAAAGCTGTGATTGCCCTGTGGAAGCTCAGGCGGCTGATCCTCCCTGCCACTATCACCCAATTCCTTTGGGGAGGGCGGAAGGGGAATCTCTTTGAAAGAGAAAACAGAAGAGAACTTGTCTGATGCAGACTTGCAATTTAGAGAGTCTCCATGACTCACTGGTTTATAATGTTTAAGACATGCTGGGTAAATCTGCCTTCTGTCCCTAGAACACTGCCCCCGGACAACAGCGTGCCACTCTCTTTAGGAGCCCTCAAGATACGAGAGTGAAAGGCTTTTTCGACTATAATACAAAGAAGTATTGAATTTTCCTGAACAACAGCGAGACCTTAGCCTAGCAAGCTAATGCAATATTGATCTGAGCGAGAGTGGATGAAGTACTCTTATCCGTCTCGTGTGTGTGCTCATTTGTGTATTTACATGAACACAGCTATTGGATTTCCTATTTCTGTTATTGTGGACCGAAGCGCCGAGGAGATGAATGAAAATGGTCACAAAAACAGAAGTATAATTCAAAAATTGAATTATTGCAGAATTTCAGCAAGCAACATGTGCCAAGCTTCAGGGAGAGGAGAGCTATAATGATCATATCGTATCAGATGTGAAAGGAATATAGTATTTGTGCTGTTTAAAGATATGCCTACAACGGGCAATGGTGATCCCACATCCTTTGCATTTTCCCATTAATCTCTCCAATAATTGTAACCTTATCTCAGAATCAGATGATTTGGCTTTTTGCCACTTTTTATGTGAAAAAATAAAAGTGCTGATCTACTATAAAGAGGTACTTAAATTTTTTTTTTTCTTTTTTAGAGATGGGTGTCTCACTCTGTTGCCCAGGCTGCAGTGCGGTGGCGCAATCATGGCTCACTGTAACCTAGAACTCTTGGGCCCAAGTGATCCTCCCACTTCAGTCTCCTGAAGGGCTGGGACTCTAGGCTCATGCCACTACCACCAGCTAATTTTTAAATTTTTTTTTGTAGAGACAGGGTCTCATCTCTCGATGTTGCCCAAGATGGTCTTGAACTCCTGGCCTCAAGCAGTCCCTCCCACCTAGGCCTCCCAAAGTGATGGGATTACAGGAGTAAGCCACCACACCTGGCCTAAAGGTATCCTTTTTAAAATGAAGTATTTTGAATAATAAACGAAAAAGGGATTCATTTCAAACGTACAAAATAGGCCATCTATATTTTTCTGAAATTAATACACTTTTTGGTGTAGAATATCTGGAATACCAAAAATACATTTTGTAGCTTTTCCCCAGAAAAAATCTGGCATTTTATATCTATCTCTTCTAAATTAATCTTTAGAAGATTAATTAAATGTAAAAGTAAATAAAAAACAAGCAGAACTCAATCTAGCTTTTATGAAATGTATTCCTGAAATGGTTGATAATTTTTGGAATGTTGGTAAAATTGCAGTTCCAGCCCCTTTTGCCAGCTGAGGCAGAGAGCTGACATCATCAGCACCGATGTGACGTGAGCTAAGCATTCACTTCAGGCCCCATCATCCAGCACCAACACTTCCAGCATGTACCCGGGCAATGATGCTGCACTTTTGGTCTTAGCCCATATGTAAACCTCCACCAATTTTTTCAGAGTTGCTACTTGTGAATCCATACAGCTTCAAACACAGTGATAGATGGAGATGTGTGATTCACAACACGCATGCCTTGAATTTTGAGTTCTGGAGTAAACTGCTTTTCTTCAAAGTCAATTTGAATCAATGGGTAGCTTTCAATTACCTAGTCATTTAATTCAGTGTTTATGATAAAATGCAACATAAAATCACTTGATGGTTAAAAGCCTTCCACGCCTTCTGGTTGTTGTTTTTGGAAAGGATATCAAAGACTAAAAGCAATCTTGTTGGCAGAGGAACTGTGTATGTTGAACTACTATGACACAAATGTTTCTAGTGCCATTGACCAAAAAAAAAAAAAAAAAAAAAAAAAATCCAGGAAGATGCAGTTTTATTTTGCCTAAAAAAGAAAGCTGTTATGCAGGTGCAGGCTGAATGAGGCCAGGTAAATATTAACAAATATACAAACACATCTTCATATTCCAAAGCCAGTTTTCTCTGGGAACAAGTGAAAGGCACCATAGTTTAAAACATGCGTAAATTGCAAGGCTGATAACTCTTATTGTTAATTGTTCCTCGATTCAACTCAGTGATTTTCTAGAGCCAGAAAATTACTACTTTGAAAAACCCTTGACACTAATAACAATGTGCCTTCTTTCTGAAAGTCTTCTAAATAAGTTGATTGATTGGACCTCTTCTTCAGATGTCAATTTAAATGAAAGTTCTAGAAAGGAAAGCTGCAAATTTGGGTTGTGAACAAATAAATCCATTGTAAAATGTTCCAACTATTGTTACAATATTATTATAATACTATTTTCCTAATTATCAGATTGAATACTTGGAAATCAATCAGAACTCTGGGCAAATCTCATTATTTAATAAAGGAGTTTTGATAAGATTATCATAACCCTGTTTATATGGTAAAAGAGCAAAGAAGATATTAAACTAATGTTAACTCACCCATTTATTCCAATGGCAATATAAGGCTTCTCTAAACCTGGTTTTTTTCTAATGCTGTTTACTACTGAGGAACATAGCTAAATTGAATCACACTAATAATAATGTCATTTCAAAGACTAAGGCAATCTCCTTTACATTTTACTTATTCTTTTTTTTAAAACAGATTCTTGCTCTGTTCCCCAGGCTGGAGTGCAGTGGCCATGATCTCGGCTCACTGCAACCTCTGCCTCCCAGGTTCAAGTGATTCTCCTGTCTCAGCCTCCTGAGTAGCTGAATTATAGGCCTGCACCACCATGCCCAGCTAATTTTTGTATTTTTCGTAGAGACAGGGTTTCACTCTGTTGGCCAGTCTGGTCTCGAACTCATGACCTCAGGTGATCCACCTGCCTTGGCCTCCCAAAGTGTTGGGATTACAGGTAGGAGCCACAGCACCCGGTCTACATTTTACTTATTCTTCATGTACAATGTATTTAAATATTCTTTTGAGAATAGTATCTGACTCTGTTTTACAGATAGTTATACATCTCCTAACTCCATGATGGTGAAGAACTTCCAAGCCATCCTCTCTGATCTGTGTAGTGTGTGTTCTCTAGAGAAATCTTAATATTAAACCAGACTAAACACAAGACAAGCAATGCAGCTGTTAACAAATTATTGGATATTATCCCCCTCTGTTCAGAATTTCACTGTGTATTTTTGCCATTTACCTTCTAATTCACAAGAGTGGAATGGAAAACTTTCATTTAGATGTCCATATGGCTATTTCCTCCACCTCCTTCAAATCTTCGCTCAAATGTCATTTTCTTTAATAAGGTCTAACCTCGGCCAGGCATGGAGGCTCATGCCTGTAATCTCAGCACTTTGGGAGGCTGAGGCAGGAGGATCTCTTGAGGTCAGGAGTTCGAGACCAGCCTGGCCAACATGGTGAAAACCCGTCTCTACCAAAAATGCAAAAATTAGCTGAGTGTGGTGGTGTGCACCTGTAATCCCAGCTACTCGGGAGGCTGAGGCAGAAGAATTGCTTGAACCTGGGAGGCGGAGGTTGCAGTGAGCCGAGATTGCTCCACTGAACTCCAGCCTGGGTGACAAGAGCAAAACTCTGTCTCAAAAAAAAAAAAAAAAAAAGTCTAACCTCACCACCCTATTTAAAATTTCAACCTATACCTCCCCACTCCCAACTTCTCATCCCTTGACTCTGCTGTACTTTTTCTTGCTTTCATTTGGGGAGATTTGTTTATAGCACTTCTCACCTTCTAACATTTCATGCACATAATTCATTTATTTGTAACGTGCATTGTTTATTGTTTCCTTCTACCTGGCAGAAGAGAAACTCCAAAGGGCAGCATCTTTCATTGTTTTGCTTACCCTGTGGCTAGGATGGTGCCTGGTACATGACAGATGCTCAGGAAATATTTTTTAGGTATATGAATGCATAGGTCAATGACTATAAATGATGTATTGAGGTGACTCAAATTCCCTAAGATGAAAAATCTGTAGAGAATGTACAGGGAACCTGTCTAAATTAGGAATGCCCAAACATTCTCGTTCCTTTTCCAAATTTTTGTTTTGTAGCATAACGGATGCATAGTTTAGCCTTAAAATTTTATTAAGTACTCAACCTCTCAGGTCCTTGGTCTCTGCATTTATAAAATGAGTGGTTTGATGTAATGGAATTACTAAGAGCCCATCCTCTTACAATCTGTGAATTAATGATGAGTAGCCAGGTCAGTGGATGAGCAAAATAGTTTAGAGAGAAAAACTATGTGTTTGTCTCAATTATATCACAAAAATAGCTAAAAGAACCTTTTGTAATCTTTCATGGCCTCAGCTTCTTATCTATAAAATGAAGGAATTGGACTAGATAATTACTAAGGTCTTCTTGAGCTCAAATATTTCATCACTGCTCTGAATATAGAGAGTTTTGCTTTGTTTTCCAGTGTCCTTTTGAGGTTTTTTTTAATGATTCATGTATCATGAGACTTGTAAAAGAATACTGGTGCCCTTCCTCCAGAACCTTCCCTTTTTGGGGTGCTTCCTGTCATTCTTACCATCAGGGAATCCATCCCAGATTTCTAGCCGGTCGTAGCGACAGAACATCCCCCCTGGAGGATTTGAGTCAGGCTCCAGGTCAAAGCTTTCAAATTCCAGGATAATCTCTGACATCTTTGGCACAAAGACAATATAAGTGCATTCAAGGCTGTTGGGATATTTTTCAGGGAATCCGGGGGACTTTATCACTCCACTAGGTGTTGTGTAGTTCTGGGAACATTCAGGACCTATGAGTAGAAGAGAAAAAGGAGTAAAGTGAAAATCCCACTTAAACAACTTCCCCAAGAAATAACCTGGGTAAAGACAGAACATCTTTCTAATAAAAGCCCGCCAGTATAACCACTGTTCTAATCATGTATTAGTCAGCCTTTTCATATTAGTAAAATGGGTATGGAAAGTCAAGTTCAGATTTATTGTGTTAACCTTAGCTTTCCATTTGTATGGAGCAATTTAAAGACTTCTGCTGTTGCAGGGAAAAATATGACAAATATAAAATCATGTGGGAACAATGAATGAGTAAGCTGCAGAAATCTCAACAGAGCCCTAGAGAAATAATTATGGCCCCTTCAAGCTTAAACCTTTAAATCTTGAGGCTGACAGCCCTTTATTGGTGAAATAGAACATTTATAAAGGCGAGGGAGAGAATTCAGTGGAGGCAGTTTGGGTTTCAGATTCCTACACCAGTGACTCAGTAACTCTGCCAGATGTGACCTATGCCTCTTTGACAAACGAAATGTGAAAGGTAATTCGTACATGTACCAAGGGTGAGTGACTCATTCTGAGTGGTGTTGACACAGGTGGGCCGGTAAAGTGTGGCTGTTAGTGAGGGCACGATAAACTGTGATTACAGGCCATGATGCCGGAAGTCACCTGATATCAATGCTGACATCCTAACCTTCCCCGAAGTATCAGACACAGTATAGTACGCCATTCTAAAATTGCATGTTAATAGATGTGTGTGTGTGTGTAATGCATATATTTATAATGTGTAATTTTAATGACTGTTCAGTACCACCAGGACTTTACAAATTATGGTGATTTGTCATTGAAATTGGTCAAGAGCATCCATGCATATAGTGCAGGTTGACCTTATGCCTGTATGAATGACTCCAATTTCAATTCATGGTAACCAGCATAGGGTGGTATTCACTACACAATTCAAAAACTGCCCTTCTTGGCCGGGTGTGCACAATGGCTCATGCCTGTAATGCCAGCACTTTGGGAGGCTGAGGTGGGCGGATCACCTGAGGTCAGGAGTTCGAGACCAGCCTGGCCAACATAGGGAAACCCCAGTCTCTACTAAAAATAGAAAAATTAGCTGGGCGTGGTCGTGGGCACCTGTAATCCCAGCTACCCAAGAGGCTGAGACAGGAGAATTGCTTGAACCCGGGAGGCAGAGGTTGCAGTGAGCCGAGATCACACCACTGCACTCCAGCCTGGGTGACAGAGCCAGCCAGACTCCGCCTCAAAAAACAAACAAACAAACAAACAAACAACAACCAAAAAAACCCAAAACTGCCTTCTCTACCAACATGAGCACATCAGCTCAGTCCCTGAATACCACCTGCTGCTATGATCTTCAAATAGCTACACTTAAGACACTTGTGAATCAGAGAAGTCTTTATCCTTTTGAATTTCAGGATCAAATCTGGGGGTGTTCAGTTCAACAACTCTTTTCCTGCATCATTTTCTCACAGTGGCTTGAAGGCAGACGTGATGGGGCCCCGGCAATGACATGCAAGGATTCAATTCTAAATAAGGTGCTTTGTTGAGATTGTTCTTAACTAAACATTCTCCCAAAGTGCCAGGCAACTAGAGGCGACTTATTAGACATCAATAGAGATTAAAGTTAACTAACTAGCAGGTCTCTAGTTTTAGTGATTCAGGTCAGGAGGCTGAATACCAACAGAGTGCATCTGGCAGCCTGTTGAGAAAACAAATCAATCCTTTCCTCCTCATGCACATATCGGCTATCCATGGATCCATGGCATTGCAGATGCAGAAGAATTCTTAGATGGGCCCAGTAAACCTGGTCTGCAGAGGTCTGACTTATTTGAAATACCTCTCAAACCTTCTTGGACGTGGCTCACCCTTCACCATGAGAGCTGCAAATGCTTATCTATTTGATTCTGGTTCAAAAGTTGGTAACGTGGCAATTCGCCAGGTCAGTTCCAGGTAGAGATTATGACATGTGCTGTATGGTTTATAATCTTAGTTTCTAAATTACTCTGGTGGCTTCTGAGATGACAGCGACTATGCTAATTTGAGTCATTTATCCACAAAGAAAAAATATATATATACATACATGATATTGGGGACCCTTTAGGATTTTATATCCACAGTGTAGAAACAGTTACCCTGGAGACCTCCAAACTCTTCCCTGGGGAAAAAACCGCTTTGGCTACATTCTTGTAAGCCATGGTTTATTAGTATCTGCATGAAACAGCAAGGTTTCATGCAGATACTAATATTTTCTCCTTCTTAAAAAGATAAAATGTTTCAGTTCAGATTAAGATTTATTGAGAAAAAAATGACAGGAATTAAGGTCATACTTTCAAAAGCAAGTGAATTTTGGTGCTTTCACTTTGCCCTTGTCATGCTATGGAAGTGATCCCAGGTTTTCTTGTGTATTTCGACAAAACATGGGGACATTCCATGGGGCGATGGACAAGAACTGGATGGAGCCCCAGGAGACCTGAATCCCAGTCCTGAGATTCACTCACCCGCTGTGTAAACTTGGGTGGCCTCTCAACATTTCTGGTTCTCAAATTCTGCGCATGACAAATGTGAGTTGGACTTTAGAATTTGAAAACTAAAATCTCTTCCAATTTAAAGATTCTGTAACTTCATATTTTGTCCACTATACACCAAAATTTGTTTTAATATTTTCCTTATTCACTGTTGTTTCAGTTTACCATAGTTGAAGAAGCACTTTCTCGCAAAAGGACAATGGCAGAAAAGGGGTTAAGAAAGTCCATGGTGAATACACGTGATAGTGTTTGGATCTGTGTCCCCACCAAATCTCATGTCGAATTGTAATCCCCAATGGTGGAGGTGGGGTCTGGTGGGAGGTGATTGAATCATGGGGGTGGATTTCTCATGAATAGTTTAGCACTATCCCCTCTTGGCCTTGTCCTTGCAATAGTAAGTGAGTTCTCATGAGAACTGGTTGTTTAAAAACGTGTACCATCCTGGCTAACACGGTGAAACCCCGTCTCTACTAAAAATACAAAAAATTAGCCGGGCATAGTGGCGGGCGCCTGTAGTCCCAGCTACTTGGGAGGCTGAGGCAGGAGAATGGCGTGAACCCGGGAGGCGGAGATTGCAGTGAGCCAAGATCGTGCCACTGCACTCCAGCCTGAGCAACAGAGTGAGACTCTGTCTCAAAACAAAACACAAAAAACAAAAAAACGTGTAGCACCTCCCCTCCCCTCTCTCTTGCTCCTGCTCCGGCCATTGTGACATGTGCTTCCCCTTTGCCTTCTGCCATGATTGTCAGTTTCCTGAGGCCTACCCAGAAGCTGAGCAGGTGTGAACATCAGCTTCCTATACAGCTTGCAGAACTGTGAGCCAATTAAACCTCTTTCCTTTATAAATTACCCAGTCTCAGGTATTTCTTTACAGCAGTTTGAGAACACAGGAGATGAGAATACAACACAGGAGATGAGCAGGAGTGAGGCCAACAGCCCTGGGTGCCTAGGAGTAAGTGGCACTCACACAGGCATTTGGAGTTAGTGAACATGAGCTCTCCTCTTTACTTGTAAGAACAGGAGTAACTTGTATAGCTATAAGGAATGCCACCATTTAGTTGCCAAGGACAATAAGGACAGAGAATAATAACAGTCAAGATACTCTCTTTGGAATTATTATTAAATGCACAAACTCTCAATCACATAACATATATCAAGTGACCAAGTCTGCCCTCAGTAAATGGCACCCACCCCCGTCCCCCGTCCCCCTTGCACTGAGACCCATAGGAAACAGCAGCAGCTTCTTCCAGCATCTGGGCCTGAAGACCAAGGGAAGGATGGGAACAGAGATCAGTGGGGAGGCTTGAGTTTCCTAGAGAAATCTCTTTAGGCGATTGGAAATAAATGTAGGGCTGGTGGCCCAAAGTTTCAGCATCTGGGAAGAGACATGTAGAAGGAAAAGAGGGGCTCTTAGGAGGAGAATTAGGGCGGTCCAACATGGCTCCAGGAAGGCAGGAAGAAGCGGGGCTGGCCTTGTTGACTGTCAGGCAAAGATGACCCTGGAGCAATGCAACCCGGGGACTCTGGAATGGCCTAAATGTCTCTTAGAACTGTGACCTCACACCGGAAACCTCAAGGCCATTCTGGTTGCATTAAACTATGATTAGTGTAATTTATGTGTTTTCAGGAAACTTGAAATTGCTGCATCCTGAAAGAAGTACTGTATCTTCAAAAGAATAATGATCCATGAATTCTATAATATCATTAAAGGGCTTTTGAGGGAAAAACATTCATGACCTGTGCTTTTGTGTGTGTGTGTATACATATATATATGTTTTCATAAATGAATTATATTAATGATTTTTATGCAGTTGATGCTGTTTTGAGCAGGACCTCAATCTTGCCCAGTGGGGTGACAGAGACCCAGTGTGGACATTTTGAGGACAGTGGCTTCCTGCCTGTTTGAGAAGCTGTGAGCAGGATAGAGTCACATGGGAGGGCCACAACTGGGCCTATTTGGTTAATGGCAGTGACATGGAAAAGAAGCTGAGAGTCTTTGAGACCTTTGGATGAAAATTAAAAAGCAGTGGATGCCGTATTGGATGTGGGAAGTCAAGAAGACAAAGAACAAAAGAAGACTTCAAGTCTGAAGAATGGGCTTGGAGAGCAGGATAGGAAGCTTTGCTACATCTGAGACTAACAGATACGTAGGGAGCTGAGTTCCTTTGGAAGGAACACAAAGAATTCTTCATGAGTTAGTGACAAATCTCTCTTTTCTCCTTCAACTGTCTTCAGATCTCTAAGAAAACTGAAAATAAAAGGCTATTCCTAGCCCCTTTTCTGACACCTTTGTCTTTGATAGTGCCACATACAGGTAAGCAAGCAGGTGTACATATGTGTGTGTACATATACAGACACGTATAATATGACTTCTATAACAAGTCAAACAGTTTTCATCACTAAAAATATGTACATCCATCCTCTGTTTATGCTGATATCATATGTATACTATTATCTATACGAAAGGTGTTCTAAGTACTTATGTGCTTAGATGAATTTCTGAAAGTTCTCTCCATCTATTCCCTATTTATGTGGTGTCAGAGCCAAATATCTTTGAAATGTAAAGAAGTTGTCGCAACGTTTCCTGGATCCCCAACAACTCCCCTTTACATTTTTCTCAGTTATCATGAACCCAGAAGACCGAAGGCTTTTGAAATTGATGTAGTTAGTTTTTTTTCTATCGAAACAAGCTTTTTCTTCTGTATTCCAAGACAATACATTCAAATCTTGATCCTCTTTCCCTGGATTGGTTTTCTATACATTAATGCCAACTTAAAAATGTAAATAATAGGAAGGCTGAATTTCACACACAAAAGGAATTTATAGGCAGTTGCTAAAAACAGTGGCAACCAGATAAAGTTACATGTTTGTTAATTTGTTTATTACTTTTAAATTATTTTTACATTTATATTTAGAGACAGGGTCTTGCTCTGTCACCCAGACTGGAGTGCAGCGGCACGATCAAGGCTCAACTGCAGCCTCCAACTCCTGGGCTCAGGCAGCCCTCCCACCTCAACCTCCTAAGTAGCTGGAACTGATCACATGCATGCGCCACCATGGCTGGCTAATGCATTTTTAATGAAAGAAATCAGACTTCAAGGATAGATCAAACTTATTTTTGAAGAAGACAGATAAGAATAAATGCTTTTTAAAAAGCTAATGGAGTGTATACCTTATAACTGAGGTCCCCAACCCTCGGACTGCAGACTGGTACCAGTTTGTGGTCTGTTAGGAACTTAGCCACACAGCAGGAGGCGAGTGGCAGGCGAGCAAAGTGTTGTCTGTATTTACAGCCACTCCCCATCACTGGCACTACCACCTGAACTCCTCCTCCTGTCAGATCAGCAGCAGCACTAGATTCTCATAGGAGCGCAAACCCTATTGTGAACTGTGTGTGCAAGAAATCCAGGTTGCGCACTCCTTATACGAGAATCTAATGCCTGAGGATCTGTCACTGTCTCCCATCACCTGTATATGGGACCGTCTGGTTGCAGAAAAACAAGCTAAGGGCTCCCACTGATTCTACCTTATGGTGAGTTGTATAATTATTTCATTATATATTACAAAGTAATGATGATAGGAATAAAGTGCACAATAAATGTAATGCACTTGAATTATTCTGAAACCATCCCCCAAACCCTGTCAGTAGAAAAATTTTCTTCCATGAAGCTGGTCCCTGATGCCAAAAAGGTTGGAGACTGCTGCCTTATAACACTGGCCAACACTTCAGATGGGTACAATTTTGATTGCTGAAATACATTTTTTTTTTCAATTTTAAATACACTTCCTCCATACAATGGGTAATTTACCTTTATTTAAAGTACTTCCCTACATTTTTATAATGAGGATATATGTTTTACAAAAGGATAAAAGCATTACTTCTGACTTCCTTTTCACTTTGTCTTTCGTGAAATCAAACAATGTTAAATAAATTTTTTTTTTTTTTTTGAGACAGAGTCTCGCTCTGTTGCCCAGGCCAGAGTGCAATGGCCTGTGCTCGGCTCACTGCAACCTCCACCTCCCAGGTTCAAGTGATTCTCCCGCCTTAGCCTCCTGAGTAGCTGGGATTACTGGCATATGCCATCATGCCTGGCTAATTTTTGTATTTTTAGTGGAGACTGGGTTTCACCATGTTGGCCAGGCTGGTCTTGAATTCCTGAGCTCAAGTGATCCACCTGCCTCGGCCTCCCAAAGTGCTGAGATTACAGGGGTGAGCCACCACACTCGGCCTAAATGAACTCTTAGTCATTCTTGTTCTACCGTAAGCTGTTCACTCACCTCTCTTGAAAATTTCATAACGTATGGAAAATCCTGCACCATGTGTTTCGTAGTCAGAGACAAATTTGATAAAAAGAAATGGCCCTGAAGACACAACAGGAGGAGGGGCTATCTTTCCACAGAACTTTCCCCTAAAATGTCCATTTTCATTTTCTCCATCGAAGACTTCCACGTAGTCATACCTAATACACAAACATGGAAGAAAACATTAGGTTGGTGAGAAATGCCCTTTTAATTTCAATAATTTAGACACCAGCATCATCCAGCATAGTGTGCCAGGAAGAAAAAAAAGTTCTATCTGCATTCATCACTGCATTAAATGGAGGGAAAAAAAAGTCTAGCAAAATGAAATAATTAAAATGGACTACATCATGTCTGTATACATCTGGCAACACACAACTATTAAGAATAATGGTGTCCATTATACTTGCAGACAATGTCAGTTAAAGTAACCAATTAAAAAGAAAAAGAAAAATCTCATGAGCACAATCCTCTATTATTAAATTGTGTTCCTTTGTCTATGGTGGTGGGGTGTCAATACATAATGCTATGCATTCTTTTCAAACTGTGAAGTTCTTTTATGAATTCAAAATGTCTCCTTGGCTGGAGCTCTCTATGAACAATACTTTGATTTCTGTGAGCGACCCTCTAAACATATGGCCACAGAATAATAAACAGATTCTTTACTATTTAACTGCATTCCACCAAACTCCAGACTTCTTTGAAAATAGTCTCTCAGTAGCCACATCCAATAGTTAAAACACAGATTATCTTCCCCCAAATGACACTTGGATTCTAGAGCATAATTTCTCCCAAGAAAAAGTTTAGTTAAAAATGGAAAATAACTTTGTTTATACCCACTAGTCTGAATATTTAAAGGAATATCATTGTTTGAGTCTTTAAAGAAATCTCGTTGTTTGAGAAAGAAACGCTTGATACCACAAAAGTGATGAGATTTAAAATTCAGGCTTAATAATGACACTAAGGATACAAATCGTAAGGAAAGTGACAATAAAATATTACTAAAAAGTTAACACAAAGATAAGAGATAGTTGGATCTTATTTATCTTTAAAATGTACAAAGCCATCACCAATACACTAGTGTCCCCTAGGAAAATAAGAAAGCTTTTGTCTATTTGGTGTTATGTATTTCTTAGGAGCTTGCTCTTTCTTCTCTTTTTATTTACCAAGTCACCTAGGAGCAAGAGAATCTGATTCATCTTCCATTTTTCTTCTTGAAATGACATGAAAACATTACAAGGCATTCATTTCCAACCTTTGTTTTATTTCTGTACTTAACTTGGTTCAAAAGTCCTGGGATATATTAATTTCAGGAATGGCTAAAATATGGCAGTAACATAAACTGTATCTGGCAATTTAAAAGAGATCAAAGTGGGGGAAATCTTCATGATGCCCAATGTCATCTTTAACAATCTCTTCTCAAACTGCCCGGGACGCATGACTTATGTTTACATAAAGTCTCAGGAGACAACTGCAACGATGCTATCACTAGTAAAAGTGGACAGCTTAAGGCTCTCTAAATTAAAAATGACATTACCTCATCAGTTAAAACTGTGTGCCAGCTTTGTGTATATCAAGAAGAAAATAAAGCTGACATTGATGGAACTAAGCATTAACATATGTGAATTATTGTATTAACTGCATTTCCTCTGCTACATATGATGCTTCCAGTAGTAGATACTTGGCCTGCTAACACCACCGTCCCTTTGCAAAACTGTGGAAATACACAGAGGTATTGTTCATTTCTCCATACTTTGGGAAATGCTTTGCATGTTAAAAGAAGACAAAAGTGAAGGAGGAGGAGGAGAAAGAGGAGGAGGAGGGGAGGCAAGGAGGAAAAGGAGGAGGAGGAGGAGGAAGAAGAAAGCATTATGTTTAAAATCCTAACTAGCCTTTATAATCAATGGGATGTAGCTGGAAAGAACACCATCTCTGTATTCATTAAAGCCCCACAAGCTAGCATTTATGGAGTAATTCCTTTTATCTCTACTGCTTCATTGACAAGGCAGGTTTGCATGTTTCGCCCCACGCTTTCTTATAATTTAACTGTGATTTGAACTGTTGACTGTGTTTGGCCTGGCGACGGTGCATCCAGCTCTGCAATATAGGCTTTTTACTTGAATCCTGACATGGTCTGAATACTAAGTGGCCAAATTCTAGCTCACGTTGCCTTCCAAGCACAAATAAGAGAGGTGGGTGAGGCATTCTGAAAAACTAAGGCATTTCTGTTGAGGATACGTTCCTCTCAGGTAGCAGAGAACTCAGCTAATATAGTGCCGGTGGATTGCAACAGGGAAAGAAGCTGGTATTTTAATTCACATATCCTCCAATAGTAAATACTAGGCGCTCCTCTTGGCAAAAGTAGAAGCTATTTTTAAAAGTATGTGTGGGGTGGTGAGTGGGGGGTGGGGGGTGGGATTAGAATCCCTTCCCAGCAAGAAATAAGTCATTGCACAGTTAAGTGCCAATTTTAGGAAATTGAATTATTCAGGAATACTATAGTTACATTTGTAAACTGGAAGGCTGCTATCGTTTTAGCACTTCCCTTCAAAGTACTATCCAACAGGGCCCCAAATAGTATCGCAAATAGCAGCTCCTGTAAATATTCAGGAGGGTGTACTGCGCACAAGTTGCAGAGGGGAGTATTGCCAAAGAAGTTAAGGAAGCAGCTTGAGTCTCCCTCTGGAGTTGATACCAGCTCCACTCGTTAAGTTTCGCACTGGCAAGCGTGCTGCCAGGAATGCAGCTGGTGTGCCAGCATCCCTCCCTAGAGACTAAACGTGTCACCACTGCAACGCACCCAGCCTGCATTGGCCTGAAGCCCAGGATCCTGAGTTTGCAAATTTCGATCCCGAAGCCGGCTGCAGATTGCTCTGTTACTGTTGCCAGTGTGGCAAACACGGCATTGCTCGGGATGTCGAGATCCCCAGTCACGACAGCACAGCAGCCCGGCAAAGGTGAGAATGAAGGCACCTGTTTGGCTCTCATTCACTCCCTGTGTTCCAGCCGCTGGATGAGAGCTGGGAATTACGTCTGAGGAATTTAATTCATAAAAGCTAGAGGAGGGGTCAGAGAGTTGACCCCTCTGTCTGTCTGGGTCCCTGCTCTGGAAAAAGAAAGCTCCAGTTCACAAGGAGGCTATGAATGGGTCCAAAGGGCACCACCGTTCTATGCAGGGTCTTTTTCTCTCTGCTCACATACAGACGGGGCTCCCATCTGGGGAAGGTCCCTCCCCAGACCTCACCCTCCCCACTTACCACCCTCGGAATGTAAACATGTTGTGGATTTTTTAAATATTCAGAGAAGGACCAACCCCTCCCTCCTCATTTAGGCATCTTCCCATTATTTTTCTTAAATTTTCTACCTTAAACCTTCCCCATTCTATAGTAACAGTGGTAAAGTGGGTAAACATTTATTGCCAAGGAACTCAAAGATAAATCTCTGCCTAAACCCTTTTGCAATTAAAAGGTACTTTGCCACAGTTTCAACGTTAGGGTGTAATCCGCCAGGTGGTTGTTTTCATGAGTGTCCCTGGCTTTAGAATCCACGCTCCTCAAGCTAAAAGCCTATTGGCTCCATTATTTCCCCAGACTCCTCATCCTATCTACGTAGATGCAGGTGGTGAAACATTTTGAGTCCTAACAGTAATCACAGGTTAGGTTTCCCAGAAGAGTGCTCAAAGAATAAAGATTTCTTTCTAAGAATTCTTAAGAGCATTACCTAGAGATTATTTTTTTTCTTTGGGAAAGTTTGAATTATGGGTTTAGGAAAATGGCCAAGTAAGGGGAAAGTGATGGGAAGGTGAGAAATGTATTCAGTCACTGAATAGCGGTTTCTGAGGCTTTATAGGTATGTGGTGCTGAACAGATGAATAGTGACTTTGCCTAAGTCAGGTTTTCTCTGGTGAGTACAAGTGACCCCTGACTCTCTACAGTGGAGATGGTTAATGGAAAGGAAGCTAATCCTCCACAGGGTGTTGTCTGACACTGTGAGCTACTGCACCAACCCCCCAGGCTTCCGGACATTCTCACATTATTAGGAAGGGGGATTTGAGGTGGTGGTGTCTTTTTAATCTCCTTCCAAGAGGACCTCCCCCCACTGGCATAGTACATTAATAATGGAGAAATATGATGCCTGACATCATAAGCTGGAGTGAGAAATGATGTTGGCGAACACAATTTTCACCAGCAAAAATGTGTTTCTGTGGCTCTTTGGTTTATTTTGCACGAGCATTAATAGCTATTCAAACTGAACAACCTGTAAACGATCGCTGTGCTGCCGTCCAAGAATTAACTTACGTATCCCACAAAAGAGAACAGATTTTTCTTCCAGAGTATTAGAAACAGGATTTGGAAATAAAAATATACAATGGTGGAGCTAGGAGGAGCCAATTAGTCTGCATCTATGTTTCTGAGTGTTTTTACACTAGAGTCGTCCCCTAATAGTTCTGGCTTGCAATGTTCTAATCATGATGTATGAAAAGTCTTAAAAGAGTCATAGCCTCTTATTTAACAAAAGCATTTTTTAGAAATCTGTTCTAAGCGAACAACCCAAAATAATGTCAAATACCATGGAATATTATTCAGCCACTAAAAAGTGTGTTCAGCTCATGCCTGTAATCCCAGCACTTTAGAAGGCGGAGGTGGGTGGATCACGAGGTCAGGAGATCGAGACCATCCTGGCTAACATGGTAAAACCCCGTCTCTACTAAAAATACAAAAAATTAGCCGGGCATGGTGGCATGCACTTGTAGTGCCAGCTACTCGGGAGGCTGAGGCAGGAGAATCACTTGAACCTGGGAGGTGGAGGCTGCAGTGAGCCGAGATGGCGCCACTGCACACTAGCCTGGGCAACAGAGCGAGACTTTGTCTCAAACAAACAAACGAAAACAACACCAACCAAAAAAAAAAACCATGTTCAGGCCAGGCGTGGAGGCTCACACCTGTAATTCCAGTGCTTTGGGAGGCTGAGGCAAAAGGATTGCCTGAGGCCAGGAGTTTGAGACGAGCCTGAGCAACAAAGCAAGAACCCCCAACACCTTCTCTACAATTTTTTTTTTTTTTAATTAGCAAGGTATGGTGGCTCATGGCTGTAGTCCCACCTACTTGGGAGGCTGAGGTGGGAGGATCACTTGAGCCCAGGAGTCTGAGACTGCAGTGAGCTGTGATTGTGTTACTGCACTCCAGCCTGGTCAACAGGGCAAGACTCTGTCTCTAAAATTAAAAACAAAACAAAACAAAAAAAACTCAACAAAAGTTTCTTAAATAACAGGAAAAATGCTTATGATATAATCAGTGAAAAATCAGAATATAAAACCCTATATACAGTGTATTCTCAACTCTTATTCATATGCAGAAAAAATCTAGACGGAACTAACTAGGCCAAGCCATTAATTGGTTATCTCTGGGTAGTGACATTATGTTCCTTATTCATTTCTGTATTTTTCAAAATTTTTACAATGGACAAGTAGTCCTTTATAATCAGGTAAAAGTTATTTTGAAAAGCACTAACTACCTATATATAAATAAACAAATCAATACCTGTTTGCCTTATTTTCCATTTGTTGATAAAACAACAACAACAACAACACTATCTTGGAAGTGAATCAAAGACGGGCTTTGCTTTTTTTTTCTTCCCCCACCCACTGGATCAATGAGATGCTCTGTGTGATATTTATTTTTAGGACCAGAAAGTTAAAGTGAATTGGATTTGATCCATTTTCTGAAAGGCTGGCAAGAATTCTTGACATTGCACAGGAATTTCCATGTCAGCATGTTCTCACATGTATGATCTAATTTAGTCTTTACAATGATCCCAGGAAGGCAGGTAGCAGGCGATATCCTAGAAAGAGCCCTGAGCTGGGAGAGCACAGCATAAGAGACCCAGGAATGAGACACTTTTTATGCTTTTAATATTGCCTACTTCGGGGCAAGCTTGATTCTGATATCTGCACTTGTTACTCCCTTTCATATTTTTTGTGGGGGGATGGGTGTGTCCTTACTTTAGGATTAGCCATTAACTATCGGTGATTCATTTTTCCACTGGTTATTGTTGCTAGACAATCATCTCATCAACTAATACCTCACTGATTTTTCTGTGTGCTTAGAGCATCTTGGTGTGGACAAAGATTTATTGAAAGGACTACAAGAAATAAGACAAAATAAGCCCTGGATCAAAGACATATGTCCCATAATTCAAGACCAGCTTGGACCACAAAGCAAGAACCCCTAACCCCCTCTCTACAAAATTTTTTTAAAAACATTAGCAGGGTATGGTGGCTTGTGCTGTAGTCCCAGCTACTTGGGATGCTGAGGTGGGAGGATCACTTAAGCCCAGGAGTTTGAGGCTGCAGTGAGCTGTGATTGTGCCACTGCACTCCAGCCTGGGTAACAGATCAAGACCCTGTCTCTAAAATTAAAAAAAAAAAAAAGAAAAAAAATTGCTCAATAAAAGTTTTTAAATAACAGGAAAAATGCTTATGATATAATCAGTGAAAAATGCTTATGATATAATCAGTGCATGTGTGAGTGTATGTGACAGAGAGAGACAGACACAGACAGCCGTCTTGGTGTCTGGTGAGTCCCACTGAATGGGCTTCCTGCCAGAGCTGTCCTGGTCCTCCTGCTCGGGGACCTCATGACTACTGGAAACAAAGCCCAGCCTGCAAGACTGAGATGAAACAAGGTTGGCTCCTGGAGGGGGCTGCACGGTAGCTCTAATTTTGTTTCCTTTCTCACACCAGCACTGTGGGCCTGATCACGGGCAGCCCCAAGGAAGGCCTGACCACCACCAGCGCTGCCACCAGCGCTGCCACCAGCCTGAGTGGCAATGCCCAGCTTCCGAGGAGCTATGGGGCCTGAGCCTCAGGGCGTTGCCAGAGAATCCCTAGACCTTTCTATAAGAAATAGAGAGGCTGGGCCACAACCTGGCTGCTGTCCTCCCAGCTCTTAGTATGTGGTCAAATGCCAAATTTCTATGAAAGTCATTCTAAATGTGTATAAAATATAAAATTGCATGCTATGGAATATTAAATAAAGAATAATAATAAAGAATATTGCTTTATTATATTGTCCTAGTTTCCTTTGAAGTTTGTTTTTAAGTTTATAAAGTATTCTTTCTTTTTTAAAAATATTTTTCCTATATATATTTTTCACACATATTTATTTATTCACTCATTCATTCATTCATTTATGTATCTGTCTTCCAATTTGCTCTCTGTGTATTATAAGCAGGATTGTGAGACATATGTCTTTGATCCAGGGCTTATTTTTACTTTTTGTGACACTTCCTAAAACTCCGTTTTTCTTACTTCTTGTAGTCCTTTCAATACACCCCACAAATCTAACTTCTAAACCATAGCATTACTACTTCTATACTTTGCGATGTGTTTATGCATATTTGCATCAAGTAATACGTTGTCGACACTGTCAGGGTGTAAGGTGATTTTTTTTTTCTGTTGGGGCAAGCACTTACGACTTATTAGTAATCCCATTCATTTGGGTAGGAGAGTGATTATTTGGTAGCCTTTCCATTTCCCCACCATTGAACTCCTTCGCCAATCTTATCACCCAAACTCAGATTCCATGTATTACTACATGGGAGGACTCAAGGTTTTTGCTGTCTGCATAGCTCCAAAATAAGCACAAGTTCCAAATTTCAGGGATTATCTCCTGGACTGCTTGGACACAAGCCACAGAGCTGGGAAGAACGTGGTGCTAAGGAGACCAGAGCAGCAATGTGACATCCATCAGTGGCTGCTGGATGTACTTAAGCTAAACCCTCTCTCCTGCAACCAACTTCACTGACTGTAAATGGGACACCAAGTCCTCACCTCTCTTGCAGAAAAAAAAATAAAAATGTTTTCAGAAACATTTGTCTTTTCTTATGTCGTTGTCTTCCTCAAAATCCCACATAGTGTTACCCTTGAGCTTGTCTAAAGGCTTCTAGGACATTCTCCTGCAAGAAATTATAATCGCATATAGTCCACCTAACATCTTACTCTGATTCAGTTTAGGAAAGTTTTCTATATATATCATACTGAGATGACCAGTTCTCGAATAATCAAAGTACAGTAGAGCTCACAAAGCTAATCTCACACATTAAAAATGTAACCTTTAAGCTTTTGTAATGTCTCAGGGGTCATAATAAAGACTATCAATAATTTTATTGTCACTAAGAAAACTGATGATTAATTGATGAGATAGGTAATCAGGTCAGGTACGAGAGTTTATAGTCCCAGGAAACAAGGTATTATGAAAATGAAGAAAAAACAAAATATCAAAGAAAAAATTTGTAAGAAACATTAAAAGAGATCCAAAATGGCTTTCACTGTAGTAATGCAAAGGAATAATAATTGATTGTGCATGGGAATATGAGAGCTGTCATGGGTGATGGTTAGTCAAGGCCGACTTGGAAGGGGAGAAACCAAGGCAATGTATGTCTAGCAGATAGTGTACTGCTGGTTTCCTATTGCAAAGTAACAAATTATCACCAACTTAGTGACTTGAAACAACACACAGTTCTTAGCTCACAGGTCTACAGGTCAGAAGTCTGGGATGACCTTGCTGGATTCTCTGCTCAGGGCATCACGGGGCAGAAATCGAGGTGTTGGCTGGGCTGCAGTCTCATCCGAAGCTGGGGATCCTCCTGGAAGCTCACACCACTGGCAGAGTTCAGGTTCTTGCAGCTGCAGGGCTGAAGCCTCTGCCCTCTTTCTGGCTGCCAGCTGGGGGTGCTCCCAGATCCTCTCCATCTTCAGAGCCAGCAATTGATAATCTCCCTAGCATCACATTCTTCCCACATTTCCACAGGCTTCTGGAAAAGCTCAGTCCCTTCACCAGATGAAGTCATCTCACCCAGGATAATCTCCCTTTCTTGAGGTTGACTCATGATTTGGTACCTTAATTAAATCTGCCAAAGCCTTTTGCAGCGGCTCCTAGATTCGTGTTTGATTGAATAACTGGGAGACAGTGTGTGGATATGAGGGGCTGCGGATCTTGGGGACCCTCTTGGAATTCTGCCTACCACTAAGACCACGCTCTGCTAGGACACGTGGAGATTGAAAGCTGTGATAGGTACTGAAGGGAGGAGGGATCATCTGCTCCATCTTCTGATACAGCAAAGGGTAGTCGGGTCCAGGGTAAAGCCAAGGGCAGGACTGGGAAGCAAGTGATGGCAGAGGCTATTTCAATGTCCTCTCATCATAGTGACTGTCGGTTTGGGAGCTCTGAGCCTATAGGCATTGTTCACAATGAATAGGAAAGCAGGATAATGGATTGAGCCACACTCTCCTGATTGAAGCAAAACCAGAAGCTCCAAGATTGCCCAACACACGTCTAGAGACAGAAAAGTGATAACAGCTTAACTCAAAAATAAATGTATCTAAGAATTCAAGACATATGGTGTTAAATATTGATCAAAATATACAATGTTAATGGAAAAATATTTGGAATCTAAATTTCTTGTTTCTGAGGAGTTTCATTTCATAATTAAGATTTATTGTCCAGGAAGATTTTGTTTTTTAAAAAACCACCCTTCACATGGGAAAATATTTCTCTGATTTAGCTCAGATTATAAAACCCAAGGATTCATTTTAAACGGAAGGGAAGGAACGCCTCCCTTAAAACAACTGTGTTCCAGAAGTGATGGAATCTTCTAGTGTCAGACTTGCAAAGTTCAGTATTTGTAGAAAATTCACATGCCTTTAATTACAATAAACTCAATTCCCATGTAAAACTGTGCCATCTGGAAGATATTAACATCATTTATAACTTGTTCACCTCCCTATTTCATAGAAAATTTTTACTCCTTGCCAACTTTCCACTGTTCTTCAGGGAAAAAAAAATACAATTACTTTCATGGATTGTCTCTAGAAGAGTTTATATAGCAAGTCCAGCCATCAAGAAGTGATAAAGGAGGCATTTTGTACATATTTACTTCCTTCTTATTGCTTTAAGTCCTTATATCCTTACTTTGAAGGTTTTTTCCCTATAAAGAATATTCTCCAACAGGCGCTGTGGCTCACACCTGTAATCCCAGCACTTTGGGATGTCGAGGTGGGCAGACTGCTTGAGTTCAGGAGTTTGAGACCAGCCTGAGCAATGTGGTGAAAGCCCGTCTCTACCAAAAATACAAAAATTAGTTGGGCATGGTGGCACACGCCTGTAGTCCTAGCTACTTGCGGGGCTGAGGCAGGAGGATCACTTGAACCTGGGAGGTTGAACCGAGATGGCACCACTGAACTTCAGCCTGGGTGACAAAGTGAGACCTTGTCTCAAAAGAAAAAAAAAAAAGACAAGAAAAGAAAAAGAAATAAAGAATATTCTCCTCTCTCTGCTCCACTCCCTGCAGCCTTCCAAATTTTTTTTTTTTTGAGACCAAGTCTCACTTTGTCACCCAGGCTGGAGTGCAGTGGCACAATCTTGGCTTACTGCAACCTCTGCCTACAAGGTTCAAGCGATTCTCCTGCCTCAGCCTCCCAAGTAGCTGGGATTACAGGCAAGCACCACCACACCCAGCTAATTTTTGTACTTTTAGTAGAGACAGGGCTTCACCACATTGGCCAGGCTGGTCTTGTACTCTTGGCTTCAAGCAATCCACCCATCTCGGCCTCCCAAAGTGCTGAGATTACAGGCGTGAGCCACCACTCCCAGCCTCCAAAGTAATTTTTTTTAAGTGAACTGACTTTTTTTTTATCACAGTCATGCAGAGAGAAGGTTGAGGCCATAAGAAATGGATTCTGTTCTTTGTTCCCAGGCTCAGGAGCCACTCCTGCACCTTTGATCCAAAAGGCGGCTCCTCCATTAAGAAGGATCACCATCTTTGACACCTCACAAAGTGTCACAGGGGACAATGAGGAAAGGAGGTGACATCTACCTGACATCTGGCAGTGAAGTCAGCCAAAACTGGATGACTGTGATCTCAGTCAATCTGTCCTCACACTGCCACTGACTTGTGCCCTGGATAGGTCACTAACTGACTTCTGTGAGTCTCAGTGGCTCGTCTGTAAAATGGATAAAATGATGATTACCTTGCAGAATCCCAGGGAGAAATAAACGAAATCATACATGTCATGACGCTTGTAGGTGTTCGATGGTCCCTTTCCAAGTGAGGTTGGGATATGGAGAGAAGGAGAGAGACAAATACATAGAGAACCAAATGGAGAAGAGCTTTGTTTTCCACAGTGTATACTATTGGGTCAAAACAGGCTATAGTGTAGGTAGTCCAGGAAATTTAGCTATTGTTATCTCCCAGGGGACTCTGTATCACTTAGAAGATAACCAACTCTCAGAATATGACCATAGCCTGATATTCTGAAAAATACTGTTTGGAATGACAGTCAGTTTTGCTCTAGCATTGCTCTCAAAGCTCAATCAATTAAAACCATTGTCAGTAATGGAGTTAAATAAAGCAATTTATATATACCATAGTATGTTTTTTTTTTTTAAATCATGAAATCCGTTAAGTGTTTCCATTGATGTACCCAACCGATTTAATGAAGTGCAGTTGGATTAGTGCTATTAGCGTGCAGCACTGAATTTGCTCAAAAAGCCCCCTTAATTGGTATGGTGGAGGCACTAGGGTGCAATTTCCAGTTCTGGAAAGGCAGTGCGTCCGGCTTACTGCATCACAAAATCATGATCCTCAAATTTTCTTTTTAATTCTTTGGAAACAAGAAATGAAGCAATAATTCTGTTTTATATTATAGGACCTAATGTGCTAATTTAAAGATATTTTTAAAATCCTCCTGATTAATTAGTAATTATTCAGTGGGGATCTAGGTAGTTTGCTAATCAAAGCTACAGGAATTAAAGTTGGCAAATTCTTATTTTTTAAAGTTTTTTCACCCCCCAGTAACTACCATAGAACCTTTTCAGCATCAACTAAGGGAGATTATTTATTCTGGAGCAGGGAAGTCCTTTACCTTAAAATGACCGTCATCTTTTCCTAAAAAAAGCAAAAAATAGTTGAAGAAAAATGGGTCTACTGACACCAGTTAAATGCTTCTTCCTTTTAGTGGCACTAACATTAAAAGAAAGGTTGAGCTGAACTTTTCTTTTTTTTTTTTGAAGGCAGAGTCTTGCTCTGTCACCCAGGGTGGAATGCAGTGGCACGATCTTGGCTCACTGCGACCTCTATCTCTTGGGTTAAAGCAATTCTCCTGCCTCAGCCTCCTGAGTAGCTGGGACCACAGGTGCCCACCACCACACCCAGCTGAGTTTTGTATTTTCAGTAGAGACAGGGTTTCACTATGTTGGCCAGGCTGATCTTGAACTCCTGACCTCATGATCCACCTGTCTCAGCCTCCCAAAGTGCTGGGATTACAGGCGTGAGCCACCGCACCTGAACTTGAAGAAGATGGGCAGTGGGCACTAACCTAAGTAAAAATTGCACAATTTTGTTCAACAGACCCTTCCAGTTTCCTTGAAGTACAAACTGCTAAGATAACCGCAACCAAGAAATATGAATCTTTTAGAGATGTACCTAATAATATTTATGATGCTAGAATGAAATGTACATGAGAAAAACAGATCATGTATTAGAGAGTTTCCTCTTCTGTAATCTCTAGTGTTTATTGAAAGTAGCATACTGTTTGCTATAAATCATTTTTAGATTCTGATACATTCATGCTTAGAGTACTTGTCCGTTTTCTTTTTTTCATTTTTTGAAATTCTATTAAGTCAGAAGGTGGGTGTATCAGCTCCATACTACTGAACTTCTAGTAGTCTTACTATTCTGCCAAATATCCTCTATATGCCCAAAATCAATCTGTAATGCAGTGAATAATTTATATAATGAGAAATATATCTCTGGATGTACAATAATACTTCAGATATCAACTAGAGCTTTTTTGTATCTGACAACATGTGAAAATAAAAGATTCAGAGAATCATTGTTTATTGTCTAGCCAGTAGTTTTACATGATTTTGTTTCTTTTCACTGATTTGCCTTATAGACTAATGAATTGGTGTACAGCAAACCTTTAACTATCTCTATATTAGGAACAAACTCATGGAGAGAAGAAAGGATTGTAATGATCTAGGTAACCTCATGATTTATATGGACCTTAAGGAGTAATTGTGTGTTTAGAAGAAAGGAAAGCAATGGCCATAAACATTACCTAAGAGCAGGAGCACCATCTCAGCTAAGTTTAACCATATGACCACACAAAGGTGCAGCTTGCTGAAATGGGCTCTGTGGTTGAACACATTTCAAACTAAACAAGGGGAACATACAACCCCCATCCTACCATCTAAAGTGCTCCTCAATCCCAAGATAACCTTATGGCAATCCTAACAGGAAAAAATGGAATAGGGTCAAGTTCACTAAAGTAAAACGTGGCATAAAGCAAACATGTCCAAATGTACTCTTCTCTTAACACAATAGAAGCTAGAGAAAGGTATAAAAAATTCCCCCTGATAATACTTAAGTCTCAGCTGTGACAACAAGACAGGTAGGCAAAGGGAGAGAGAATGTTGTTCTTTACCTTCTTTGACAGATTATTATTCCAGCAAAAAGGGGATTTGTTTTTACTAAAAACCAGAATATGTAAAATAACTTAGCTTTTTATTATATTTAAGCAGCTTAATGTCTTTGAATACATTTAATGTAGACAGCTGCAGTTGACTGCCCTTTATGCATAAAATTTATTAAGAGGATTGATAGTGTAGATAAAGTCACAGGAAGAGATAGGAACAAGCTTACTTTTCAGCATTTTAGTTCTTGAATTATTTGGGGGCATATAAGTGCTCATTTAAAAATGTACAATAAAACAGGCCTTTTGGAAATCCTTCCAGTTGAAACTTATTAAAAACATTACAGGTTCCTGAAATTGTCATGTTTAAAAATACCCCATATTTCAGATATTTCATTAATTCTTTTTTTTCCCTTTACGGCAAATTCCCTAGATCATATTATTGTTTTCATCACTTTCTAATCTATTGTGTTTACTCCCTTTTTCTTATTAGTCTTATAAAATGCTTCAAGAGAAATTTTTTTTGATAGTAATTAGGGAAATGCTGCAAATAATGTTCTTTTCATGAATATTCACAATTTATATCAGTAAATTAAAGGCTCTGAGAGTTATGAAACCCTGAATTAACTTGGTTAAACCCAACATACGCCAATCTCATTGATCACATGACCCTTTTATGACATAATACCTATGGAATCAGTGCCGTCATGAAGGGCTTGCTATGTGCTATTTTGAAAAGTCATTTACTTTGCACAAGCACAGATCAGAAGCAATAAAAAAATTCAGGGAGAGAATCAACTTTGTAGATGAAAACATACATTTGAGAAGACAGAGATAAATTTGGCAATCTAGTTCTTTCTCCTATTCTGCCTTCAACATTAAGGATTTAATTTGACTCAGTGCTTTGAAAGACTGTTTTAGCAACTGTTTCTGGCTAAACAAGTACGATGCTGATACCTAAGACTGTGCCTATACTTAGTAAAAAGAGCTCAACCAAGGCTGACAAATGCACTTAGCTTGTTTTCCTCTAGTTTGTCTCCCTGAGAGCAGGAATCAAGAATGCCCTGGTTTTACTACTTAGAGTTAAGGTGACCGCCATGAATAGAACTAAGCAATATTTTACAGTGGGAAGATATAATAGACCAAGGTTGCATTTTATAGATGGAAAAACTGGAGCCCAGAACACTCAATGGAGTGGAACAATATTTCAGATCCAGTTATAATAGAAGAATTAGAACTTACCACAATATTCTGATGAAAGACAAATCATGACATCTCATTTTCTAGGTGATGATGAGAAATTTTTTCGTGATCATTAGGATCCACTTCTAATTTAAGATTCCTACCACAGGATTTCTCATCCTTGCTCAAAACCCTACAGGAAGGGGGCTGGGTGCAGTGTTGTAATCCCAGCACTTTGGGAGCTGAGGTGAGAGGATCACCTGAGGTCAGGAGTTTGAGACCAGACTGGCCAACATGGTGAAACCGCGTATCTACTAAAAATACAAAATTACCAGCCATGGTGGTGCATGCCTGAAATCCCAGCTACTCTACTCTGGAGGCTGAGGCAGGAGAACTGCTTGAACCCGGGAGGCTGAGGCTGCAGGGAGCCAAGATTGAGCCACTGCACTCCAGCCTGGGGGAGGGAGCGAGACTCCATCTCAAAAACAAAACAAAACAAAACAAAACAAAACAAACAACAACAACAAAGAAAACCTACAAGAAGGGGAAATTCCGAATCCAGACAGGAAGCTCATCCCATCTTTGACCCCCGGGTGAGTATTCCAAGTCTTCCTTACTTTGCCTCCAATCTGTTCCGTCAACTATTGTTTCTTCAGTATTTAATGTCATTCCCACCCATTGATCCTAAGACTGCATTTAATTCCTCTTCTGCATGACAGCCTTACAGTTATCTGCACCGTGATTTCACTTCCCTATGATGAGTTTCTAATTTTATGGTATTATGAGAAGACAAAAATTTAAAGAACTCATTTATTAGACTGACACCTAAGAAACAGGCCCAAACACAGATAAGCAAAGAAACGGCTTCTCTAATTGCATAAAGGTTGTTGAGATGTTATTACTTTAGCAAGACAGGGATGGCAAGTATGCATGTAAGTATTTCACAGGCTCTGCAAAACGTGTGGGAAGCCTGTGTCACAGAGGGAAGGATGGATGACTAGACTTCCCCTCTGTGTTCTTATCCCTTGAATGCCTTGCTTTTCCCTCCATTCCTACATCCTCCTCCTACATCTGCCCTTCCTGCTAATCTGGGACCATGCAATCTAGAGGTAGAGTCTTGTGATGAGAATGAAGATAATCCCATCATTCTTTGGAGCAAGGATCCAGGAAATGGAGAGAGGTCCAGGGCAGAATGAAGGGCTGATCCAGGTCTCCCATAGATGGCCCCAAGCACCAGAGAGCCAAAGAAATGCCTGGATGACCATTTAACACAAGCATTTTCCACATCTATTTTGAGGGTTGGCTTTCTGATGCCACAGAACAAACTTAACTTATTCTGCTGACTTTTCTTTTACAAACTGGGCATGCCAGCCAAGAACTCCAAATTCTGGACAGAGAACATGACTATTTTTATAGCTGTTTAGTTGCTATGCTGAATTTTCTCTCCGCCCCCCCACCCAAGCAACTAGGCAATTTCATGCCAAATCTTATAGTCCATTTAACATTTTTGCGTGTGTGTAATATAATAAGATTATTGCTGCACTGTAAAAATGTCATTGATTCAGGAGACCTTTCTTAATG
Source organism: Homo sapiens (assembly GCF_000001405.40). Lineage (NCBI taxonomy): Eukaryota > Metazoa > Chordata > Mammalia > Primates > Hominidae > Homo > Homo sapiens. The sequence continues at coordinate 33,286,933 of NC_000010.11, forward strand.
ACTGAGATTGCAATAATCCCCCTTCCCAGACATAGGCAAAATACCCATTTTCACTAATTAAACACACACATAACTTTCATAAATTTTAAATTTAAAATAGGCTTTTGTAAATTTCAAAGTCAAATGGTCTTTATATCAATTACTTACTAAGGAATTCCTCCCTAATTATTCACCAACGAACATACACTCAAAAACACAGGTTAACAGCTCAAATACTACTGGAGCAGAAGTAACATTGAATTTGGCAGTCATTAAAAATAATAACTTCAACTTGATGTTTTTCTAAGTTTTCTTCTTTAAATACAATGTCTTCAAAAATACTTTCTCATTAATGTGTGACAGGCACGTTAAACACAGGCTGTGCAAATATTTGAACAGTAATAATATTGATTTCTTCCATGGCAATTTTCCATACAAATGGTAGAAGACTACTAGCAGAAGCTCTGATTTCTACTCTCATGATGCTCTGCAATTAAACAGGAAAGGATTCTTAGCATGTACGACATACATAATTTTTGGTGGAAAAAGTAGTAATAGCTTATATTTACATAGCCCATTTTTCTGAAAAGCTGAAAGAGGTTTTATGCTTGTCATTATTTTAGAAGCTTGGAGAGAAAGAATGAACAGGTGGTGTCCTGTTACACATGAGAATATCTTTACTGCAGCTATATCCCCATCACTATTGAGATAGCTAGTTGACTTGATAAGACCATGGGTTTCACAGGCAATTCTTTAGCCTGACTAGTGAGTCTACTGAATTAACTCCTGCATTCTTCACCCAGAGGCCCATAGAGGTGTCTGGAGTGGAAGGAATGGCATAGACAGAGTCAATGCCTCATCCTTGGGTCCGGACCTTGCTGCCTGTGACTAGGATATCAATCAATAGCATGGGTGCTGTGGAGAAGGTAAGAGAAATGGAAGCTGTGTCTGCTGAAGATCATTTGAGGACATTTCCATAGCAGCTTGTCTGCCATGGTCTCTCGAGCATGCTTAGCCCATTCACAACGTCAGAGCTGTCTCAAGATAGAGTGTGAGCCCGAGCTTTTCTGGGTTGCAAACAACACGGTGCCTTTCCTTCTAACCCTAACCCAAACTTGGTAAAGAATGGTATCTAAATTTGGTTAAAGTGAACTTTGATGACAGTCCTAAAAAATAAAATATATATCCTAGTAGATAAATGTCAGGGTAAAATGAAAATTAGAACGGTTGATTTGGAGGTCAAATGTATGTCCAGGTATTGGCCACATGATTTTCATTTTTAAAGCTCAAATAGAAAGAGGCATGCCTTGGCTAATCCTGTGGGTATGTTTCTGCCCCAAGTCCCTACCAGTTACTATTCTTGGGATAGTGTTAGTTCTTTTTTCATTTCTTAGAGATGGAGTCTCACTGTGTTGCCTTGGCTGGAGTGCAGTGGCTATTCATAGGCACAATCCCACTACTGATCACCATGGGAGTTTTGAGCTGCTTTGTTTCCAACCTGGGCTGGTTCACCCCTCGTTAGGCAAGCTGTTGGTCCCCTGTTCCAAGGAGGTCACCATTATCGATGCTGAACTTAATGTGGACATCTCATCAGCACAGTGCACTACAGCCCAGAACGCCTAGGCTCAAGTGATCCTCTCACCTCAGCCTCCTGAGTAGCTGGGACTACAGGCACACCACCTCACCTGGCATGTTAGTTCTTTTGAAGGACAAAGGCAAGAGCCTGATGTCGCTTATCTAAAGATAACTAGAGAATTTTTCTGGCATCCCTTTCTAGATGTTTCTTTTTTCTTATTGCTGCTGATTCAAATCTCACTCTTTCAAAGCCCACCCAAGGTTCATTTATTCTGTGAAGCTTTTCTTTTACTCAATAACCTGTAAATGTTCCTCTCCTTGAATGTATAAAACCCTTAATTAGGGAGTAGGAGCCAAGGAATAAAAGTTTGCCAAATGTTGCACTACAACTGTTTTTAGGGGGGTCTTGTGTGCCTTATTTACTTCCCTGATAAAATGTATACTTTTAGGTAGGAAATATCTTCCTACTTACCCTAAATTTTTCTGAGAATCAAAAACAGTATTGTTTCCCTGGGATTAAGTTCATGCTACTGAGAAAATGAACCTGCAAGAGAAACTAAAACAACCACCGCATAGCCCAGGTAGTCAAACTATTTTATATTCATACTTTTAACAACACTTAAACAGAATCTTCTAAATCGTTTAGGAACTAGCTCTGGAAGAGAACACCTTAAACTTTCAGACATTTTTTTCTACAAATCACATAAATCACTTCTGGGAAAACTCAAAGCATGGCGGGGTGTACTGCTTTTGTTCCAATTACATTAAACCTTATAAAAATAGCCATAATGACAACAACATCTCTTCAGAAGGGCATGCCAAATACTTAGGGGGCTTAGTCTCACCAAGACCTTCTGGGATTTCGTTACCTAACGCCTATTAGTGATAATAGGTATTACGTCTATAAATCCCTAGGTGCTTATATCAATCTTATCTGTTTTAGTTTCCACAGGTGGAGTGATAACTCTAATGAGGTCCACGTCATCATGACTCCTGTTTAGAGAAATAAAATGTTTAGATCTCAACTTTCCTGCCATTCCCTAGTGGTGTTATAAATAAGGGTGACATTGACGCATTTCAAATTGTTCCTCGAAGAGCGGCAATTCATTATCTTTTAAAGAAATTTGCTCCACATCAAGTCTCAATCCAACTGACATTAGCGTGTGTTAGATACACATACGAATGGTAAGTTTTGCCTGATGAAGCTGTTAATTATTCTCCTGGCTATGTTCACTCCTTACTTTACCACTCTCCTCTATTTCCTTCAATTAGGCACCAAGCATCAAAAGGTTTGCTACGTTTTATCGTTATCACTAATCTGAGTGCACGACACACAATTCATTCTCTTTTCTTTAGTGCCTGAAAATAAAAATCCGCTACCTTTTGTACGGAAGGTCAGTATCTGCGGAGGCCAGCATTTTAGACAGACTACTTGTTCCTTCATTTGAATTTCAAATTCTTATCTATAAATGCTTTTCACCCCCACTTTAAATCCAGGGGCTGAGGAGCATTGTGCGCCCTGCTTTAATAATCTTGGTCTCTTGCATAGCTTGGATATGTAAATTACAGGTTTTGTTCTTTTATTTCTCCCTTTTAGTATCTAACTTCCATTGAAATGGAATATAAGTCCTGCAGCCACTTTGCAACCTGAGGATGTATAGAATGCCTATATGTGATACGTCTATATGTGCATATATTTGTGTATGCTTGAGCATAAATATAAAATATTACAATCTTATCTGTCTACAGAAGATTAATTTACAAAATAAAAAGTTTCCAAATCTGTGCTAGTTTAGTTTGTCCTTCAGAGGACAAAATGCTGTCCTTTGAAGCTCATTTTGTGTGTCTTTGTTACCAAGAGGTTTTTTTTTTTTTTTTTTTAATTCATAGGGGCCACCAAGGCATGAGGGGATGACCGACCCTGGTTAATCCAAACCACAGGACAGACAAAAGATTAATTCCAGTCGCCAGATGATTAACTCTGGTCATTGGGTCACAACCTTGCCTGTCAGTAACTTACTCCTAAACTCCTTCAGGAAAATAAGGAAACTTGAACACGCCACTTTTAAAGTCAAACTCAGTGCCATTATGAAAGACCCTGTATTCTGTGCAAGGTTTCTTGGAGGAATCTGATTTCCAGCTTTTGTTCAATTAGTTTCGTATCAGTCAATCCTTGTTTAAAAACATGTCATAAGTCTCTGTGGTTTGTGCACGCTTCAATTACCTCCGATTATTACATCAAGATTCACAAACGAGATACCAGAGTCACTCCTATTTACTGGGAAATGCTATTGAAGCAAACTGAAATTCAATTTCAGAAAAGATTGCAATAACCCGTCAAAACATCCAAGGAGAGAGGAAGTTGGGCCTCAAGGTGCGTGGGGCCATTGTTAAATGCAAGACGGCATCTCACCTAATAATTTAAACATGGTCTCGTGGCCTGACATTTTTAATGCTTCCTTGATCTCTTTCTTCCAGCCCTGCGTGTTCTTTGCCACTGTAGGGGGCAGTGCATAGCGGGTTGTGGATTAAATACCAAGCCTCATTCTGCCAATAGCACTTTTAGGAGGGGAAAAATCATTGGGTGCTTTTATAAATAGTCACGCCGTAGGTGTCCACAGAAAGCAACCTTTATTCAGGGCTTTTAAAAGCTGCCTGCTTTTTAGATACAAACCAATCCATAAAACTACCAAGTTCAAATTGTCAGCTATTATCTGGGCAGTAAGTTTCAGGCACCTCTGCAGGCTGATTTGATGGTTTTTGTCAGCGCAAATTAGGATCCTAGGTTTAAGTAACGCAATCTGGCTCTAAAAATTAATTTAACTTGCCCAATCCCCACAATACACAGCCCGGAGTTCACATTTACTTTGTGACTCATTGCATTTGAATTAAACTAGAGGGCTAAGAATTTTATGCCTGAAGCAGCTCTGACTCTGAAGAACAGAAACAAACACATATTTCTCCCATCATTTGCTGCTTCAGGGCAAGAAAAAGAAAGCCACTGTAATTTGGAGACAAGACTTTTCCAGACAACTATGAACAACAGCAACCACAGACCAGTACTAAACAGAAATGTGTTGTGGAAACCTGGACTTCAGTAAGAAATTAGTAGGAGCATATCAAACAGATGCAAATATACAATTTTTGATAGATATGGTGTTGGCATGAATTCTAGACGTAAACTCAAAGGGATTGGAAACTTGTTTGTAAATGAACATTTAAAACACAGATTGCGAAGTGTTTTTTGGAAGCAGAGAATCAATTAAATGAAGGAAAATTTAGAAGAGTCATAGACCTGAAAATAAACTAGAAAATTGTCTGTTTCAATATATCCTTATTTTCAAATATGGAAGCTAAGGCTCTAAGAGATTGGGTTGGCCAAGATCACAGTTAGGTTTTTTTGTCTGTTTTGTTTTGTTTTTCATTTTGTTTTTTGAGGCAGGGCCTCAATCTGTCACCCAGGCTGGAGTGCAGTGGTGCAATCTCGGCTCACTGTAGCCTCGACATCCTGGGCTCAGGTGATCCTCCCATCTTAGCCTCCAGAGTAGCTACGACTACAGGTGCATGCCATCACACGTGGCTAATATTTTGTAGAGACAGGGTTTTGCCATGTTGTCCATACTGGTTTTGAACTCTCTGGCTCAAGTGATCCACCCACCTCAGCCTCTCAAAGTGCTGGGATTACAGGCATGAGTCACGGTGCCCAGCCCACAGATTTAGTTGTGAAGTCAGAAAACCCATGTCTTCTGACTCTCATCTTAAACTTTTCCATAAACTTCTCAAACAGGTTTTCCCACTTGTATCGATTAAGAATGCAAATCCTCTCTGCTAATTTACTTCTTTCCCAATTGTTCTTGGAAAGCAAAATTCTACAATATCAAACTCTTGATTGTAGGCCCTCTTATCTTTCCAGCATATTTTTTTACATAAACAAAGTGGTTTTTAAAATCTTCATTCAAAAAAATATATATGCATTTTGAAGTGTTCTGATGGTCTTGGTTCATGTTTAATTCCAAATATAAGTAGAGAGGAAAGTAAGTTGTCTATGTATAGACCACATGCTGACCTTGACACTGAAGCCCAGCAGGTGAAAGAGGGCATCCGAGAATTTTGGTGGCAATCTTAACGTAGGGCTTGAAAGGCCCTGAAGAGTTCATTTGTCCAACCTAATCCAGTTCCAGCAGATAAGCAGATTTGTATCTGTCCTGTTTGTAAAACCTGCCAACGACGGTGGCTCATGCCTGTAATCCCAGCACTTTGGGAGGCCGAGGTGGGTGGGTTACCTGAGGTCAGAAGTTCGAGACCAGCCTGGCCAACATGGTGAAACCCTGTCTCTACTAAAAATACAAAAATTAGCTGGGTGTGGTGGCACACACCTGTAATCTCACCTACTCAGGGCTGAGCCTGGAGAATTGCCTGAACTCGGGAGGCAGAGGTTGCAGTGAGCCGAGATCGTGCCATTGCACTCTGGCCTGGGCAACAGAGTGAGACTCCATCTCAAAAAAAAAAAAAGCCCGCCAATGAAAGTAATTCCACAGCTTCCCTATGACCTCATTTCTGTAGTCCATAACCCCTACCTTCAAGAAAATTTTAGAAGACAGGCTTCCGATTTGTCTTGTTTCAGTTTGAGATCATGAATACTAAAATAATAAAATCTACTTTTATCTGGAATACTTAAATTCCTTATTTTTTCAGATGAGGTAAGAAACATTTATAAAATATTAACTTGAACACAATGGTCCAGACAGGAGCTTTTTTCCCAGGCTTTTCCTTCCCTGGAATATTTTTGGCCTGACAAACTTTAACTTCTTTAGTACATATCTTGGCAGCCAGTGCAGAGGAAAACAGAAACAGGGGCCTCCTTAGAATTTTACAACCTGTTTGGACTGTTGCATCTTTATAATGGGGATGGTAACTCTCTTTTCATGAATTCAGTCACATACAATTAATTTCATTGTGCCAGAAACAAGGAAAACTGTCACGGACCGGAATTACAGAGGAGAATTTGGAGGGCATCTTCTCTGACCCCTAAATGCTACCGATAAGGAAACAGAGCCCCCCGTAAGTTATGTGGGCTGCTAAAGGTCACACGACCAACCGTCCACAGCAAAGTCAGCACTGGATTCTGGATTCTCTGCTTTTTCTATTAAAACACACTCACTCAGCATTCAGCAAAGAGGGGAGAGAAAACAGAAAACATGTTCGTTATTTTTGAAGGAAGAATGCCTGCCATCTGCTAAAAACGTGCTCGCGTGCATGCACACACACACGTGCTCAAAACCCAATAAAATTCTTTAAAACTTAGCTGATTTGCATAAGAAAGATGTGGCACTATTACCACACGATGGATTTTATCAATTTCTGAATATCCATGTGAATGAATGGATTTCACTCATCCATACTCAACGTGAATTCTTTTGTCTGTCACAGTCATAGCACGGATAATGTGCTTTCTTCAGAATTAACCTCAGGACAACCCAAAGAGGTCGCAAATACCAACTAAAATACACTCTTCATTTTACATTACTATTGAACAATGCTGGTGTGTGAGCAAATGGATCTAAGTAGAATCTGTGGGCTTTGCAACCTCGAGTCAAAATCAGTGTGATTCCTTCCAAATAACATGCTGATCGCTTAGTAATTTTCAAGTGCATGTGCAGTTTTATGTCATGGTGGGGGTCCTACATATCTCAAACGCTTCAGTGAGTGTGGGATTTGGGGATGAGTTCTTAGAATGTGAGAATATAGCCAGAGTGTGACCTGGCATTTAGCTTCCTGCAAATGTGCATCACTGTTCTTCATGGAGTTGATGTCTTTGCAGAGCAATGCTTTATCAAAATCTATGTCCTGGCCAGGCACAGTGGCTCACGCCTGTAATCCCAGCACTTTGGGAGGCCGAAGAGGGCGGATCTCCTGAGGTCGGGAGTTCGAGACCAGCCTGACCAACATGGAGAAACCTCATCTCTACTAAAAATACAAAATTAGCCGGTCATTGGTGGCACACGCCTGTAATCCCAGCTACTCGGGAGGCTGAGGCAGGAGAATCACTCGAACCCGGGAGGCAGAGATTGTGGTGAGTTGACATCCGCCACTGCAGTTCAGCCTGGACAACAAGAGTGAAACTCCGTCTCAAAAAAAAAAAAAAAAAATCTATGTCCTAATAACTGTGCTAAGAGAGCCAAGGGGACCAGAAGAGTAAGTATCTCAAAGTTAATGAGGAAGATAAGAAGGAAAATGCCATTTTTGTGAAACCCTGAAGGGTTCACCAGGCGTAAGGGAACCTGGGACAGAACTTCACCTCTCTGGGCCTTCGTTTCCTCATCTGCAACCTAAGGGGATTACCCTAGAAGATCTCTAAGGCCCTTTTGATTAACAACAAACACATCATGATTCAAAAACAGTTATGCTGTGTTTGGGTTTCATCATAGCCCAGGGTCTCTGACTTGTCCTGATGCCACCTATATACTACATCAACTTTGGGCAATGGGTCTCAAGCAAAGCATTCTTCAAGTGCCCCACAGTTATCAAATAATTTAAAAATCTTAGATTTTCATTTTTGTGATTATCTTCTAAAAATGGCAGTTATACCCATTGTGGAGCACCTAGACAGGTACCATATAAGGAGTACTGCCATGTCTTTTTGTAGCAACACATATGTTTGTGTTGATGATTGAATGACTGCCAAGTGCGGTGATAGGAAAGCATGAATCCCTATATAGCCAAGGTTTTCCAGTTGTTCAAAAATAAAACAGTGGTGGGAGAGGTGAGCCATCACTTGGGAACACAGGAGTAACATGGATCTGAACTCGAAAGACCCCGCATCCTGGCCTTTGGCAGCATGTTCAAGTCTGTGGACAATTGATAAGCAACAGTTCATTCGTGGTCAGTCTAGACATAAATAGGCAGTGAAGAACTTTCCATTAGAAGATTTTCTTCCCAGACCAGGTGCAGTGGCTCACGCCTGTAATCTCAGCATTTTGGGAGGCTGAGGTGGGAGGACTGCTTGAGTACAGGAGTTCCAGACCAGCCTGGGCAAAAGAGCCAGATCCTGTCTCTACAAAACAATTTTTAAGTTAGTCAGGCATGGTGGTGCACACCTGTAGTCCCAGCTACTTGGGAGGCTGAGGTGTGAGGATCACTTGAGCCCAGGAGGTTGAGGCTGCAGTGAGCCATGATCATATCACTGCACTCAGTGTGGGCAATAAAGTGAAACCCAGTCTCAAAAAAACAAAAGATTTTTCTCCCTGTATTATATTTTGGGGGTACACCATTAGATCATTTGGCCTGTTAGTAGATAAAACAAATTAAAAGATAAAAAGCAAATACATAAAAATAAACAGCAAAGGCAATAATGATGGCTAAAAGGGCTGCCTATTATGCTAAAACTCAAGGAAATTAAGTTAATAACAAGCAAAGCCTAAAGTGCAAGTACGTTCTACTAGTATATTACCCAATAACAGGAATTTTGCTTCTACAAAATGCCATCAGTCATCACACCAAATTAATGTTGTCATCTGAGTGTTTGGGTTTTGTAGTTATGTTGGGATTAGTGTGTAAAGTTGCTTGGACTCATTTGTTGTATGGGAATACTAAGGGTAAAAAAATGTGTGAGTGAATTTTTTGTAGGTATATAATAAGATTAGAATAAAAGAGTGATCTTCAACACCAAAGATCCTTGGAAATGTTTCCCTTTAAAAGAGGGTCATACATTCCTTAAGTTGGGGAAATACTGTGTTTTCTTTCAGCTCCATCCTCGGGCCTTTCAGTGAGGACAGGAACCCACGGCCAGACAGGAAGGCCTGTTTGAAGCCAGGTTGCCTCCCTAGTAAGTTTGTTCTGGAGCCTTCTGGTCTCCTTTTCTTTTAGTTACTTTAAGTGGTTTTAGGAAAAAGTACTCTTTTCATCTTAATCCTGCTCCTTACACCCAAGCCAGCCCAGAGCCATCTGGAATCCTCAGAACAGACCTATTCTTTGAAGAGAAGAAGGACAAGATGTTTTTGGACCCTTGCAGGAGGTCTGGATACAGACGGGGCCCTGGGGAGGGTTGATCCCCAGCAGTAACTGCTCAGCTGGAGGCATGAGGGGTCCCTTCTGACCTCCAAGCTTCAGAGGGGATGGGAAAAGGTAATTTGGCAGCTTTGTGTTCCAAGGCTTCACCCCTAGATTGGTTTAGGCAAGAGTCAGTGAGTCCCTGGGAAGGCACTGGGCCAGCAGAGCCCAGACATCAAGGCTAGCATTTCAGTCTTAATAATCCAATTTAGGCTGGGCGTGGTTGCTCATGCCTGTAATCCCAGCAATTTGGGAGGCTGAGGCAGATGGATCATCTGAGGCCAGGAGTTCAAGACCAGTATGGCCAACATGGCGAAACCCCGCCTCTACTAAAAATACAAAAATTAGCCGAGCATGGTGGTGCATGCCTGTAGTCCCAGCTACTTGAGAGGCTTAAGCAGGAGAATCACTTGAACCCAGGAGGCGGAGTTTGCAGTCAGCCAAGATCGTGCCAAAAGAAAAAAAAAAGAATAAAAAACCAATTTAAACAAAGAAAAACCTTTCATTGAGCTCTTTAAATATCCTAAGAATTGATTATAAATCACAAATTGGAAGCCAACATAAGCTGTAATGCAAAGCAAGCACTGAACATCTCTCTACCTGATGCCACTTAAGTTATGGTAAATTTAGTCAAGGCTGTGGGTTGGGGTTGTGTGCCTTATTGCAGGAAGCAGCACACTTCTGAGGGATAAATATTGCATTTGGAACCTATGAGTTGGTAGTTTTTCTCCAAGGATGTTCTTAAAAGCCATTTGCAATGAATTTGTCAGTTTCTTTAGATTTGGATGGAATATAACGATTCTGGAACATTACTGGGGCCTCTGAAAATTGTATTTCCTACCTTATATCTTACGTGGCTAAAGTACATGGCTGGGAGCGGTGGCTCACGCCTCTCATCCCAGCAATTTGGGAAGCCAAGGTGGGTGGATCACCTGAAGTCAGGAGTCCAAGACCAGCCTGGCCAACATGGTGAAACCCTGTCCCTACTAAAAATACAAAAATTAGCTGGGTTTGGTGGCATGTGCCTGTAGTCCCAGTCTACTTGGAAGGCTGAGGCAGGAGAATTGCTTGAACCCAGGAGGCAGAGGTTGCAGTGAGCTGAGACTGTGCCACTGCACTCCAGTCTGGGAGACAGAGCGAGACTTTGTCTCAAAAAAAAAAAAAAAAAAAAAGTACATCTTGTTCCAAGAAACCTACTTTTCCTTCAAACACTTTGAGGTTTAAAGGCAGGATTTACTACCCTCTGTCCTGACGGCAGAGGGAGAAGGAGGAGAGGAAGGAACAGAGGCTGTCACCCCTTGATGATTTTCTGGGATCCTACAGTTAGATGGGGGTATGGTCTCCTGCCCTATGAAAACCAGATTCTAGGATGCTATTCTAAGAAAAAAAAAATCCCCTGGAATCATATTATCTTCTGAAAACTAGTGCCACATTTTCCTGTTGATACTATACTCATCAACTTCAGTTCACAGTCAAAATTCAGTTATCCTGTTAATCTTGCTCATTTTGGCAGGCACGAAAATACACATGTTTGTATGGAGCCAAGCAAGTTTTTGAGATCTTGGGATCCTCTGGAAATATTTTTTCAGTTGTTGAAAAGGAACTTGCAAGAAAGCATATATTTTCAACACTCGTCCCAGGAACAGTGTGTGAAAGTGACATTAAACTTATTTCTACACTGGGTGACTAGTGACTCCCTGCTGGGTAATCAGGTAGACCTCTGTCATCTCTGCTTCACTGGGGTTTACTGCCAGGGCGTAGAGAGTCTCATCTCATGGATCGGAAGAATGGGCTGTACACACAGACAGCTCTCACCCTCCTGTTCTGGCGCTGGGCTATTCTTCACGGCCACTCTTTACACTGAGAAACACCTCATGAATTTTCAGCCTGGAAGACGATGGGCCCATTTAATGTTCTAACCATATAGAGTGCCTGAATTCCCAAGATCTCCAACTGCTTTTCACTTACTACCCTGGAAAGAACCCCAGTAGCATCCGTTATGAAGACAAGAACTCCGCAAATCTCCTCCTTGCTGGCTGGGGAGCAGGAGGTCTCATAATTCTGTATCTGGCCAGGCATCGTCCTTGGCTGCATGTTGGTTTTGGCATCAGAGGCAGCTGCCTCTAAGCCCTTGTTCTGCCATTTCAAGTTATGTATTCTTAGGCAGATCTTTTCATCTTTTTATACTTAGTTTCCTCCTTTGTAAGATGAGAAAGATAGTATCTTGCAGTGTACTTGTGGCGATTAAAGATTATATTTACACGCATACCACCAGGCACACCGTAGACACCACACGAATTCTAGCTGTCATATTCCAGGCCTAGGCTAGAATGTTGTCAGAATAAAAGTTTCATATTCTTCCCACTAATCAAAATACTCTCACCACCACCACTACTGCTATTACTACTTCTACCTACCATGCATTGAGCACTTATTTGTGCTGGGAACTTCACTAGGTACTTTGCTGCATAAGCTTGGTTTGTTTTATACTTTAAGGACCCCACAAGGTAGGCACTATTTTTAGCCCCACTTGGTCACTGAGATAAATGAGGCATGATGAGGTTACATTGCTCAAGGTCACAGAGGAAGTGTCTAACCCTGGCTCTGTCTGACCCAAAGTTACTGATCTGAAAACGATGCTACGCCTTTTCTAGAAAATGAGCCAAACCTGCACCCCACCCTACAAAGCAGTCCCTGCCCCCCTGACCCTGCCCCAATCCTTAGAACTACCTATCTTCTTTGTATTCATAGCTCTTCCAAGCAGGAGTCCATCAGCACTGCAGGCTGAGCACAACATACCAGCTTTTGGGTCAGACACCAGCTGCTGAAACAGGCCCTTCAATCTGTTGTACTCCCCAGAATTGCCTCTGATCCTTGCCTGACAACCATCCCAGGATTTCAGATCAAGATGTCTGAGGCAGGCCCACTTCTAGGTATTTTTTGAAAAAATTTGTTACAGGTGACAGGGCGTGGTGGCTCACACCTGTAATGCCAGCACTTTGAGAGGCTGAGGTGGGAGGATTGCTTGCGGCCAGGAGGTCAAGACCAGCCTGGGCAACATAGTGAGACCCCAGTCTCTACAAACAAATAAAATTTAAAAATCGGCTGGTTTTAGTGGCACGCACTTGTGGTCCCAGCTACTGAAGAGTCTGAAGCAGGAGGCTCCCTTGAGCCCAGGAGTTTGAGGCTGCAGTGAGCTATGATTGCATCACTGCTCTCCAGACTGCATGACAGAGAGAGACCCCGTCTCTAAAAAAAATAAACCAATTGCTACAGGTAATTGATTCTGATGACGATGCTTGCTTGAGAATCCTGGAGAGATCCTCGCTGCCTTGATAGAAGCTGGGGACTTTAGGGGGACCCTGAACTCCATCTGAACTCTTGGTTATTGACTGCTCTCTACTTCTCTAAAGAGACGGCTGTAAAAAATTGACTTAGAAAGCCACTCGAAAAAGTTCACACTCTGAACTGCCTGCTAACTCCCATTTCCTACCAAATCAAGATGAACACTTTGCTTGACTTTCACAATGTCTAGCATCTTCACAGTCCCCTGTATTCCTGTACAACCTGCTCCTTCTCTTTTCTTTGCTATCACGGGGACACCCTGTGTACATTTAGGCCTAGAGTTTTCTTCTAACCTTGGTGTCAAAGTGTTTCCAATCACCAACGAGCTTTCAAGGGGACAAGAAAGTTCCTTCTCTCCTATTTTCATTGGTCTTCTAACAGCAATAAAATTTCTACACACTTCAAGAGTGTCCACCTGGAAGGAGAAACATAGTGAAGGATGCAAATGTCCATCAACAAAGTGCATCTGTGTCAGAAAGAACTCAGGTACAAATCTGTCACTGCATCAGGTGGGAGCTCTAAGGCTCCACTTTGGACAGCGGCCAGGAGAGGATTTCCAAAGAGTTCGAGTTCCTCCCGCCCGGCCTGGACAGAATCAGGCAGGATTATCTGACAGGAGGATGCTGCAGTGGTTCCTGAGTGTGTGCACATCTCAACCCCCAATGCTGGTGGGAAAGGAAAATAAATCTTGGGGCGCCCAAATCACTAAGCTAAAGGGAAAGGTGAAGCTGGGAACTGCTCAGGGCAAACCTGCCTCCCATTGTATTCAAAGTCACCCCTCTGCTCACAGAGATAAATGCTTATTTGATTGCCTCCTTTGGAGAGGCTAGTCAGAAACTCAAAAGAATGCAACCATTTGTCTCTTATCTACCTTTGACCTGGAAGCCCCTCCCCTGCTTTGAGTTGTCCCGCCTTTACTTCGAGTTCTCCTGCCCTTTCCAGACTGAACCAATGTTCATCTTACATATGTTGATTGATGTCTCATGTCTCCCTAAAATGTATTAAAGCAAGCTGTGCCCTGACCACCTTGGGCACATGTCATCAGGACCTGTGTCATGGGCATGCATCCTCAACATTGGCGAAATAAACTTTCTAAATTAACTGAGACCTGTCTCAGATTTTTGGGGTTCATACTGGCTGCACCCCTTTCCATGGGGTTGCTGCCCCATTCTCTCCTCCATGGGAGCCGAACAAAGTCCAAATCAGGACGTTGCCACACAAAACAACACAAATGTTGTATTATTCAAATAGGAGAGAGGCTCGGTGCTGTCCTCATTTGGGTTATGCCTGCAGTCCAGAGGAGCAGAGTTTGGTGCATGGGGAGAACTGAATGTCGAGGGCTTGACAGCCTGTTCGCTTGGCTCCTCTGTCCTGAGATTACATTCAGGATTTTCTCTTTGGCCTGAAGTTAGGGAGGTAGGTGGAACAAGGGTGACCTTTGGAGTGGAATTTTCATAAAATAAATAAACTGGATGACAGCGTATAAAAGTTACAAACCTCTTTAGAATGCCATATGTGAGCAACTTGTAAACAGTCCATAAATATCACCTGCAGGGTGGAAGTCAAGGAGGCTGATGCAGAATTCTGTAGGAACACATTTTCTGCAACACTGAACCATCTGGTAACGACAATTTATTCTCTGGTTGGCATAGGAGTACAATGATAAAACATGTTACTACTGACTTCTGTCTGGAAAAAGACGATCACGGTCCACTGTGTTGTGTGGACATGGGGCCAGTGCGCGTGACTCTCAGCCACTCATATGCCCTGTGGTGGTGTCAGGAGAGGAATTAAAAAATTAAAGGGGTGTTTTTTGGACATCCCTACTCCACAAGCAGGATTTCAACAGCAAACAACACCAAGAAAAAAAAGTTTTTGGAGAAAAATTGTTCCTTTCATAATAATGCCACTTTTTGAGCGATTCGTTTTTTAAAAAGTTCACAAACATCTGTGTCATTCTTGGGGAATAAGTGTAGAAAGAACATATGGATAGCAACTTTACCCTTTATAAACATTGCTTATTTTCAATATCCCAATAATTAGTTCTAGAATAATGAATTCTGCAAAGGATAACAAGGTCTTTCCTAGGTTCTATTTCACATAGAGAATTTATAAAAAGAAAGAAAAAGAGAGCAAGAGACAGAGAGAGAGAGAAAGGAGTTTTGATTTTCCTCCAAATAGACTACTTAGTACAGAGTCTCTGTATAATAAAAAAAAATTTCCAATTTCTCCAAAGTGAAGAATAATGTAACAACGGAAACGCAACTGAAGGAGATGGGCTAATGGCTTTATTATAACAAACACACATACAAACTAGACGCATTTTAATGTCATTATCCCCTACCCCACCCAACACCAACCTTCTAACTGTGCTTTTAATCAAGAATTCCTTCTTATGTTGTTACTTCCTGCCCTTCTGGGTTCCTATGATATGCAGTTTCCATCCTGGTCTCATCCTGTTTGGCCCCTTTGCGTAAAAGCTAAGGATGGCTGGCCCACAGCCTACCAGGGCTTTCAAAGCCCCAGAAGTCTGTAAACAGGAAAGATTTCCTCTGAGGTTGTGGGCTCCTCCTTGATCAAAAGATGGCTATTGGATAAGAACTTCCCCTAAATTGCCAGCCACTCTTATTTTCCAGATGAGATCCTCTGTTGGAGGGTACATTACTAGGTATCTATGGCAGAGGTGACAGGCAATTTGCCAGGACTCCATGAAGTTGCAGGAGAAGTAAGTTGCAGCTGCTCTGCTGTTAATGAGGAGGTAGGGCTTGGAGAAACACAAAGATTCCTCTGAGCAATGGCCCTGGCAGGGGTCCCCTCCTGGTTAGCAGCCAGGGAGGGTGAGCGAAGCAAACATCAGTTCAGAATATGAAAGAGGGACAGAAGGACTGCATGAAGAGCCCCAGCAACCTTGAGGGTCTCAGAGGTTGGAAATAAGAATAATGACTTCCACCAAAAAAGTTTAGTTTTATCCCCATGGTTGGTAAGTGGCCTGTTTTTGAGAAATGGGAGGATAGTCAATGACTTCCTAGTTGGAGACATCATTCCATGTAAAAGGACTGCTTAGGTCTGTTTTTAGGGTCAACTTTAGAGTCACAGCTCATAATTTCAAAGTTGGGTACATCTTTGTCCAAGGCAGCGAATCTTTCCCCCGTGATTTCATTATGAGCTAACCAGTTCAGGCAAAAAGCTGTCCCTCAAGAGTCACTCAAGAATTTTGCATTTATTTCTAGTTAATCACACCTGTCTCTGAACCTTGCCATGGAAGAGTGAAGTGAGGGAGAGAACAAAGCTTTTCCTCTACCTTCTTTCTAAACTGGGTGAGTAGATCAAAGTGTACCAAAACAAACAAACAAACATTTTCGAAAGACCTTCTTTCCTGAATGCATCTTATCTTGGAACACATCCTTCTTTGTTAATTACCTGACAAGAAGAAAGGATGCTTTGAATTCTTATCGTAGATTTCTCTGCACCACTCAGAGGGCACTTAATAAATTATCTTCTTCCATTTACTATCTCATTATTTGGATAAACTTCATCTTTTGAAATAGATTATAAACTTTTCAATCCCAGGGGATTATAGCGTAGTTCTTCGCCCCTTCCTTCCATACTTTTTAGGTACGAGCATCGGTAAACAGTTTCGTATTTAAACTCTACTTTATTTCATTTCTAATTGACAATGACCTGGGCCTTACTTCATTGTAATAAGGAAACAAAATGATGAAGCCAGAACTTGCAGATGGCTGTTCTGTCTGTTTCAGTGTCTCGAAGTCAGAGGTTGGTGGTTAATGATAAGAAAGTAAATGTTAAATGTGCTTTTGCACATTTAGCAAACAGACTGAGAACCAACTTAGAAAACATTTTATTTACATTTTAGTTATAGCATTCACCTTCTTAAGATATAACATATCTGTTTGCAAGTCCTGACTCCCCACTTGACCGTGACCCCTTCAAGGACAATAAACAAGTCATTGTCCATCTTTCTATACCCGTGTAGTACTCACTATGATACTGGCATATGATATACACTGATATAAGCTCCAGTGTTTTCTCTGATTAACATCAAATAATATTGTCATGACAATGAGAAATAAGAAATGTAGGTTCTGATTTTTTCCCAAATCTTGAGAATCTGTTTTTCCTTCAAGCTATAAATTGGGGATTCAACCAAATCACATGAAGCAGCAAGTATTTCCTGTGTGGCACTTAGCTGTTCTGGGAAATAACTCAATGTCATTTGGTTAACACACACACCCAGGCCAAATAGTTGAAAATAACGGAAAGACATCATGGTAATTAGGTTAGGAGTTGACCCAAGACATGTTCTCATTAAAATTCTTTCTATTTCTGGTCTCCATTCCGTCTTCTTTCACTGATTGACTTTTCTTTCTTTGAATGAAATTCCCTCCCCCAGATGGACTATTTCACCACAGCAAAAAATTGAGAAAGCTAAGAAGACAATGGGGAGGAAAACCAATACTACCAAAAGGAAACCTCGGAGAGTTTTGCTTTCTGTGAGTTCTCTGTCAGTCAACCCTGTCCTGTTCTATAAGACCCTTCTCATAGACCCCTCTTTCAAGGGTTTTCAAAAAGGAAAGCCTATTTATTTACTTATTACCAATTATGACCTCACTGGTCTTCCCACTCTTTAGCACTAGGGCACCAGAACCCCAGTGTATGATGATGGTCCCCTAGCAGCCATTCCAATGACATTATTCAACTCAAACAGAGCTTTGCAATAAGCTGTGTCTTTCCTTATGTTCTCTGGGGGATGAAATGAGAATGACCCCATCTAAACAAAAGACCACATGGTTGGCATTCAACAGTCGACTCCTCCCCATTTATTTGTGGATCCAATTCAGTCTAGGTCTGAGGCTTTACAGAAATGCATGGCACTCCTCACAGATGGCATCTGGCCACCCCTTGAAAGCTTCTGGTGGAAGGGGAGCTCGCTGCTTTTCGAGGCAGTCTGTCACACGAGTAGAAATAGCGTAGAAACCCATATGTCTTGAGTCTAAGCAATGACATTCAAAAAGCAGAAGCATCCATGCAACCAGATTGACTTAAAGTAATGTAAACAGTCCAATCGATTCTTTGAAATTGAAGAATGACTTGCTGTAGAGCATTGTGCTCCATGATGGTGTGTTCTGCCAGCCTAGGCATGAGCACTTTGTGGTAGTACAATAAACTACTCCATAGCACATGGGGAGGAGAATGTGAATCAATGATTTAGTGTGATCTCATTGGTAACTCAGTGCTGAAGATCTGCTATCATATATTTAGGTGAATAACTATTCCAATGTGCTGGATGGCACTTTACAAACATATATAATCTACAAAAATGATTTAAAAAATTTTTGTGCACCTTTCAAGTCAAAATAGCTCAAGATATAATGTGGACATCCTAGGAAAATAATAATTGATGCATGTTGGAAACCTTTTCATGGTATATTAGGGCTATAATTTCTACCCATTGGTCCCTGTTCTGCCCTTAAGGATGACACAGCATAAGTTATAAACCCCTGAAGGTCTAGCTGCAAAATGGGTGCATGCACTCCCAAACACCAGATCGTGATTATGCATTACCTGGAAAAGTAAGAAGTAGGGAAAGCAATATGGCTGAAGACAAGTGTGTTCAGTGAGGGGATCGTTGTCTCGGGAATCCTGGGAACCAAGTTCTCACTGTGGACCCACTCACTGGGCAAGTCACTTCCTGCCTAAACTCCACTTTCTCTACCCATCAACTAGAGAGGTCAGATTCTCCGTTAGCTGCCAAACAGTACATGGGTAAAATTCTATAGGTTTAAAAAATCATATACCATGACTAAAAGTCTATGATAACGGGAACACAATTTTGGGATCTCTTTGTAAAAAAAAAAAAAAATCTGTTCTTTTTTTCTTTTTTCTTTGAGATAGAGTCTCACTGTGTTGCCCAGGCTGGAGTGCAATGGCATGATCTCAGCTCACTGCAACTTCCGCCTCCTGGGTTCAAGAGATTCTTCTGCCTCAGCCTCCCGAGTAGCTGGGACTACAGGCACATACCACCACGCCCGGCTAATTTTTGTATTTTTAGTAGAGATGGGGTTTCACCATGTTGGCCAGGCTGGTCTCGAACTCCTCACCTCGTGATCTGCCTGCCTCAGCCTCCCAAAGTGCTGGGATTACAGGCGTGCCACCGTGCCAGGCCAGTAAAAAATATTTCTAACCAAAATTTTCACTCCAGCTGTCATACATGTAGGGAAGTGATTGTTTATATTAATTTGCAAAGGCTAAATCCATTTTTCCCCCCAACTCTTTGTGACTTGCTTGGGCTAGCCTGCAAAAACACTTCTGTTCATGGCAGAGAGCTGTCTGCATCCAGCTGACATTGTTTCTCTGGCTTAAATAAAAGAGGCAGGACAATGAGTGTTAAACCACTGCCGGACTCTGATGTAGTGTTTACGAAGGCAGCTGCTTTTGCATTCTGCGGGTCAGAAGGGTGTGTGTGTGTGTGTGTGTGTGTGTGTGTGCACGCTCCTGCATCTATGTAAGATCTGAGAATCACTGAAAGCAGCTTCCTTCATCCTCTATTTTGACATAAAGATTCTGAATTCAAAGCACCTTCAGAAGCAACAAGAGATTAAGACAGGCCAGGCAACGACTTAATATGGTAAAACATATCTTATCCCTGTGGTCAGTTTACAATTTCCTTGACAGATAACTGCTAATTAAGACATATTATTTCAGAAATTATGGTTGATTTCCTTTGTTATTTACACTTTTGTTAAAGGTAGTCAATGATGTCTTTTAGCTGCTCAATAAAGGGTCACCTAAGGAAAAGCAACTGTATGCCTAACATCTGGGAAAAATATTCCCAATGGGGTAGGTTTCATGAGAACAAAGTTATTTCTCAGATGACTCTTTCCTTGCAGCTTCAAGCTTTGTTTTCCTAGGAATTGTGTAGAAATGCTGGAATTAATGAGTGATAGAGACTTTGATTGAATCAATATTGTGTGAAATTAACTTGCAAACATGGTTGTGATTACTTTTGTGGGAGTTGGACTGAATTTCTCAAGAAAGTACACAAAGAAAAGACTCAGGGCAGAGCTACAGCTGCCTGACAGAGGCAAACAGAAGCCTAACTTTATGGACTTTTCCATACTCTGCATATGTTGAAATGACAGGCTGATTCATAGCTTCCTTGCTTAGTTTCCAAATCGCTTTGCAACAAAAGCAGATTTACTCCCTTCCCAAGACTATAACTAGGATTCATGATCCCATAGGCTCAAATCTTCATAAAGGGAATTTTGCAAAGCATGCCTCCCAATTCTTGACAGTCACAATTCAAATATTTTCACAAAACAACAGGACTCTCAATTAAGACAGAGGTCAGCAAACTATGGCCTGTAGATCAAACCTATCTGACTGCTTGTTTTTGTAAATAAAGTTTTATTGGAACACAACCATGCTCATTCATTTGCCTATTGTCTATGGCTACTTTCACAGTATGACGGACGAGCTGAACAGTTGAGATTGAGGCTGTCTTGCATGCAAAGCCTAAAATATTTCCTATCTGGCCGTTTTCAGAAAGTGTGCCAATTCCTGATTTAAAATATCAATTTGTGCCATAAAAAAAAATCAATTTCTTTGAAAACATAGATATAGTTTTAAAGTAAACCTCCCCAACCTCCCCTACCTCCATGAATTATCTTCTAAAGCAAATTGGAGTATATATCAAGAGTCTTAATACTGGTTTTATTCTTTAGTTCAGCAACCACACTTCTAGAAATCTCTTCTAAAGAAATCCCTAAGCATACATCAAGATTTATGCATACAGATGTTCATTCCATCATAATTTATAATTATTTATAATCTTGAAAAATTGAAAATGTCCTAAATATTCTAGGCCATTTAGATAAAAATTATTTTAGAAAGATGTGATTTACCAAATGCTTGTTTTTAAAAATATTTAAAGAATTACCATTTGACCCAGTAATCTCATTACTGGGTATATACCCAAAGGAATATAAATCATTCTACCATAAAGACACATGCACACATATGTTCTTTATAGCACTATTAGCAATAGCAAATACATGGAATCAATCTACAAGCCCATCAATGGCAGACTGAATAAAGAAAATGTGGTGCATGTACACCACGGAATACTACGCAGCCATAAAAAAGAATGAGATCATGTCCTTTTCAGGAACATGGACGCAGCTGGAGGCCATCATCCTAAATGAACTAGTGCACGAACAGAAAATAAAATAGTGCATGTTCTCATTTATAAGTGGGAGCTAAACATTGAATACATATGGGCGCAAAGAACAACAGATAGCAGGGTCTACTTGAGGATGGAGGGTGGGAGGAGGGAAAGGATCAAAAAACTACCTATTGTGTACTGTGCTTATTACCCGAGTGACAAAATAATCTGTACACTAAACCCTTGTGACATGCAATTTACCAATATAACAAACCTGTACACGTACAGGTTTATATATAAAACAAAAGTTTTATATATATACATATATATGTATATAATATATATATTTAAGAGCCTAATATAATGTTTTACATGTAATTTCAAGAGAAAATGGTAGGATAAAAGCTGTCTATAGAAAATAATCTCATTATTCTTTTTTTTTGAGATGGAGTCTCACTCTGTCGCCCACGCTGGAGTTTAGTGGCGCGATCTCGGCTCACTGCAGCCTCTGCCTCCCGGGTTCAAGTGAGTCTCCTGCCTCAGCCTCTGGAGTAGCTGGGATTATGGGCATGCATCACTATGTCCAGCTAATTTTTTTGTACTTTTAGTAGAGATGGGGTGTCACTATGTTGGCCTGGCTGGTCTTGAACTCCTGACCTCAAATGATCTGCCTGACTTGGCCTCCCAAAGTGCTGGGATTACAGGTGTGAGCCACCATGCCTGGCCTCAATTTTTTTAAAAAATGCATATTTCTAAATGCAAAGAAAATAAGCAGAAAGAATATATGCCAAAAATATATATTTTAAAATTCATTTCAGATAATTTTGTGCTCAAGAAAAATAAATATACATGCCTTTTTGTTTAATTTATGAAAATGTTAGTCCCAAATAAAGTTCTTCTTAATTTATAGAAATGTTAGCCCCAAATAAAGTTAGTACCCATTTAAAAATGAGTATTAACCTATTTCCAAAACAGTCCACTTTTTAATGTAATAAAAATTAAATATTTTCTAAAATATTATTTTTATGAATCACATTATCTTTTCATAGATGGAGCAGAGATGGCAGTTTTGGGGCACTTGTGCTGCCACTTTTTCCTCTTGCCCACACTGAACACTGCAACCTATTAAGCCATTTCTTTCTAAGAAGTTTCTCAAATGTACTACAGATGGCCACTACTAATCAGTCAGAAGTATTAAGTGATATCAAACATATTTGCCCTCTGTGAGAGGGCTACATAAGTTTTCCAAGTTAATTCCACCCTTCCTCTTAAGACTACATGGTGAAATACATTTTTATCACCGTAGATCTTGATCATCTTGCTTCGAATGTCTTAGAATGTTCTGCGTGTATTTCTTTCAAATCCAAAGAAATGCGCGGTGTCTCTTCATATGCATTCAATGCTGAATGTCTGTGTTAGGATGTACTGCCCCAAGGGCTGGGTGAAGCTGCTGCCTCAAGGGTCCTGGTGAGCCTAGTTACTGTATCGCCCATGTCCACAATTTCCTGTATTTCTTTCTAGCACCTGACACTGTGAACAATGCTTCCGTTTTTGAAATGCTCACATCAGCAGCTTTCTGTAGCAAGACACTGTTGTAACTGGTACCTCTCTCATAACGCCTTCCCATTGTCCTTGGAACACCCTCTAACCTTAATCCATCCCATCAAGGGGGCTTTTTCTCGAGACATTTATTTCTTTTCTTTTTCTCCTTGCCCTTCTACGAAAAGTCAATTTCTACAGCTTTAGCCAACAAGTGATTCCCACATTTCTATGTCCAGCTTTGCCCAGTTTCCCGTTTCTCAAGTTCTTTTTTGCACATCTCTACCTGCAATGTTTAAAAGCCTCTCAAAATGTTCGAAATAGGACCTACTCTCTTGCTGTATTTGCCTTTTTTTTTTTTTTTGAGACGGAGTCTCGCTCTGTCGCCCAGGCTGGAGTGCAGTGGCGCGATCTCCGCTCACTGCAACCTCCGCCTCCCGGGTTCACGCCATTCTCCTGCCTCAGCCTCCTGAGTATCTGGGACTACAGACGCCCGCCACCACGCCCGGCTAATTTTTTTTGTATTTTTAGTAGAGACGGGGTTTCACCGTGTTAACCAGGATGGTCTTGATCTCCTGACCTCATGATCTGCCCGCCTCGGCCTCCGAAAGTGCTGGGATTACAGGCGTGAGCCACTGCGCCCGGCCTTTTTTTTTTTTTTTTTTTCGAGACAGAGTCTTGCTCTGTCGCCCAGGCTAGTGTGCAATGGCACCATCTCGGCTCACTGCAACCTCCGCCTCCCAGGTTCAAGCGATTCTCCTGCCTCAGCCTCCCGAGTAGCTGGGATTACAGGTGTGCACCACCACGCCTAGCTAATTTTTGCATTTTTAGTAGAGACGGGGTTTTACCATGATGGCCAGGCTGATTTTGAACTCCTGACCTCAAGTGATTCACTCGACTTGGCCTCCCAAAGTGCTAGGATTACAGGAGTGAGCCACCGCGCCCAGCTGCTTTATTTACTCTTAGTGTTACTAGTACCACTGTTCTTTCGGACCCAAAGATGGAAACATTTGTATCATCATTAACATCCTGGCCTCCATCTCCTCTCAAATTCTATCACTGGTGGAGTCCTTTCCATGTTTCCTTCAGGACGTACCTTTCTTTCTAATTTTACTGCCGCCAGTCACCTTCAGAGAGTGGCTGGGGTTCTTTCGTGGGAAGAAATAAGCGTGAAATGGAAAGACAAAGCATTCTACTAATGTATTTAGTTTTTAACATTTATTGGATAATTATTATTTTTAGACCCCGGCTTGGGATGTGGGGAAGAAAAGACGACCTACAGTTTCTATTTATTGTTTCTGTTCAATTTGTGCCACTTGAAGAGTCAGTAAAATGACGCCAAGACCATAAACCAATTCCAAAAAGTCAGAGCTGACTTGGTTCAGTCCCCTTTGAAGAGATAAGGCCTGTCATTCCAGAGTATGAGGCACAGCAGGCTGGTGAGTGTAAAGGGGTTGATTGGGACCTAGAATTATAGGCAAAGAAGACAAACATCTAAGTTAGAGCTAGCAGAGGGTGTCTAACATGGAGAATACGCATATGCTAGTCAAGTGTCCAGGGTCGGGGGATTGAGTGACCTTGGGAAACAAGAGTATTCCAGCTGATGGCTGAATCTCAGAGGGTCTAGGACCCCAGCAGAGGGTTACAAGTAGAGAGCACCAGCAACCAGGAACAAACCTGATCCTCAGCCAACAATTGCCTCTGCCAGATGTTTTTTATATGCGTCTTGTTTAGAGCATGATCTAGGTCCCAGGTGGGCCTGCCTTGGGGGCTGCAGATGAAGATAATGAGGTTCTGCAAGCTGGAAAGGCATGGAGGCCACTCGGAGAACAGCCCCTGAGTAGCAGGTCTCTTCTACTTGTCAGTGTCTTTCTAGAGAATAAATATCACAAGGGCAGAGAATGATGCCTGTTTTGTTCACTGATCTATCACTGTCTCTATCACTATCGCTATCAGCTGTCACAGTGATCGGCACATACTGGTTGGTCAATAAATATTTATTGAATGAATGAATGAATGTGGTAGTAAGCAACAAATGAAGTTTTCAGAAGAAGAATTCTGGTGTCCCAAGAAACAATGCTTGGGAAAGTGCCTGAATCTCCCTCAATTTCTGAGTTTGTAAGTTCTGAATTTATTACCACTTATATATATTTTTAAGCACATGTTGTGATGAATGTTTAACCATGACCTCATGTTCAACATCAATCTCAGGACTTGTATAATATTCCACATATAAACCAAACCCTAAAACAACATTGATAAGAAACAGGAACAGTTTAAGTCGCAAGGCCAGTCTCAGGAAAGGTGTAATGACAAAAATAATGGGAGTTGACAGTTCAAATCCTTTTTTTCTCATAACAGTGTTTAGAAATACTAGACATTTTCCAATGAATGCTGGGAATTAGCTGAATAACTTTAGAAGTTAGTCCTCTGTTGAGCACTTGCTTTAACAAAAATATGGCTCAGGAGGACCAAATGGAGGAGAAAAGTGCAATTAATATATTCACTCATTTTAGGTCCTGTTTACATTTGCATCTTGAAGGAATTGCATTTATTATTTTAATTATTTTTTAAATCAAGTTTCCTGTCTGTAATTGAATCATTAATAGGGCTCTTTAGTCTTTATTGGTGACAAACACATCTATGTTTAAATTGCTCAGAATTTTCTAGTCAGATGTGCTAAGGACACATTCAGAAAGAAAACAAGTTTAAAACACATCTGTGTCCTTGTTTAGCCTTTGAAAAGCTACTTTATCATTATACATTTTGGGCATTTCCTTTAAAAATGGGTCTGGTACAACTAAACCATTTCCCAAGGATGTGTGAATTAACCAGTGGTTACAAAGAGCTTCGAAATGATGATGGACTATCAGTGCTAAGTCAAATTATGAAATTGCACCTTTGCAAAAATGCTATTGTAGGAATAAATGAATCTGAACGTGGTATTTACAGTGTGATTTGCTTCTGAAATAGAATATTTCTAATGGGCCTCTGCAGGCAACAACAAAGTGCCATCTTATCTCCTGTTGATAGACCACAATTTCAGAAAATTATTTTTACAATGGCATCTGAATAAGCTCCTTAATTTGAGACTGTTTTCCAAATAGATACATAGCTTATTACTTTGCTTACGCTGCCTTTGAGACACAAAGAGTGAGGTGGGATTCATTAACAAAATCGCTGTTGTCATTCCTTTGTGGTTTTTTTTTCAAAGTAATTTCTCTTCTTTACAAGCTAATGTTAATGAGCTATGTTGAATAAAAAGATCAGGTAAAAGCTACTTTTGTGTTAGTGATCAAATCCGAGTTTGGGTTAATACTCAGGTTATCAATTGCACTTAAAGCACACCTCAAACTTGGTTTGCGGCTCCTGTAGTTTGAAGACCAAACCAATCACTCATGTATGGAATTTCTACTGACTGTGAATGTTATATTCAACAACAGCAGAACAATACATGTGTATTTCAGAAGACCACATTCTCAGTTCTTCTAAATAACTGATTAGATAAAATGCATCTGTTCATGGGTAAGACTAAGGTCTAGGTGAAAAAGTAGGCAATTCCTTAGAATAAATTTTGCCAAAACAAGGTCTAAAACGTCTGATACCACTTAGGGGTTGAAAACTGACATAAAACATGTGTCTCAGTGAAATATGAGTAGGAAGGAAGAGAAGGCTGTGTTGCAAAAGTCAAGGAGGGTCTGGGCTGGGCTGGAACAGCAGCTTGGATCTAGGGAAGAAGAAAGCAAAAAGTAGGGAGGGTCTTGCAAAGACCAAAGAAAGCCCCAGGGATCAGGACCAGCCTCAGCTGTCAGAAAAGACATCTCTGATTATTACACATTGTAGGCCTGTATCAAAATAGCTCATGTACCCCAGTAATGTATACATCTGCTACATACCCAAAAATTAAAAGTTAAAAAAAAAAGACATCTTTGTAATATGCTCTATGGCAGGAGGATTTTTTCTGGAGAATTAGAATCCTGTTACTTTAGAGACAAAAGTGCTTAAAGAGAAGAGCTTCATTCCTCTCATTTCACAGATGAAGAGACAAAGGCCCAGAAAGTCTCAATACTTGAGCTCACAGCTAATTAGAGCTCAAGTGATTCCTAGAACTCAGGATCACAATGAGTACCTGCGGGCATCACACATGAAGACCGCACCGTTAACTGAGCAAATTTCTTGAGAGAGCTACGGACATGGTCCACACAGGACGGGCACCAAGGAGACAAAGCTGAGGGCACAATCAAGAGAAGCTTCTGCCTCTGCCCCAGACAGTCTTTTGTCTTTCATCCCATGGAAATGGAAATGCAAACGTTTATTAGTTTATTACGTAAGTTCCTTCCTTCCTTCCTTCCTTCCCTCCCTCTCTCCCTCCTTTCTCTCTTTCCCTCCCTCCCTCCTTTCGTTTTCCTTCCTTCCTTCTCTCTCTCTCTTTCTCTCTCTCTTTCTTTCTTTCTATTCCTCCCTCCCTCCCTCCCTCCCTCCTCTCTCTCTCTCTATTTTCAGAGGTAGACTGTTGCACTGTGGCCCAGGCTAGAGTGCAGTGGTGTGATCATGGCTCACTGCAGCCTTGAACTCCTGGGGTTACCGTGATCCTTCCTCCACAGCCTCCCGAGTAACTAAGACTACGGGCGCATGGCACCATGCTTGGCTAATTTTTTAAAAGTTTTTATAGAGACGGTATTGCCCAGGCTGTTCTCAAACTCCTGGCCTCACGCCATCCTCCCATCTTGGTCTCCCAAAGTATTGGGATTACAGGCATGAGCCACTGTGTCCAGCGTCATGTAAATCATTCTTTTCTATGGTTGCAGACAAACTAGAGAGGTGAGAAGGAGGGAGTGCTTTCTGTTTGTTTCTAAAATAGACAGATAACAGAAACATTTGGAAATATTGCGGAAAACTAAGTGTAAGAGAGTAACATTGAAGAGCTAGTAAGAAAGATAAAACCAGCTGTGGAGGCTGGGTTTGCCTGTTGTAGGTGTCATCATACATCTACTACTTTGCCTCTTCCTCTTGGGCTGGCATGAACACATTGTGCCACACGCCTTAAGAAACACTTAGGAAACACTGGTATGGAGGGAGAGGGGAGAGCCCAGGCAGCAGTGGAATCCTCTCATTGCCCCCTCCAGAAACAAGCAGGCCTGGGCTAGTTCCTCCAAGTAGCATCTTTGTCTAGGACAGGAGGCTTGTTATTTTTCTGGTGGTATGGACTGACATATTTACACCATTCTTCAAGGAACGCATCCCATGTTAACTTCTCTAATGAAGAAATTCACTTTCTGCCTCTTCCCTGGCAAGCCTGCTGTGAAGTTAACATGTGCATTTACTGGGGTTGCCAGCTGGAACGGAAGCAGGCTCTAAATTATTTGTGTTTAATTTATGTAAAGGTGGTTTGGACCTGAGCCCAGATGTGAATATACAATAGACCAAGTTTACAGAATTGTGACACAAAGTCCCAAGAGTTGTGGGGATGTCAGAAAACACTCAGCAATCAGGACGTATGCCTACAACATTAATACATTTTATGCGTTCAACTCCAAAACAGATTATGGAGACGACTGTAAGACAGAAAGAAAAACTTTCAGCCAAGCACTATCTCTGCAGATTTTTTGAGATGTAGCTAGAGCTACTCAAATGTAAAAATTCAAGCTTTTAAAAATAGAGGTTTTTAGGGGGAATATGTAAGTCTGACTCACTACCCAGGAAAATGAAGGGTTTACCATGTAAATGAGAAGAATAAGTGAGCATTTTACAGTATGATTAAGTTAAGCCTTTGTCCAGAGAGCTGACTTGGTCTTCCTGTGCTGGAGGAACACACTGGAGAAGTCTAATTGGATGTCCATTGGCTAACTGGAGAAGACTCATTGGTTGTCAATTGGCCAATTGGAGAAGACTCACTGGATGTCCATTGGCCAATTCAATTTGGCAAATACAGCACCTACTATATGCAAAACACTAAACTCGGCTCTGAGCAGTAGAAAAACAATACTAGTCTCTGTAACTACTGTATGATCTTGGGAGAATAGTGGAATAATATTAATGATTACAACACAATACAGAATAGCATAAGGAACATGAATGAAGTATAAAAACGGTTCTGAGAAGTGTCAGAGGACGGAGAAAGAAAGACCGCATTTACTTGGTGGCTGGTTATCAAAAATGGCTTCATGAAGGAAGCATCATTTCAGGTAGAACTAGGATGATAAGTAACATTTTGACATGGAGTCTCAGGTGTGTAAAGGGCATTTACCCCCACCACACCTGTGAAGGAAACATCCTATGCACAGGCATGGGGCTGGGAAAAGGAGGAGTGAGCTTCAAGAACTAGAAAGTGACCATTTTTGGCTAGAATAGATAAGGGAGCCACAGGGGATAAGGCCAGAGAGAAGGCCTTATCTGCCCTTATCTCCTTATTTGGCCTCCTGTGGCTCCCCTACTTATTCTAGTTAAAAATGGTTACTTCCTTAGGGAAAGCCAAGAAGCACAGACCGAGGCAGGGAGGAAACGGGGAACTCTAAATGCTTCTGAGCAGAGGGCAAGAAGGAGGAAAACCTCTTCTGGAGGCTGATGCAATCGCTCCAGGGATAGGTTAAACAGTGTTTGCATTTGGCAAATAGCTGCAGAAATGTAACAGAAGAGATAGGAGAGACATCGTAGATAGATAATTGAGAGGCCTTTAAACTGACTAGATTTGGGGGACAAATAGGAATCAGGAGACATTCCAGAGTTTCAAATTTGGGTAAGTAGGAAATGAAGGAATCAGTAAAACAGAGACAAGGCAGAAGAGAAGTCATTTGCATAGGAAGCTGCAAAGTTTGTTTTTGTTTTTAATTTTAGGAAATGGTCAGTTCTCCAGGTGGTCAACATCCTCCAGAAAGAATTTGTAAGTTTGAGGCCAACGCTCACGTCAGATTCAGGAAGCTAGGTATTATCTGAGCCTAGTGGCTAAGATCAAAAAGCTTATTCAGAGGAAAAATTCAGGGCAAAGGCAAAACCTTGGCCAATGCCTACATTTCAGTGTTGGAGGAGAAATAGAGGCAAAAAAGAGAAGAGGTCAGAGAAGTGGGGAGAAAACCAAGATGGCACAGCACCATGAGATGCAGGAGAGAAGAAGGCCCCAACACTGGGGAGTTGCCAATTATGTATAAGATTGCACAAAAGTTGGAGAAATCAGGGCCAAGAAATGGCCAATGTTTTGAAGCATTAGAAGAGCCACTGGGGTATTTGATTTGAGCAAACATTTTCAGTCCACTGGAGGGAATGTTACGCTGAAGTTATGCTGTCATGCTGAAGACAGCTAAGTAAGAAAGTGGAGTTCTGAACTGCAGTCACCACTTTCAATACCTTGACAGTAATAAGAAAGAGAGAGAGAGTGTGAGACAGAGTGTGAGAGACAGAGATATATGAAATGTTTGCTTGCAAGGTAACAAGGTCCAAGAAGGATTTTGCTACTCACAAAGAGGTAGATCCTACAGAATTCATTTGACCCATAGAGGCCCATAACAGTCCCACAAAAAAGAAAGCCAATCCCTTCTATTGGGTCTCCCAGCCACATCTGTAGCCATTTGAAATGAAGAAGCGTTGAGAGTGCTTTTGAAGAGTTGCAGATATAGTGTGTATCACATAAGGCCATTCATGAGGGTGAGGTGGGGATAAGGAGCTAGAATAGTAACCTCTTCTCTGCCATGATCCCAAGCTCTTTCCTGCAAACATGCTCTTTGGTGTTGCCACTAAGAACCAACTCCCCTCCCTACTACTGGAAAATCTGTCATAACCAGAAATGCAGGAAGGAGATGGCAAGGTCAAAGGACAGGGGATACTAGAAATAGAGGGGAAATGATGTGAATGGACCATCAGTTTAAAAACATTTATTTCCCAGCTGCCTTTCGCTATGGATTTATGCTACAAAATCCATATCATTTTCTCTTTCTTGGAAAGGAACATAATGACACTATTTTGTTGAATGGATTGTCAAGGACTGGCAACCCTGTGTAATAACCACAAAGCTATTGGCTTGAATACTGCTATTTATGTATGGGTTGGCTTATGGTCTGAATGCACTAAACATATTTACAATTCCTCAAGCACACATGAAAGAATAATTTTTTTAAGTCATTGATGCTATTATCATCAAGTTCGTGACACTGAAATAGCATCTTCTATGAGGTTTTCCAGAAACTCCATCCATCTAGATCTTCAGAAGGCTGCCATTATAACAAACTTAACTGGTCAACTTACTAGAACACTCAGAAATTCTTATTGGCTGAATGCACACTGAGCATAGATACTATCTCTGTTGTGTGTATGTGCAGTGCCTTGGTGCTTTTGAAATATTTATAAGTGTCTCCTCCTAAGGATGCAGACGTTACTGTTTACAGTCTGAACTTATTTAAGGAACCAAACCTGCGGATGCACTTCCTGTTATAGTAATACCTAGGTCTTATTATTTATAAATATGTATGTGTCTCTTGTATTCATAAGACACTTCCATCTACATTAGCTCATCAACACTGTGTTGCTGAGATAGGTAGAGGAAGGAAAGCACTTTTGTTTCGGAATTAAAGCTGTGTCTAGGTGGCATTACTCAGGCAGACTCTGATGTAGGCAACCTGGTCACTGTCACATCTTCCTGGGCTGTACTGGTTAACACTGTCAAATCCACGATGTTAATGGTGCCATAATGAGCCATTCACATATCGGGACCCAGCCCATATGACCCATCTCCTGTCTCACAGACAAGAATGAATGGCAGAGGTGCAATTATAACGCACATCCCTAATTCACCAGAACTCTTTTTCACAGGGAGCTGCTAACAGGATCCCCTGACAATCCAAAATCCCCAGCTTGCGTGAATGAACTAACAGACACATCAGTTTGCTAGAACAGCTGAAGAGGGAAATGGTGATGTCTGGAAGGACTGAACCTATGTATTCTAATAGTTACTCAGTAGTGTCCCCAGACACGAGCAAAGAAATTGGCATGGGGAGAAACGGGAAGAAGAATGCAAAGCTGTTTCCTAAGGAAAAAAGAAATGACAATTCCAATCAGTAGTAAACACACAAACAAACAAAATCCCTCACTGTTTCCTTAGCTTAGTGCCAATCGTCATTGAAAAATAAAATTATGGGCTGCCCTTTGTATTAGGTTGGCGCAAAAGTTATCGTGGTTTTGGTGGCCAAAACCACGATAACTTTTGCGCCAACCTAATAGCATTGAGGAAGGTGCTAGCACAGCTTTGGTAATATAAGGAACTCTAATAGAGCCAGGGCTGAAATATGTTCCAAACATCTGCGTCAGGCTTGGCAGCCTGTTCCCAGTGTAACTGATCATGGAAGAGGGTGAGAGGTGAAGCCAACTGGACTTCCGGGGTCGAGTGGGGACTTAGAGAACTTTTCTTTTCTTTCTTTTTTTTTTTTTTTTTTTTGAGACGGAGTCTCGCTCTGTCGCCCAGGCTGGAGTGCAGTGGCACGATATCAGCTCACTGCAAGCTCTGCTTCCCGGGTTCACGCCATTCTCCTGCCTCAGCCTCCCCAGTAGCTGGGACTACAGGCGCCCGCCACCATGCCAGGCTAATTTTTTTGTATTTTTAGTAGAGACGGGGGTTTCACTGTGTTAGTCAGGATGGTCTTTATCTCCTGACCTCGTGATCCGCCCGCCTCAGCCTCCCAAAGTGCTGGGATTACAGGTGTGAGTCACCGCGCCCAGAGGACTTAGACACCTTTTCTACAAGAGGTTTGTAAAATGCACCAATCAGTGCTCTGTAAAAATGCACCAATCAGCGCTCTGTAGCTAGCTAGAGGTTTGTAAAATGGACCAATGAACAGGACATGGGTGGGGACAAACAAGGGAATAAAAACTGGCCCCCTAATCTCTGCTCAGGTCCCCTTCCAGGCTGTGGAAGCTTTGTTCTTTCCCTCCTCACAATAAATCTTGCTGGTGCTCACTCTTTGCGGTGGTGCCATCTTTTTTTTTTCTTTCTTTCTTTCTTTCTTTTTTTTTTTTTTTTGAGACAGTGTCTCCTTCTGTTGCCCAGGCTGGAGTGCATTGGCACGATCTCGGCTTATTGCAAGCTCTGCCTCGCGGGTTCATGCCACTTTCCTGGCTCAGCCTCCCAAGTAGCTGGGACTACAGGTGCCAGCCACCATGCCTGGCTAATTTTTTGTATTTTTAGTGGAGACGGGGTTTCACCATGTTAGCCAGGATGGTCTCGATTTCCTGACCTCGTGATTCACCTGCCTCCGCCTCCCAAAGTGCTGGGATTGCAGGCCTGAGCCACCGCGCCCGGCCTGGGTCGGTGCCATCTTTAAGAGCTGTAACTCTCACTGCGAAAGTCCCCAGTTCCGTTCTTGGTCAGCTAGACCGCGAACCCACCGGAAGGAATAAATTCCGGACACAAGGGGGCGCGCGGGGCATGCGTAAAAGCCTGCTCCGGGGCCGGGCGTGGTGGCTCACGCCTGTAATCCCAGCACTTTGGGAGGCCGAGATGGGCGGATCACCTGAGGTCAGGAGTTTGAGACCAGCCTGACCAACATGGGGAAACCCCATCTCTACTAAAATACAAAAAATTAGCTGGGCGTGGTGGCGTGTGCCTGTAGTCCCAGCTACTTGGGAGGCTGAGGCAGGAAAATCGCTGGAACCCAGGAGGCTGAGGTTGCAGTGAGCCGACTTTGCGCCACTGCACTCCAGCCTGGCGATGGAGCAATACTCCGTCTTTAAAAAAAAAAAAAAAAGCCTGCACCGGGACCCAGTCTCTCTCCAGACAATCCGTAGCCCTTAACTGTGCTGCTGGGAACCAGAGGCCCCAAAATTCAAAATCAGGTGCCTCTGATTAAGCTAGAGGGAGTGAGGAGGAGCGGATGTGGCCAGATTCTCTGAATGTGGACATGCAGGCACCCACTCCAACACCCAGGGAGTGGCTGTCTTAAGTGCTTTCTGAAAGGTTGTCATCCAGACAAACCACCCACTTCAGCAGTTATTGAAATTGCCCCTTTCACTCTCTCTTTGCTGAATTTTTGCTGATCTCTTCTCCATATGACCTACTGTGGGTCACAGACGCTTCTCAGGGACACATTGCGGTTTTTCACCTCAACTCTTCATATACCTCATTTTGAGTTCAATACAAGTGTCAGCTGTTTAAACTAGTGTTTACATGTGCAAAGCATTCTGTGGGACAGCGAAAGGTAGAAATGTAAGTAAGACATGGTTTTTGTCTTGCTGGGGTCTGCCACCCAAACGAGAGATGAACACCTGTACAGTTAGAATGAGGACTCTACGGAGATGGGTGCTGGAAGGCAAAATAGAGTGCTGCAGTCAGACTGTCACATTAACTGGAATTTGTCAACTTGACTGGCTGCCATCTTTCCAAAAGAGTTGATCTAGAAATTTACATTTTATTTATTTATTTTTGAGACAGAGTCTCGCTGTGATGTCCCGGCTAGAGTGCAATGGCCTGATCTTGGCTCACTGCAATTTCTGCTTCCCGGGTTCAAGCGATTCTCCTGCCTCAGCCTCCTGAGTAGCTGGGATTACAGGTGCGTGCCACCACATCTGGCTAATTTTTGCATTTTTAGTAGAGACCGGGTTTCACCATATTGGCCAGGCTGGTCTCGAACTCCTGACCTCACTGATCCGCTTGCCTTGGCCTCGCAAAATGCTGGGATTATAGGTGAGCCACCGCGCCTGGCTAGAAATTTACATTTTATTTTATTTTTACCATCTTTTCTGTGACCAAATGTGTTAACAAACAAATGCCCACTTTTTCACTTTATTGGAGAATAAAAAGGACAGACAACTATGAACTGAGATTTTTTTTAAAAGATAAAACAGTGATCTTAGTTAGCCAGGGGTTACCACATCTAAAACAGCCTAATCTCTTATCAGACCAAGTCAGCCTTAGCTCCTCCAGGTTTGTAGAGACTTGTGTCTGTTTTTTAATCTTTAAGTCAAGAGTGTGTTCCTTTTTTCTTTAAATGTAAGAATGTATGCCTTTAAATATTTTGAAGTGATCTATGTAAGATTATGATTTTGACCCCGTCTTAATTCTTTCCATGCCACTTCCTGGGTTGCTTGTATCTTGCATAATAGCTGCCCTGCTGGTAGCGTCCAACAGTTAAGAGAGTCAGACAAGGACTTGGAATCGTGACTATATTGACTGGCCTTTGCTATCTTCGGCTATTCTGGAGAAATATGAGAACTTGAATTGAGAGACAGTTAGCATCCTCTTTCAGCCCGGGACTGGAAGCTCTCTCCGTGACATAGCAGTCTATCATAGAAGCAGCAGGCCATCACCTCCAACCTGGCTGGCTGCTTGTACAAAGTATCCACCCAGATAAAACGAAATACACTGGAGCATCTGTTTCTTCTCAGAAAACTCTTCCATTTCTCCTAGGAACCCAGTGCCTGAGCAGTCTCCCTTTAACCCTTACAGAGCCACCGTGGCAAATGCAAGGATCGAAACTGTATGAATGAGGGCGCTGTGGGAGAAGAACACTTCCCTGCTATTTACCTGAGATTAAGTAGATGACCAGCGCTTGGAAGGGAATGTGGCCTTCTCACCTCTGGGCCTGAGAACAAGCACTGGACACAGTGGTATCTAATATGCCCTTTTACCAATTGAACAGATCAAACCCATGTGTGGCCTGGTTGTCAGGCTTTAAATAAACATTGTATTTATATGCGCTTTGTGCTTTTAAACTCCATCAACAAAAAGCACTAGAATTTAGATATTTACTCCCCAGGATTTCCATTCCTAAGTTAAGGCAAGTTTTTATTTATTTATTTGTTTTTTTAAAAACTGAAGGATAGAGTCTCGCTCTATTGCCGAAGCTGGAGTGCAGTGGCAAGATTATAGCTCACTGTCACCTCAAACTCCAAACTCCTGGCCTAAGCGATCTTCCTGCCTTGGCCCCCAAAAGCACTGGGATTACAGGTGTGCACCACCACAATTCACTAATTTTTTATTTTTTGTAGAGAGAGGGTCTTGCTATGTTGCTCAGGCTAGCCTTGAACTCCTGGCCTCAAGCAATCCTCTCACCTCCGTCTCCCAAAGTGCTGGGATTACAGACCTGAGCCACCACTCTGGCCAAGTTTCAATTGAGTGGAAAACCACCAATTGGTTGAAAGTTTCTATGCACAGTTTTCACAAGTGCTTATTTAATCTGAACTTAAAGTTCAAAAATTAAGTCCTTCCTCAGAATTAGTTGGTTTATACTTAAACTTTCCTGAGAACTTGTTAATAAAAGAGTTGCTTGAAGAAAAAATAAGCTGGTAACGTTTCATGAGAATTTCCTCATTCAAAAAGCACATCCATGTGTGACTTTGATCACAAAGACAGAAAGATTTGTGACGCAGCAACTATTTATTTGGGTTCTGTTCATATGACTTTTCCCAGCTTCAGGGATCTCAGCTGTCAAATGAGGATGAGAGAAAAGTGAGTGCTCATCCCCATAATGGGCACATATTGAAGACTCAACAGCAAGAGCCCGGCATAGGTTGGACATGGTGGCTCAGGCCTGTAATCTCATTACTTTGGGAAGCTGAGACAGAGAATGGCTTACCTCAGGAGTTCGAGACCAGCCTGGGCAACATAGTGAGAAGCCCCCCCATCCTTCTGTGTTTTAAATAAATAAATAAATATGTTTTTCAAAAAAAAACCAGTCATAATTATTCCTTCCCAAACACTCTATGATTATTTAAGTTAAAGAAGAAAAAAACAACATGTTGACCAAAGAAGATCTAGCAATAAAGACCTGGGCTTGATGAGGAGGAAGACCACGTTATAAGGCAAAAGTTCTCCATGAACTTGAACTCTATAAAGGAATTGAGTAGACGGAAGCCAAAATATTCTGTTTGTTTTTTTTTCTTCCTCTGCTCCTCTGCAGAACTTAGTAGAGCTCTGAATGAATGTGCTTCACTTCCTAAGCTATCTATGAATTGTTTCAACCATAAGACACTACTAACTGCCCTAGATACCAGATACAGGCCAATCAACCAGAGAAGAGCAGGAGAACCCTCCTCTCAAGGTGCAACGAACTGCCAAGCCACTGACTCTTACAATCAGGATGGATGACAAACACCCAGGCAAGAGGCATTTGGAACCTGATCCAAATGAATTTTTGTTTCTTGTTGTTCTTTAGGCTTAATGATCAGTCTAGA
Source organism: Homo sapiens (assembly GCF_000001405.40). NCBI lineage: Eukaryota > Metazoa > Chordata > Mammalia > Primates > Hominidae > Homo > Homo sapiens. Next base: position 33,323,753 of record NC_000010.11, read on the forward strand.
TGAATACTACCACTGCAATTAGTTACGTTTATTTTTTAGCTTCCTTTACACACACATATGTGTTTGTGTGTGCGCTTCTGTGGAGCCATGTCAGCAGGCATGCAAGTATCAAGTTTTATGCTGGAAAGAAAGGAGCTGAGAATGTGCATGCCCGCTGAAGGCATATGTCTCACTTGGATCAGTTAAGTGCCTGCTCCCTAAAGTGAAATCTCGTTGGAAATGCCATGCACATGTTGATTCAGTCTGATAAGATTTCAACCAACCTTCTCCTTTAGCTCGCAAAAGTTGCTTCCTTTAAATTACAGAAATGCCTAACACAAAACAACCTCGTAATACTCAAAATTCATTATGATCAAATGTGATTGCTTATACTAAGGGATAATAAAGAAAATTAATTTTATTAAACACACGAGGCTCTGTTCAAATTAAATTTGGTGCTAATGGGGAAAAAAATCAAAAGGAAGAAAGCAGATAATTATCTGCCTGAGTAATAACCAAGGATGCTGCAAGTGGTAGTAACAACTTTGGCCAGCAGTTCTTCTGAGGAGGGTTCATTCTTCCACCAATAGTTTTTTAATTGAATTGAGCTTGGTGGTGGTGCCTCTCACATTGAGAAGTCACCAGAGATCAAAACCAGAAATAAAAAGATGAAGAAAAATACGGCAAAGGAGAATGTTTCTGAATTTGCTTGCACATAAAATCTGCATAATAAAGCAGGCTCCAGATTGAAAAGTTTGAAACAAAGACAAGATATTTCCATCAGTAGCCACTGAAAAAAATTAGAAAATGCATCAGTAGGATTCTGCTTTTTGATTAGAAATAGTACCTATTTTTTCTATATCCACTCCAAAGACTTTCACTGTCTATGTTCAAGGATAGTACCCACAGGCTTCTTTTTTTTGAGACGGAGTTTTGCTCCTGTTGCCCAGGCTGGAGTGCAATGGTGCGGATCTTGGCTCACTGCAACCTCCGCTTCCCAGGTTCAAGCCATTCTCTTGCCTCAGCCTCCCGAGTAGCTGGGACTACAGGCGTGCACCACCTTGCCTGGCTAATTTTTGTATTTTTAGTAGAGACGGGGTTTCACCATGTTGGCCAGGCTGGTTTCAGTCGAACTCCTGACTTCAAGTGATGCCTGCCTCTGGCTCCCAATGTTTGCGAGTGAGCCACCGTGCCTGGCCTGTACATACAGACTTCTAAGACTCTAGTTGAGTTTTACCTGATTTTGAAATGTATAAAAATGAAGTCACAGAAGTTAGGACAGCAGTTGCCCTTGAGGGCAAAGGTTGGTGACTAAAACTGACATCAGAGGGCTTCTAGGAAGCTGGAAATGTTGGCCTCTAGATTGGTTTTGTGGATGTATCCACCTTGCAAAATTTTATCAAATCTTATACTTGGGTTGTGTATTTTTCTAAATATATATTATACTTTACTAAAGGTATATATTCTTCTCTATTTCATATGGAAAATAGAGATGTAGTTTGGCTTAAAAAACTCAGTTTTCCATAAAACAAGGATTTTGTTTTAGTCTAAGTGATGCTCTAAAATACAAGACTAGAGTGAGGTACTTCCCTTGGATACAAAAAGCCAAAAACTCAGTGATTAAGATAAATAGTATTTTAATGTAACATTTTTTAAAAATCCAAATTAATCCTAAAAAATCCATGCTAGTAATAATAAAGAAAGATTAAAACAGAAAATATTACTCATATTACTCAGGAAAACAGAAAATGGAACTTACACTCCAAAAAATGCCAATAAGTGTAAATGTGCAGGAATAAATGTAAATGTGCGGGAATAATCAGATTTGAGAAACCAAGGGCAGATTATTTTTCATTCCATAAGTTTATATTCTCTGAAAATAAAAGACATTAGCACTGTTTCAAAGTTTTTAATAATTTAGGTAATTTAAAAACTAGCATTAAAGGAACAATATCTGAATTATCCCAACAAAATTCTGAAACGAATATCATCTCTATTTGCTTATAATTTCACTATGATTAAACTTCTTACGAAGTTACAAGTATGCGATCTTCCTTTGAACGCACTGAGTTAGGAAAAACATGCCTATTGTTGGTTACACAGAGGAGAGATTACAAATCTAAATCATAGTTGAAAAAAGCAACTGTGCCATGATATGAAACAGCACTGTCAAATCAGACACTGAAGTCGGTAAGTAAGATTTTCTTCTTGTCAGTAGGAAAAGCACTACTGGGTTTGAGTCCCCCAATGCTACCACCTTTTTAGACTTTTGTTAGAGCTTTGCATTCATTTCCTTAATGTTTTTAACCCAATGTCTGTGAAATTTTTATTGCTCCCCGGATGGTGACATCTGATCTGAATGTAACCATACACCTCTTTGCTCAGCAGTATTTGTCACAAACCATTATAAATTATCATGCTGATTGTGTGCATTGCTGGGAAACTGGAGAAGTTTCATAAATTCTAACTACCATATCAATGACATTCTTGTTTATTATACAGATATAAACTTTTATGAGATTCAAGATGTCTGCCTTACCACTGAAGAAAACTTTAGTGGAGTAAGATCTAACTAGTTCGATGTACATACTGAAAACCATTTTCAATGTGCAATGAACATGTGTTTCCGAAAACTCTCCACTGGTCACTTCTTTATTTCTTTTCTATTTTTAATTATGCTTTGACACTTCACAAGTGTGCAGGATTTTGCTGGCAAAAAAGAAATCAACATTCCTTCCTCTCCCTCAACACCTTCTTCGGTCAGAGCATTCTCTAGAATCCTCTCAATCTAATAATAAAATCATGCATATATATAGCTGGGAAAAAATCCTAGTTCTGTGTTAGCCCTGCAGACAGACGCTCCACTGGTCTGTTGATCGACTGATTTACACCACATCTTGTTCAATAAAAGAATTAAGGGGTTATAGTATTATGGTTCTGATGCTTATTTGTAATGAAACCTCATTCAGTGCTGGCATAGACACAGAATGTTGCATGTTAAAACTATGGAGGCACAACTTACACATTTAATTTTCCTAACGAAGTATCCACCTTTGACAGCCACTGCAAAAACTTCACCATTTTGCAAAGTATGATCCAGAATTAACTCATGAACTGGGTCAGTCTTGGTGCTATTCACATGAGAAGTTGTGACTGTATACTGTATTGTTAAGATTATGAAATGATGTTTTTTACCTAATTATACATAAAACAATAAAAATCTAAATAAAAAATTTTTTTTTTTCTACCAGGACTATGTAGCTGGTCTAATGACTTAACCATCCCTATACTCTACAAAAGAAAACTGTTTACTTGGGTTTCAAAGATGTTTCACAATAAGCAAATGTGCTAAGGCATCGATTTCTTAAGCTTTCTCAGGGTGGAAGTTGACTATACAAATACTGACCATTTCAAGAGAAAATGCAGGGTGTATCATGTGCAAATCATCTCATTACTGGGTCAATAGATTTAGTTTTGACGTATGTTTAGTTTCATATTTCCAAATGTTCTAAAAATCACCAACTTGTTAAAGATATCATAATAATGATAACTTATTTTGAGGGTCACTTTTACCTTTTAAAAAGGCTTTCCTATCTACTACTTGATCCTACTAGTAACCCTATGACATCAGCATAGCAAATGTTTTTTACTGCCAACAGACATATAATGAAGCTGGAACAAGGAAAAATATTAAATGTCTTAAATAAGATGAATAGTTTGTTCTTAACAAGAGTGATAACTAAAAGCTCACCAGCTTTCAGAATGTGGTTTTAACTGTGCCTAGTTTTGTGCCACCTCCAATCCATTTTTGTAAATAGCCTGATATAAAGTACAAAAAAACCCTAATAACAAAACTATGTTTGTAGGAATCTAATCTAAACTTTGAAGTCTATGAATTTGTTCTTCAAATAATTTCTGGTGTTCCCAGGTTTTTTTTTTCCCCCTAGGGCATTCCAATCCCCTGTAAAATTTAAATCTGTGGATTCTTCTCAAAGCCTTCACAAAAGGAGGTAAGTATTTTGCCACATTTGTAGAATCTCAAATGCACCCTTCAACACTGAGCACTAGTCATTCATATGAATCAGCTTAGAAAGATAGTGAAAGGAATGCCTTATGCTGGTCTTCCTATATCTTTCTGGAGTTTCTCATTGATAAAAAGCTCACAATGCAACACTTCAAAACACAGCAGGAAGATATTTTCCATGGATCTAATCTCCATTGACTTCATCAGGCTAAATATAACAGCCTTTCAGCTTTGGCCAGGAGATGACACCTTCACAGAGAGCAAAGCCTCAGTTGGGACAATTAAGAAATCACCTTACTCTGTAGCATTAAAAAAACAAACAAAGTCACCATTATTAAGATTGTTATGTAACATCTTCTTGGCCATGTCAGTTTCTCAAATACTTTGCTGATATCACTAAAACTGTCATTTTCTGTGAATTACAATCATCTTTTAATGTACTTTTTAAAAAGAAAACTAACCAAAAAGGTGCTCCTTTAATCCCATTATACCCCACCTGACACCATGATATGACAAATCATTATTTAAGGTTTACTGTGAGCTAGACACCATTGTAATACTGTGAGATGCTGTTGTAATAATTAGTATACGCTGATTATTTGGAAACTGATCATCAGCCTATGGATTTATGCTAATTCTCTAGGCACCAAAATGTTGAATGAACCAGATGACCTTATTTCCCTGACCATGAAAAGCTAGTTTACTACACCAACTCAACAGGTTGTTGAGCGCTTTCTACAGGTAGGAAGATTTTTATATTACTCTGTTCTTTCCCAGAAGAAATGTATGTGCAAATAGAATTGTAAGCCCTTTACATATATTAAGTGATTCAACTGGCTTCCCTTCTTAAATTTCTACTCCAGTTGTGTGCTGGATCTGGCGCCCACCAGCTCATAAGAACCAACTGTGCACATTTCTTTGCTAGTCTGGGCACAGTGACATCACATGGTTAGTTTGAAATTGGCTATGATGAGAGTATTTACACCACAGAAATTGGCATGTGCTACATACAAATGAGGACTTGACTCGTCTTCTCCAAAGAGCCAGCTGTTAAACATTTACCACCACATCACTGCCAATAACTAGTGATTATTCTGAATTCTTTAAGTATTATATTACACGTATTGATGGTCATGATTTCCAGATTAGAAATTAGTAAACGTCAGTTTATTGAATTCTAACAGCACTTTATTTTTTGGAATAATGTTATTACTTGAGTATGTTTTACCAGAGTTTCTCCTATAGCAGTTTAAACATGGTCAAAAAGCAAATACTAATAACTACTGCTACTACTAATGAAGTAAATCAAATATAAAAGAAAACAAGTCTCCAGATTGTCTAGGTGATTGACACTGTAAAAACCACCATAAAGAATATTAGCAAAAATAAATAAATCAATACAATGAACTCTTTGTTTCCAAGCAGTCACTGGAACACTATTAATGGTAACTTCCATACACAATTAAAAAGTCAATATAATGCCCTGAGGCACTTCTGAATCACAAAGCAAAGATAAATTGGAATTGGTGTAATTTTGTTGCACTGTAGTATACACTGATTATTTGGAAACTGGTCATCAGCCTGTGGATTTATGCTAATTCTCTAGATACTAAAATGTTGAATGAACCAAATGACCTCATCTCTCTGACCATGAAAAGCTAGTTTACTAAACCAACTCAACAGGTTGTCGAGCACTTCCTACAGGTAGGAAGATTTTGATATTACTCTGTTCTTTCCCAAAAGAAATGTGTGTTCAAATAGACTGTCTTTAACAATGAATATACTTGCAAAATAATATTTAGGTCCAGCGGTAGCAGTAGTCTGTAGATATCATATACGGTTACACCAAACTGACCCACTTTAAAACTTGTGAAAACCTCTCAGTCCCTGAGAAACACTTTAGAATTGAGATTTAAATCGATTATTTTTCTTTGATAAAACTATTTATATATGTACAAACTTAAAAGATGGATATTCAGGTTCAAGTCTCTGGAGACTACACCACTTTCAGTGGGTCAGAATGGGATAATGTGGACAAGACAGAGACAGGGGGTCTGTTGGGTGTTAAGAGAGACGAGCAAACATGTATCTGAGTGGACTGCTACGTGCAAGGTAAAAACATACTTTCGATACTGTGGAAAGCAATATCCACATACCAGTTCTTTCACATAAAGTGAGGAAATATAATTTCGACTGTCTCTATAGTGAGAATGTCTTCATAATAACGAAATTGGGCATAAGTTGATGTTTAGAAACTTAACAATAGAAAGAGATAGCAAGACTAAGCAGGTGGATGAAACACTGATGTGTATTTGAGTTCCCATTGTATTCATCGTGTCTTAACAATTATTTTCTAGCATTTTCCATAAAAGTATTTTAATCAGTAATCCACCATTTACAAAACCCCTCATCTGGCTTATCCTGTAGGCCTTATTTTATTCAATTTGCTTTTTCCATGTCAAACTTACTTAGTAAGATGAATGCAGTTCTTAAATCATAAGATGTGCCACAGTTCAATATATCTCAAATAGTGAGATCTCCAATCACACTATCTGTGGATGCGATGTATATTAGTGATCCACTGTATTTCGTAAAAATACAAGTGAGATTTTTGAGTTTCTAGTTCTTCCCCTCTCCAGGAAAAAAAAAAAAAGAAAGAAAAAAGAAACATACATACTGTATACATTTCTTAACAAGAGTTCCCAAACCAAAAGTGCTAACAGGAAGGAGTATAAGAGCTTACACATTTAACTATAATCTTCCTGGTTTGGGGAACTCAGAAATCACTTAACGTACTTCAATTTCCATACCATTGACATATAATCTGGCTGAGATTGGAATCCCTCCTGGATCCATTTATAATCTACATTGTACACACCGACTTCCCCCCCGTAGACAGGCGTGACCACTAGATGGTGCTGTGGTGCCCTGTTCAAAAACATTCCCACTTACTTGCAGTCTCTGTCCTCCAAATCGAAGTGAGGGTTGAAGTTGATCATAATTCTCTGGTATGGGTCCGGAGCCTGAATCAGCCATTCGCATTTTTCACTTGGGTGATAAGAATGAGGATAACCAGGAGATGTAAGGTACCCGGGGCTTTCAATTTTTATAGTATCGCCACATTTATCTGCAATGAAAGTAAGATTTTAGCAGATCTTTCCTGACAACCTGTTAGGTAATCTAGCTTTATATGTAAATTACTGGTTATTAAACATTCCTTAACTTTTTAAGGGGAACTCTAAAAGGTCCCCGTAAGTCCTTCGTGTGGCTCTGAGTGCAACACTCCAGGAAAAAACACTCTTTGATCTCAGGAAGGTTGACTCAGGCAGAAAGCCAACTGAGATCTGAGAGGACTCTTCCCCCCAGCCCCGAAGTTTCTTCCTAAGGAAAAGGTCTTCTAGCATTAAAAACATTAAATCCCCTCAATTGATGTTAACATGGTCCCCTGGGAGCTTCTGCTAGACTTAATTATCCCCCAAGAAGTGTAATCACATTAAGTAGCAAGTTCTAAGTGGAAAGTGACTGAAAGATGCTGTTCGACCCCTTGTGTTGTTTTTTGATGATAAGCCTGGTCTATGTCATTGATCAGTGGGGATTGTCTTTGATTGGCTTAAAGCCAAACCTTTTGTTGTTGTTGTTTTATCTGCCCATAAATCTAAGTGATTTTGAGTTATCTCTGCTCTTGAGATCCAAATCAACAGAGAACAAAGTATATTTGGTGAAGCAGAAATAATTCTGCTTTACTTCTCCAAGTAAAGTTGTTCAAGCTTGGAGATCGGATCAAAGCAACGGGGCAGAAGGAAAAGTAAATAGCCACATGGCATTAATTCTAATTACCTAAATGTTGGGTGAAAAATAACCCACCACACAGGTCTGGGTATCACATATGGTAACCCACATTCTCACATTCTGGGAAAGGTGAGCTAAGTAGTTTTGAGCCTTCATTTCAAAAATGCTCAAGTGAAGCCAAATAAACCAAGTAAACCAGTCTCTGGGCTGCCTATATTGTTCAGCATAGATTCTCATTGTCACATTTTATGATGGATTTCATACTGGAGCACCTCAGCCTGAAATGCTGCCACATTTATTGATGCTTAATTTTGAGCAATAAAAATTCGGTGCATAAACTATATAAGAGAAACGGTATGAAAACAGTGAAATATATAAGCCTATCAATCACAAATTTTCAGTAATGGTAGATGTAGATTTTAACACTGCATCTAATAGATTCCCTGTGGAAAGAGAATGGCATTCTTTGCTCTCAGCATGAATTTATAAATCTACAGAATTTTATTACAGGAAAACCAGGTCAAATGGAAATGAAAGATGAAGTGCACATCAAAAATGCATAAAGCTACATGCATTACAGAAATCATTTCCCATAAATTAAAAAAAGAAGACAATATAAGTTATATTGTTTTTCTCAATCGCTAGGTGCTTCTGACTTTGTTCCTTAGACTGGGGGTAGTCTTATGCTGGTTTCCTTTGCACTGGCTTGTAAAAGTGTAAGCTTTGCCAGGAAGAAATGATGTTGCAACTGGAGTTCAAAATCTCAGCTAATGATCATGTTGGACTCTGTTATGTGATTCTGCTGAGACTCTTGCATTATTTTGAATGTGCAGAAAACTTGGAAAGTGACCTCGTCTCATTAAGTTTCCTCTAGCTCTGGACAAACATCATGGTAGTGTCTGGCATCTGTTACAGGAGTGAAATAAAACAGCACTGGTTCTAGTCACTCGACAGAGTCACTTCAGAAGACATTTAGGTGGACTTGGTACCACACCAGAGCTCTTTAATCTGTGACTTCTGAGAAAGTGACAGTGTAATAAGATAATGTGGACTGCTAGACTCCCTGGCTCTGTTCAATCTCTCTAGCAGTTGATTAAGAAAGAGCAGTTTCTAATGACTCTGGACCATTAGTCCTAAATAAGGTTAATGAATTAATTTAGCAGACACTGGTTACTCAGAGGAGGTGGACATGGCTTTGAGAGGTCTGCTGAGTTACAGAGGCATTTTCTGGCTCTGGTCACTTCAAGCATAGCGACATGGCTTTTGCTGGTAAAGCTCAACAACTAAAGCCAGATTTTCAGCATTCCCCAGATTTCTGCTAAGAAAACTAAGAAGTGTGTGTGTGTGTGTGTGTACTGCATATATATTTGTGTAGTTCACAACCTAAAGTCTGATAGCTCTTTGCATTGAGCTTCAAATCTATCTTGTGAACACCCCCACTATGGATTTAGTCTCAAGAGTTGTGGAGGACAGGGTTACTATAATTTCTAGTCCAACCATTTGAGCTCTTTCAGTTGGACGAGAATGCTATTTCATTCCCTGCCAGAGTATAGAAAGATGCTACCAGCTCAGGTTCATTAATAAATTGAATTCTACATTCATAATTTTTTGTGTCTTGCTTTCCTGCCAGATTATAGAAAAATGCCATCAACTTGGGCTCATTAATAAGCTGAATTCCATGTTCATAATTTTTTTTTTTGCATGTGTTTTGCTTTAAGCATCTCTTAAAATACTGCTTGGTAGCTGCTGAGGGAAATCCATTGCTAAAATCACAAAACCTTGAAAAAGCATATTAGAGAGATTAACTTCCATCATAAAGATGTGATTTAAATTCCTGTTGGTATGAGGCCCTCCACTTGCGGTCTCTTATTAAAACAATATACCACAGTAAGTAGTGGATGTTCTTTTCTTCTAATTACTGTGATTGAAATCTAAGCCAGACAAAAGTAAATATTTGATCATTAGTTAATAACAATTGCTGACGACTTACTGTAAAGATAATTGCATACCCTTGCCTGCACTTACTTTACAGTGTGAAGTCAAACATGCCTACAACCAGATCCCATTTTAAAACACATTATTTAGGTTACATGGTACTGTTTAGACCCCAGTATAGTTTTTCATTTACTTAACAGTGAGTGATTTTAAAAGCTAAGTGGAAGCTGCAACTAGCTTAGGGATTTTCAGATATCCTGGTGCCTTACACTGTATATGTCAGATTCCTGTATTGATACTATGTAACTTTCAGTCATACTCCAGACAGATTACGGAAGGTGTACAAAGGCGGGGGAGGGAGTTTCATCAACCCACAAACCGATATCTCTGGCCGTCACCCACCAGAGGAAACGGCTTAGGGGAGCAGCAAAGGAACCAGGAAGTAAGATCTCCTGGTAAAGTGTTCATTAACTTTCAACAGCCATCAGATTTTTGAAAGGGAGTCTCTTCTAATTGCCTTTGGGAGGAAACATTATTAAGATAATTGGCATGCTGATCTGGGAAGGTAGACAGCTCTGTCTTGTAACAGAGGTAAGGAAAAGCCCCACAGCCCAAGGATCAACGTCAGGAGGGAGCCCAAAGACCTGAAATCCTCCTGCTCTAAACCGCCTGATCTCATTTCTTCTTCTCTCCTCCCAGATAAAAGTTTCCTTCGCCCGGGAGTCGGTTGTTCCCGGCTGATCCCGGGAAGCCCCGCCTGAGCCCCGGTCCGGGGCGGGCAGCTGGGAGCCGGGGCGCCGCTGTCACCCGCGCCTCTGCCTGTCACTTACCGTTGCGAAAAGCGCCGGCCGGGGCGAGGACGAGGGCGAGCACGGCGCAGAGGAGCGGCAGCCCCCTCTCCATTCTCCCTTCTCCGGGTCCGCAGGCAGACGCGGGAGAACGAGGACGTGGGGGGAAATGCAGCAAAGAGGAGAATCTAAGCGATCCGAAGAGCCCCAACTCCGCCTAGAGCTGTACAATCCTCAGCCCGTCTTGGAGAAAAGAAAGCAGCGAGGCAATGCCTGGATCCGAGAGGAACGCTTCTCTTTTTGTGTCTCAAGTCGCCTGCATCCTGTCATTTAGCTCCGGCTTCCTCTCCCTTTTCCCACACTTGTTCCTCTTCCAGGAGCCACTGCCCGGGCCATGTCTCAAAAAAAAAAAAAAAAAAAAAAAAGGCCGGGGGGGGGCTGTGGGTGGGAGGGGGAGGAGGGAGGTAGGGCAACACACACCAAAGCCAATTTCCAGGAAGAAAAAAAAAAAATCCGGCTTGTTTCTGGACCCGTTGGAGCCGCGGAGCTGGCGCCCAGGGGAGGTCCGGGTGTCTGCGGGAAGGAGGGGAACGAGCAATGAAAAGATGAGCGGGAGACAGAGGAGTTTCACCAACTGCACCCCCGCCTCCCCTCCTGCGGCCTCCCCCCACTCCGGAGCCCTTCCCTCGCTTCCTCCCGCCCCTCTCCCCGCTTGGGCTCGCCTGTAATTGCCTGACAGGAGACTGGGAGGAACAACTTTCCCTCCGAGTGCTCTCCCCGTCCGTCTGTCTGTCTTTCCCAGAGACCCTGCAGGGATCTCCGCGGGAAGGAAGGCGCTGGGAGTCTGCGCCCCGGTCGCGTGGGTGCGGGCGTCGGAGGAAGGGGCGCGGAGGTCAGTGCCAGCCGCAGGGTCTGGCCAGCCCACCTCGCGTGCTCGCTCTGCACCCCTAGAGGGAGAGCTGGGCAGCTCCTGCAGGCGCAGATCCCGCCGCCGCGCAGTGCGGAGCGCCCGGGAGGTGGCGGCTGCTTCTCGCAACTTCAAATCCCGGGGCCCGCGCCCTCGGCGGCGAGGAACGCAGGGTCACCCCCTGCCACTCCTCATCGCGCCATCCTGAGACCTGTGGCGGGGAGCAGCGGGGCACCCCTGGACGCCCCTGCCCAGAGCTGGAGGGCGAGGAGGGGAAAGCCGGGCTGGAGTGGGAGCCGCACCGCGAAGCCGGGCGAGGGGCAGCAGTGTCGCTGTGGTGTGAAGCGAAGACAGACCGCCTGGGCGGGCGAGGCCGGGCTGCAGCCCCACGCGGCCTCCCTGGCCCGCATCAGGGCGCGCGGCTGGGTGCCCTCTGCGCGCCGCGGAGGCTTCATTGTTTCCCGAGATTTGGTGCCCGTTCCTCTGGGGCAGAGGGAACACCGGAGGGTGGGAGGTGCTGCGCCTTCCAAGCAGGGGGGCAATCGCCGCCCGACCCCGCCCAACCTTGTCTGGGAGCCCAGGTGCTAGGGAGGGGTGTGGAAATCAGGGGTCGGGCGGCCCCCGTTTCTCTGTGCATCCCGAGGGAGGGAAAGAGTGGCGGGGGAGGGGTGCTCTTCGCTGCGCCCTCTCAGTGTCCGCTCCCGGCCACAGACAACGTGCACGCCGGCCCTGGAGCTCCTGCCACCCCCACTTCCCACAGCGGCTCGTGCCCCCAGCCCGCTGGATGCCCCCCAGGCCCGTCCCCGAGGGTTTTCCGAGAAGTGCTGCAGGAAGCGTTTGTAGATGCGAAAAGCAAGGACATTTCTGGGAAGAAACAGGTTGCGGTCACCGATCAGGCCCCGGAGAAGGGTCAGTGCCCACGGGGCACCTCCCAGGGAGTTTGTGGGTAAGGTGAAAAGGTCACACGCCTCCTGGGGATTGGCGTCTACACACACAGCCAAAGTACAGCCTGATTCCTACCTGGCACAAATAGCTGGCCAAAGGGAGGTAGGAATGCTGGCAAGGAGACTCTGGTCAAAGGTTTTGGCGGAAGAAAAAGGGGCGGGCAGGGAGAAAGCCCAAGGCGCGCGGGCCCCAGGCCAGGACTGCGCGCTCGCGACTCGGGCTGGGAGCAGTGACGTGCGCCCCTCGGGGTGCAGGCCGTTCCCGGGCCAGTGGGAGGTGCACCCACGGAGCCCGCACTCGCCACTCTCTTGCCCCGGGTCAAGCCTGTCTTCTCCTCCCCACGCGCCTCGGGATTCCCAGTCGCCAAGTTGGAAACTCGGCCCCCCCGAGCGCCTCTTTCCTCTGCCAGTTTCCTCCTTCTTCTCAGCTGTCGGACCCCTGGGAGGCGCGGGGTGGGAAGTGGGCACCGAAGGGCTGGGAGTTAAATGCCTAAGTTGAGCGGAAGGAGCACTGTCGAAGCCATGGGCAGCCCTGCGCCCGGGCAGGCGGGCAGGCGGGAGGCGAGGCGGGGGCGCCGACCGCGCCCAGCGCAGACCCCGGGGGAGTGAGCGCCGCAGAGGCAGCCTGGGCTCTCGGCTACTACCCGCGCGCGGTCGCCGCCTCCCCAGGTGCAGCCCCGCCAGTCCCAGCCCCCGGCTGCGCCGGGCGAGCGGCATCATCAGATTTAGGGTGACCCGGAGCGACCTCGGTCCAGGCTCGGAGGGAGAGGCGCCTCTCAGGACCTGGCAGGTTGACAGGGAAGGGGAACCGGGAGGGAGCGGCGGCCGGGGCGGCCTGGAGTCTCGGAGGCCCGCCTGCGTCCTGGGGGGACCCGACCTCCGCGCTCGCTCCGGAGCGCCCGTTTGGATAGCTCTGAGCCTCGGCGGGGTGAGCGAGGGGGCACACGAGGGAGACTTGAGCTGTGTTGTTTTTAGAAAACTGCCGCCAATCTCTCTTCCCCTTTCCCTGCTGAGTGTGCATTTTCCAGCCTAGACCCGCCAGGCCAGCAAATAAAGCCACCGGATCGTGCACTCCGGAGCGACTGCCCCCACCCCGACCTTGTCTTTCCCGAAGGGAATGGCTCCTCCGGCGCCTCAACGCACAGAAAACGCCTGCCTCCAGCTGAGCGCTTTTGCCAGCTTTCTCCAACCAGTGAATAAGGGATGCACTATGGACTCAGAAGGAAATGTCATATTTAAGTTCTGCCTCTGATTTCTCTGCTCTTAGCTGATCTAAGGTTTTTCTAGACTCCTTAGTTTCCACTCACAGTGCTGGGTAATGGAGCCCTACCGCACTGATTGAGAATTGCCGGCCAGTGGGTTGGTACAGAGCAAATTGTCCTTGCTAACAACCTTTTTCCTTTGCTGTTGGATTCCACTAAGTGGTGAGAGGGGTCAGTTTTAGATTTTTGCAATTCCCCAGCGTGGAGACAGGCCGGCTCTATACGAGAATAAGTGATAGGCAGAGGAAGAATTTGGCAGTGTTCCCGGGTTGATTTTATTTTGGTCTCTTGAACACATTATTCTTCCTGATAGAACAAATCCCTGGACTTGGTAGGACCCAGTTCCAGGGAAGGGAAGAGTCCTCTACCGCACCCCCAGAACGCCCTGCAGAGGCTGTGAGTGGGCAAAGCCCAGTTTCCTGGACTCCCACTTAGGAGGTGCTGCAGAAATAAGGCCTTCAGCTGGGGCTCCCTGAGTCGGATTGGAACCGTGGCCCATCAGTAAGAGTAGACTGGATGGTAACTGCTCGATTCCTTTCATCAAGCTCTCATCCCTTTGTCAGAAATAGATGAAATCGATTGCTCCCAGAAGGCCATTTGAGCCACTAACTCCCTCAAAGTACTTCAGATTCATGCAATATGGAGATTCGGGTTGGTAGTTCAAACTGCATCATATCTAGTCAAGTTTTTTGAAAACATCAAACCCATAAATTTCAGAAAAGCAATACAAGCTCCATATTTTTAGTAGGAGCTAACCTAGTTTTGAGATGTATGAATAGATGAAGTGAAACTGGAAAAACATTAAAAGTTGGAATTTTAATTAACTAATGTTTAAAATAAGCCTATTAGTGGTTATTCTGTCAAGTGACTGTGTCATGCAAGAGGTGTCATCTGGGCCTCATTTTTGGCCATCTCCTTGATTTGTACTGACAGAGAAGGAAGGAAATAAACAAATGAATCTTCACTTTCTGATTCTACCTTTTTAGCCTTTTAAAAGTTACCTTGAAAATTCCTCAAATATTGGAGAAACGACTACCAACTAAAACGTTAACACAAAGTTACAATGTGAAGTTTTTGTGATACAGTATATTTACTAACCAACAAGATGAAGAAAGATAATGCTAAATTTTGAATCACACTAGATTCAAAACATTTGCTAGAGTAGAGGTTACAGCCATATTTGAAAACTGTATTATTTTTCTGAGATAATAATATTAAATGATTTTGCCTTCATTGGATTACTTTTAAATTGGGAAAATTAAAATAATTATAACCAACAGAAACACTCTTCAAATCAATAGAGACATCATTAGAGAGAACATATTCAAAATTTGAAAGGACTGTTTTAAATAGGGCAATCTTTAAAATATAATTTGAACAACCAGAATAGAAAACTGGCTGCCTCTTAATATTTAATCATAGTTTTATGTAAATAGCTAAAATTTTAAATCAATAAAAAATAATTTTTAAAAATATCAAACAATGGCCACAACAGTTAAGAATTGTTGAATTTATTCTCAAAGGATGTAATTTCATTTTGCATTTTTATTAGATGACTCTGGCAGTTGCCTGTAGAATGGGTTATGGGCGGAGCAAGGGAAGAAATGAAGAGACCAGTTTTGAAGTAACCATAGTAGAATCTAAAGGAGAACTTCAACAAGGATCTGGCGGTGGAGATTGGAAAAGGATGCTTTCCAGATGTATTGAGAAAGTCCAACTGGACAGATGGTGGTGGATAAGCCAATGAAGGAGAGGGTGTTACCAAAGATTCAGGCCCTCATCACTGATGGGTGCGATTGCCTTCATGTAAGCAAAGGGACACTAGCAAAAGGCTAATTTGGAAGGAAGATCATGAATTTGATTGGGGTTAGGTACAGTTTCTGGTGTCTTTGAGGCAATCAAATGAGTTAGGAATTCAGAGGAGATGTTTGGATTGGAGATTTTAAGTTTGTGAGTCACTGACATGTAGATGATGGCAATCAAAGTGGAAGGAATGGATAAAATTGCTGAGGAAATTTCAGGAGACCCAGGATAGGAAGTTAAGGACCCTTTAAAGCCTGGATTGTCACAGTGAGCTAACAAAATACCTTGAGAATGAGCAGCTGGGTGGTAGGTGGAAAACCAGGAGAGCCTATTGTCATAAAAGTCAAGGAGAGGGGGAATTTCTAAAAGGAAGCTCTGGACAAGAGTGGAACACCATCAAGAGTTCCACTCGGATGAGGACTGGAATGCAATTGGACTTAGTGGTATCATGGTTACTGAGAATTGACTCTTCCAAGAGTCATTCAGTGGAGCGATGGAGGAACAGGACTAGAGGTCAGATTGCAATGGGCTGAAGAGTCAATAGAAGGTAAAGAAAGAGAGAGAACACATAAAGATAAAATTCTCTCTGGAAGTTTCTACTAAAGGGGAGGAGACAGACGATAGCTCTGGAAGGAGGAGATGTGGAGGGAGGTTGACTTTTTATTTTATTTTATGTTTGCTTTTAAGATAGGGTACTTGTGAACATTCTTGAATGCCAATGGATAGAATCCAGTATTGGGGGATATGTTGAGATTAAACTACTGAAAAGATAATCCGGGTGTTGATTGCCTGGGAAGGCAGGAAGGGATACAATCTACAGCCCAGATGGACAGATTTACCGTAAGTTGGAAGAGGGACAGCTCCTCTGTTATAGCAGTGGGGAAAGAGGAGCTGATGGGTGTGATTACAAGAAGGTTTGTCATTTCAGTGGGTGGGTGTGGGGGGCAATTTCTCTCTACTCTGGTTTTCTCTGTGAAGTAAGTCGTACCTTTGAGTAAGAATGACAGTGGAGGAGAGGAGCCGAAAGTGCCTGGAGAGCAGAAAAAAATTGACGGGGACGACTAAGCTGACCAGAGAAGCTGTTGTTATCATGTTATTGTTTTGATAATTTCGTAAGTTAAAAATTTGAGCTGGGAGCACATTTTCTATGGAAGGCATTCTCCTAGAAAAATTGGCTAGTTTTTCATGAAACTCAAAAAAATCTGCTTAACTCACAAGGAAGTAGTAATATAATATGAATGGTATTCTTTCAGCTTTAGTGACTCAAAGTAGGTGTTCTATAAATGTTCTTTTTTAAAAAGAAAATTTTCCAACCATTATTTACAGCACATTAAGGAATGTGTCTATTGATGGGTAGGAAAAGTTTCCCCCCAACCAAATAATTCTTTGTAATAATGTCTTCACTTCCTCCCTGCCCTTTGTGCTTTATCCTCCTAGAGATAGCCAAAGAAGAATTTAAAGTTATCATTTATGTCCTGTACCAGACCTCCACAGACTGGCTTATTTGGATAATTCAAGTGAAATACAACCAAGATGTTTCTTTAGTTTTGCGAAGTCTAGACTCAACATCAATATTGCACACATTTTTCAGATATATATGTGATGTTTTTTGAATTGTTATACAATTTCCTGCCTTGATATTTCAGTCAAATGTATTGGGTAGGTTATCAGAGGGCGTTGTTTTCAAAAAAAGCCTTTTTCCTTCAATTTATTTTGTTAAAGCATCAGACTGCCAAAGAATCTTAACTTCTATGTAAGGGGTGATACATTAATACCTTTTTGGTTGATTTTCAGCTACAGAATGCACAGCCTTGATGGACTTGCTTTAATCCACACTAAAGCTTATATGACATGAGGAAGTCATGCAGAACAGAACAGGCCTTTCTGGAACTTTTATATTTTAAGAAGTCTTCAGCCTGTTAGTACAACAGGTTACCTTTTGGCAGGCACATTTTCCTCCTGCTCGAATGCTATAAACACCCCAGCAGGGACGATAAATAGCAATGTAGACAGCAAGGGAAAATATTTGCTAAAAGATACTCCTGCACTTTCTCTTTTTGATGTTTCCCTTGTAAGTTTTAGTTGAAGAAACTGGAAAAAATAGAAATGTAAAAGTTGAAACAGCAAAATTATAAAGTGACAGGTGATACAACAAAACATATCAGTTTGTACTCAAAATGTAAAGCAATAAAGCAAGCACACATTGAGACTCTCTAATTAGTATAATTTGCATTCACAAAGTTCAAAGTGGAACTTGGGTATTGCCATTCTCTTGCTTCTCTCCCTAACAAGCCACAGGTAGCCGAAATGAGGCACATTGAGAGTTCAAATTTGGCAAAACTCTGCAGCAATTCAGTGACAGAATAAAACATGGGAAATGGATGTTTTGAAATTGAGTCTGTATCTTAAAGAAAGTGAAAGTAAAACTTTATAATAAAATAAGGCTAAATCATACACAATTAGTGTATCCTTTTGAAAATTAGTTTGTGTTTTATAAGGTCAAATGGCTTCTTTAAATTCATACTGTGCTATTGTATCTAGCCTGGCATGTTTCTTTACTGTAGTTCTTTTTCTGAATTTTTAAACCCCTTTGTGATTTCACAGAGTTAGTAATTATGTTGGGATGTTGGGGCGTGGACTGGATGTAGCTAAACATACTCAGATTTGACTCACATTCAAATGTACTCAAACATTCAAATTTAAAGTTGTCTGCCAAAGCAAACTTCTGTCTCATTGATTTTTAAAATTCTCTGGACCTTGGTTTGAAAATGTGTTCTTTGGGTTTCAAAACAGTTATCTGTCTTAGATAGATCAACTCTGACATCTACATATTTGACACTAGTTCTGATTATGTCAAGTGCATATCTTTTATTATGTAGATAAAAGACAACAACTTGCATGTCACGTAAAAGAGGAAGCATCTCTTCAGGTCCCGGGTACATGAGTGAGTGGTGATCCTGGTTTTTCAGTTGCATATCAAGAAACACAACCTAGATGAGCTTAATGAAAAAGGAGATTAGTGGTCATAACAGGGAAACTTTGGAGTGAACTTGGCTTCAGGCATAGCTGGAACCAACGGTTCAGTGGATGCCAATCAGCAGGGTGTCTTCTGTGTTTTCATCTGAGCTGGCTTCTTTCTCAAGCAAGAACTCCCCAGGCAGTGTCAAAGATAGTAATGACAGCTCCGTAGTTAAGGGGCCCTTCAAGGTCATGATCACTGAGAAAGTGTTCAGGCAGAGGGTGCTTTCTCCCTCAGAGTATGTAATTATCATTAATAAAATTCTGATTCACTCCAGTTGGATGATGTACCCATCCCTGGGCCAGTTAGTTGTCAAGGGAGACGGGTTACTCTTAAGCCCACCCTGGCTGTGGGCATGAGAACACATGGTAGACAGAATGCAGACAGGCCATCTCCAAGAGGAAAAGGGAGTCTCTGGATTCTGTGATACAAATAAAGGGAAAAGGACGCCAGGCAGTCAGCGGAAACAGGTGCCCACCACTCGGCAGCCCATTCTCTTGGTTATAGTTAGTTGTTTTCAAGTGATAGTACAGTTGACTCTTGAACAATATGGGGGCTAGGGGTCCCGACCCCTCCCCTGCACAGTTGAAAATTCACATATAATTTTTGACTCCCCTAAAACTTAGCTAGTAATAGCTCACTGTTGGTCAGAAGCCTTCCCAATAACATAGTCAACTAACCCATATCGTGTACATGTATTATATGCTGTGTTCTTACAATGAAGTAAGCTAGAGAAAAGAAAATGTTATTAAGAAAATCAGAAGGAGGAGAAAGTACGTCTACTATTCGTGAAGTGGAAGTGGATTATCGTAAAGGTCTTCATCCTCATCATCTGCATAAGGAGTAGATTGAGGAAGGAGGAGGAAGAGGAGGGGTTGGTCTTGCTGTCTCAGGAGTGGCAGAGGCAGAAGAAAATCTGTAAAGAAGTGAACTTGCAGAGTTCTAACCTGTGTTGTTCAAGGGTCAGCTGTACATGTTCTTAGTTTTTGTTTTGGTTGGTGTTAGTGTCGTGTTTGTTTTATTTTGCTTTGCTTTCAGTTTTTTATTTGAATATCCAGCTGTGGCAGACAGCATGAATCTATAGATTTTACTTCAAAATCTGAGGCCAGTACTGTATGCAGGGCCAGCTGTCAGTAAAATTATAAAGCAGGAAGAGCTTTTGTTTGTTTTTTGAGACAGAGTCTCAGTCTGTCCCCAAGCTGGAGTGGAGTGGTGCAATCTCAAGTCACTGCAACCTCCACCTCCCGAGTTCAAGTGATTCTCATGCCTCAGCCTCCCGAGTAGCTGGGATTACAGGTTCCCACCACCATGCCCAGCTAATTTTTGTATTTTTAGTAGAGATGGGGGTCTCACCATGTTGGCCAGGCTGGTTTCGAACTCCTGACCTCAAGTGACCCGCCTGCCTCAGCCTCCCAGAGTGCTAGGATTACAGGCATGAACCGCTGTATACGGCCAAGAGGAGTTCATTTTTAACTCCATCTCCTTTTGGGTGTATGTCCCTAATTTAATTCGCTCTTCCCTGTCCTCTCACAAGGACTTCCAAAGAAATAGAGCAGTGGCAGAACACAATACTTAACTCATAGAATGGTGAGATTGCAGGCACCACTGTTAGCCAGGTGAGGAAGGTTTTTGGAGGCAAGGAACCTTCCAAAATATCTTCATAAGGATGTAAGGAACCTATGCATACTTGGAGTTGGAGTGTACTGCTGTGTTCAGACATTTAAAGCTGCCTTTGTAAAGGAAATGAGATTATATTTACTCTGGGGAGATTGCCATGAAGACAGTGCTTGAGAAGCACCTTTAAAATATGAAGTTTTCCTCAACAAATGCAACATTTTTAAGGGGCTACGACTGGTGGACTACAGGTGTGAAAAGTGTGCAGTATAACAGCAATAGCATCATAAATGGAAAAGCTTGGAACAGACTGTTCTTCTGCAGAGCATATCTTGTGTGGTGTGTTTTTTTCGAGGTATGTTAAGAGTCTTGGAACAAAAGAATTACTTGACTATATTGAGATGTATCTGGAACAGGCCCACACACGTCTGTGGTGCCAGTTTATTCTTTTACAAAATGTTACCTTTAAAAAAAATTTTTAAATACACACTTAAATGGGGATGGGAGCACTGTCAGGGAGAGTCTCACCTATGAAAGCAAAAAGCACAGCTTAATTTCAGAGCACTGCACTGGGAGTCCAGTCTCCGCTCTCCACAACTCTCAGAGAAATTCTGAACACAGCACTTTGTCATATTTTCCACTAATTTGTTCCCAAGGTCTCTCTCCGGAGAGCGTCTACAAACTCAACCCCTGCCCTGAAGGGGCTGTGGAGGAAGTGGGCAAGGTTGTCTACAGTGTGACTTTCTTGGGATACTTCTTCATCCTGGGGGAAGGCCTAATGTCTAAGTGACCACCTGTGAGCAGGTGTTTCTCTCACAGGGATCCGTTTCTACGAGCAGACACCCTTGTGGCTCTTGTTTGATCTGTGTTCAGTTTATTCCTACCAAGATAGCTACTCTCTAGGAAAGCCTGGATCGGTTTCCTCTCTAGGAGACCCCAGAAGGAGGTTGGGTTCAGGTATGTCAGGCAGGGGAGACACAAAGGAGGCAACTCAACAAAGCACATGAAACAGCAGAGGATGTGTATTACTCACAGGTCCCAGAGAGGAAGGGAGCAGGACTCATAGGGCCAGCTGGAAGTGGGGAACTGTCTGAGACACACACATGCAACCAGGGAGTGGGGAGCAAGAGAGAGAGTTGTAGGGGGGACCTGTGGGCCAAAGCCCTTACTAGGGTCTAGGGCATTACCCAAGTAGGCTTCCCATGGGAAGTTCTAATCGGTGGGTGAGCTCTGTGGAGACTGCAACTGAGAGGGGGTCACTGCAGCATATCTGTGTGTTCTATGTTGGTGGGGGAGTTGTTGGGGCAGTCAGTGGGGCCAGTCAAGTAGGTTGTATCCAGCTCTCCCTTAGGGAGGTGGTCACCAGCAAGTGGTTGTCAACCACCTTGAGTTACTGGGAGGAAGCAGAGAGCAGAAGACTATGTCAAAGATGACTAAGCCCTGCTCCCCGTATGAGAAAGTCAAGCCTAGATTCAGGACCGATGCCAGAGCAACATAAAACTATAGAACTCACTACATGCTTCATGCAGCTCGGTTTCCAGTGTTTCCATCTGTAAGAGACAAGTATTGAATTAAGTGATGTATCAGGACCTTATCAGTTGCCAAATTGAATCATTCTACTGTTTTTTTCAGCAGCTTTGATAAAACATTAGTGCAGGCTTGTCATTACCCAATACTACTGGAGGCCTTGAAAGTGTGGAGTGCTGTACTAGGATGGCACATGACGTGACTTATGCTGACATTGACTCCTATGCTGACATTGACTCCTTTGCACAGCTGATATTTGAAACGCTCTTGGTATATTTTCTTTCTGAATTGTTTGTGTTCCTAACATGGGCCATGAATCTCTGAAGTGGACATGGATACCATGTCCTATGTCTACCTGTACATATTGTCAGCTTGCAATAAGAAATATGATAATAAAATGAAGTTCTATCAGAGGAGTGGCAGGGGATGATCAAACCACAAAGAAAACAAAGCAAGGAAACAGCACAACGCAAACACAGACACCCCTCACCAAAACTCTTCTCTGCCTGATTGCTCTAAAACACAAGGCAAGTCAATATTCCTGTTCAGCTGAGAACAAGAGTGTTTACTTCATGGAAGATCTTTGAGAGTTAGCTAAATTAAAAATTTAAGGAAAAAGGCTTATCAAGAAAATATGAGTCAAAATGTGGCTGTTCCTTTTTATGTTTCTCCGATTTCGTGCTATTTTGCTACTGGAAATTTTCTGCCTCTCTGGATACTCTTGCAAATGGGAACAGATACGCCTAGCCTGGGTTCCTGCTCCATCATTCCCCCAGTTCTAGGAGCAGGAGCGGAGCACCACTGGTGCTAGGTCAAGTGGAAGACAAATGATGCCACATTTTTGCTGTGGATTTTCTTTTATGTCGTCTCTAGCTTCTGGACCAGCGGTATATTATTTTTCAGAGTCTTTTTCAGATCAATTCTGAGCTTAATTGCTGACTTGCTTGTGAGGTTGGAAGCTCTACCTACAGTGTACCATGCTTTTGATAGAGAAGGTTTCTGGGCAGTTTTTGGTTTTTCATAGAGGTATTGGATAGGCTCATACTGATTAAGCTGTGGCTCCAGCAAACATGCTCAATATTATGAAGTCCAGGAGGTAGGTTTTGTTGCTAACATAAAAATATTCTTCAGCTCCACGCTGGCCCAAAGCAGGAGGGGGAAGTTGGAGAGGAACTTCTTCATCCATCAAACAAAGTGTATATTTGTTGCCGTTTTGACAATCACATCCCTTAGTAAAAGATGTACTTGAAAAACAATATAAATAAAATAAAGTTTCATAAAGGCTCCCAAACATTCTTCCTTTCCCCCTGAGGCTATAATGACTATCCTGGTTTTAAAATCCCTTTTCTTATTCCTTCTGAGTTTTCCCATTTCGTGCTCCCTGGGAGCATCTCTGTAAAATAAGCCTGTGGAAAATGGGTAATGAGGAAATCGTTGCCTTAATTGAAGGTCGCATCTACAAAGGTCCAGGTAGGTGCACTTTGGCTGATGGAAAAATCCCCCAGAGTGACATCCTGCTGCCCTGAAATAGAGGCTCGGTTGTCATTTGTTAGAACAACGGTGGCGCCTGGTTGGCATCTCGAGTGTTGTCTTTGTTAATCTCACAACCAGGTGATTTCCATTACTGACGACACCCCACATGGGAAGGGGGCAAGGAAGGGCCCCCAAGGACTCCCATAATTAAGCACAAACACTTTTACAGTATTAAGTCAAAGCCGAATGCCTCCCAAATCCTCTTGGTGTTGAGTTCGTGTGCCCTACACAATGGTGACCTTTAATATGTCCCTTTCAGATCCAGCTAGATTAGTCCTGTGCTCTGGCCTTGATATTTTTTGTTTTGTTTTCTAGTGCTATTCCTTTAAAAGAAGAACTATGAGAGTGATTTTTTTAATCTGTTTGCTTACTTTTCTTTTCTTTTTTTGGCTTATTGTCAACATGTTGTGTTGACACACTTTTTAGCCTAAAACAGAGAGAGGACCTTCTAAATACAAAAGATAGGATGCTTTCAACAACTCGATTCCCTAAAGCACTGGAGAATTCTGCGATCTGTTAGACTTCAATGTAAGCATTTTATAGAGGTTCCCATGACAGGATTATTAGTCAGCAGTTTCACTTAAAGGTCTTTTTTATTTTTTTGGCCAGTAGACTTTCTCCTTCTACAGCTGCAACTGTATTAAATATACATCCCCAATAATTTAGCTCCTCTTCTTTCTCTGGTGGAATATTTTCAGTTATGTAATTTCAGCTCCTGCTGCTTATTTGGGGTGATTATTATTATATGTGGTCCCTAGCCTAGGAATGAATTCTGCTGTAGATACCAGTTTTTAAATTAGTTAGAATTCTGCCTGGTTCCCCACAGGAAAAATGTCATAAAAGATGGGCCACAAGACAGTCCACCAAGCCATTTTAAACTCCCACATAGCTGAACTTTCATCATTGGCAGCTCTGAGTTGTGAGGTCTCTTGTGACACTGGCCCTGGTTATTTTTAAGAGGGGCAAGAAAGGTAAATCAAGAGGGTAGTGATAGAAGCAGGCTAGAAAAAGCCAGGCTTTGGCAGCTGGGCTGCTCTCACGGGATTATGAGGGGCCATATTCTAAGTAGCAGGAATTGAAAGTGGTGAATGGATTCAGGTCCTGACCATGCATGAGGCTCCTGTCAGGAGGTGCCATAAGAGCTGAGCACATCAATTTGAAGAAGAGGCTCATAGAGAGTTGGGTGTCCTTCATGGGACCAGGATGGCGTTGAGGGGTAAAGGTGGACAGCAATTGCTTCTTATTTGTACACAGCTTATTTGGGAGTTGGAGCTCATCTTATTAATGAAGGTAAAATTATGACTTGAAAACCAACCATATTTCACTACTAGAGTATCATTATTTGATGCTTTCAAAGTCTCCATGTGCTTGCACCTTATTGATCTTGTCACCAGTTCTCCTAAATTCCAATCTGGATGCATAAGAAATATCAAATTGCCGAGGTGGGCGGATCACAAGGTCAGGAGATTGAGACCATCCTGGCTGATATGGTGAAACCCCATCTTTACTGAAAATACAAAAAATTAGCCAAGCGTGGTGGTGCACACATGTAGTCCCAGCTACTTGGGAGGCTGAGGCAGGGGAATTGCTTGAACCCGGGAGGCGGAGATTACAGTAAGCCAAGATCGCGCCACTGCACTCCAGCCTGGCAATAGAGCAAGACTCCGTCTCGAAAAAAAGAAAGAAATATCAAAGTGGTTTTGGTATAAAGAGCTAGCCTTCCCGTTGGCCTCAAGGATACGTTAGAGATAACAGCAAGCTGTCTAAATATTTGCAGACTACAACATTCAAAGATAAGGCAAGAGGACCAATCTTAAAGATTTTACAAAATAATTGCAACAAGTGCATGCATCTGTTGTTTCTCAAATCATGTTTTAATGTTTTAGCTATTAGGTGAAAATGGCTATGTACAATGTGCTATTTTTAAATTGTCAAGAGTAGATTTGGAAGGTTATTATCAATATCCTACACTTTTCCTTTCGTGACTCAATAATAATTTTTGCACTTTCATTTAGCCTTAAAAAATAGAACAATAATGCATCCAAGTATAAGGTCAATTGCAAAGTGACCCCTGTAGTTTTTGCTTCAAAACTATTATATTGTGCTATTTATAATATCAAATTGCCACTGTCTAGAGGCAAAATGATCATTTCAAAATCTTTGTAACAATCTAGAGAAATATTTACAAATATTAGCCACAATTCTAGTGTAATTTTTCTGATGTGTTTCTATTGCTGACAATTGTTTTGTAAAATCTTGATGATTGGTCCTCTTGTCTTTGAATGTCGTAAGTCTGGAACTATTTAGACTGCTTGCTGTTATTGCTGATATATCCTTGAGACCGTCAGAAAACCTAGCTCTTTTTCCCAACACCAATTTGATATTTCTTATATATGCAGGTTGGAATTTAGAAGAGCTGGGTGACATGATCAATAAGTGATTTTGAGAATTGCTCAGAACTTCATTTTATCTTTTTTTTTTTTCTCAAACAACCTTTAAAATCAGAAACTCTGGCATAGCACTCTCCAACTGTGCCACAGAAGGACATAAGGATGTTGGTGCTTTTTCCTGTCTATTTTTGTCCCCTACCAAATCACAGCCCTGGAAGGGAGCTTTAGAAGTCACAAATCTGTTCTGTTGCCTTCATGCTCAGTATCACAGAAGAGGGATAATCAACCCTCTTCTAAAAGGCTAGCCAGTGGAAAGGATTTCAAAATCAGCCAACAAGTATTTTTGCTTACTGTGTACATGGAACAGTATGGAAAAAAGAATATGGAAAACTATTAGACATTATTCATACCCCCAAGAATCTTGCACTTCATTTGGAAAGAATAGATACCTATATGTACACAAAAACCACCATCAAAACTTCTGAATTTGGAACAGGTCTTGAAGACCTAACTTTCTGACTGTTGTAAATATGCACTCTTGACATCCTGCCATTTGATCCTATCAGTTCATCACTGGGAAATTTTAATTGCAAATAAATTCTATCCACTTCTAAATTCTAAAGGCTTTAATGCATGACAGGTCTATAGAAGTTAAATGACCGTAGAAATTGTCAGCCTGGATAGAAATTTTGGCTTTACCAATCATTAATAGTGTGGCCTCAGGCAAGTTACTTAATGTTTTTGCCTTTCAATTTCGTATCATAAAGTGGGGAAAAATACTAGTATCTTCCTCATAGGGTTGGGAGAGTTAGGTGTTGAATTTTCAGAATAGCCCCTGATAGAGGGTAAGTCCACATCACATTAAATGGTATTTGTACAACTGTCATACAAATATTTGACTCAACTTTTAATGTTCTGTTTTCCCTGCTCCAGCTACCCGCTTTTTTTTTTAAAGGTAAAACCTCTTCATCTGTGTGATTAATGATAGAACTATTCCACTACGGTCACAGAATATGATTTATAACTGACTAGGTCCTCCTTGTTGGTTTTTAATGCCACCCTTACTACAAATATGGTATGAATAGTAAAAAAAAGTGGGCCAATTATTATGTTCTAAATAGTATACTACTAACACTGCATCCCAAGCTTGCAAAAATGTTTCAGGAAAATTTTTCAGGTTTCAGGAGGCCACCTGAGTTAGACAATGGAGGCCTTAAGTCTATTTTACTGATTGTGTTTTTCAGAAGCTTGAGTTTGTTCTGGACTTTAGCTTCCAATTGTGTGAAATGCTTGAATTGACCCAAGACTATGTTACCGTCATTCTGTCCTGTGTGTTGTTCTTTCTCAAATCCATGGATATTGGTGAAGTCCTAGTGTTTCATATTAATTTCTTTGGCAGATATTCAGTTTAATTCTTTGCTGGGATAGTGTGCATGGGTGTGCATGTGTGTGCATGCATGCACATGTGTACACGTGTGTACAGTATCATGCTTTTGTTCCACTCATAGTGGGATAAATATATTCCTTAATAACCTGGTCTGATATTCCTCCTGGAGTCTTACTGTTCCAGCCTACCCTGGCCACACTCTTGCTTTAGGAACTCTCACATTTATCCTTCTAAGTTGCTTACACACCAACCTCCTCATTTTTCAAAGCCCAGCTGAAATATCTTCTCTTCTGTGAAGACTTCCTAGATCCCCTGGCCAGGATTTGTCCCCTATCCTCTCTCTGCTCCCCAGCATTTTGTTAATTCTCCTTCTCAGTTGGCATTTTGGTTATTGATGTAGCTTCTGCTTCCTTTATGGGACTGTAGAACACTCTAGAAGAAGAGCTTTATCTTATTCATCTTTGTATCCTAGGGCCTAGCAAGTGGCCATATAAAATTTGTTCAGCTGAATAAAGAAATAATTTTAAAAAAAGAAATAATGAAAAGGTTCACATGGGGGTGTATTTTCTTTCTGATGTTATCATCCTAATTATTAGAAGACATGGAGGGTCTGGGAGGAGAACTGATTTCTAATGAACATCCATTTGGTGCCATATCCTACTCAATGTGGTTTATAAATTCTCTCATTTGATCTTTGCAGGGACTTTATAAGATTAGTATTATTATCCCCACTTATATATGAGTAAAATTAAGTTCAGATAGTTTGAGGCACAGGCAGAGTCTAATTTATAAATTCCAGGTCTTGGAAGTCAATGAAAACTAGAATGAGGACTCAAATTTACTTGATGTTACCCTAAAGCCATAGACATATTTAATGACACCGAAGTACATGAAGTGGTTTGACTTCTATGGAAAAAAGCTGTATAAATATGATAATGCCATTTTCTCATTCAAAAACCCTTCAAGAGCATTGTTTTTGCAAACCAACTAACTACATTCCAATTTTTCAGCCTGGCACTTAAGAGCCTTGATATTCGTTTCTGTTCTTCAATCCCATTGCTTCTACCTTGATGCTCTGTCCAGTTGGACTGAACTCTCTGGATATCTGCAGATTTCTACCTTTCTACCTTTGCTCACTCTCTTTCTCCCACCTGGAATGCACTTTGTCAGGGATATACTTGCAATATTAATTAGCTTACTTAGCCTTATCATAATCAAATACATGGTTCTCTTAAGCTTTTGGAAAAATTAAATTCTAAGTGGACCACCATTGCAAACTCTATGGCTCTCTGGTGGTTCAGGAATCTCAGGCTAGAAAAAATTCTCTTAAAGGAAAAAATATTCATATTGGTAAATTTTTTTAAAAAAATTTAAGTATAGTACCTTTCATTAATTCCTTGGAAACAATGCTAAAACTTAAGAACAGAGAAAGTTTGTTGTTGTTTTGCTTTTTTTTTTTAATAAAAGAATCTAGCCTAAGACACCATTCTAAACAAATGTGTCAGACTCATCAACCTCCTAATCAAAACTTTCACTCAACTAATTCTTTCACTTACCTCCTGCCCACTGCAGTTATCTACAGCCCTGGCTTTGGCAAAATATCAGGATTGCCCTATTCATCTGCCTATTGGATTTGATCCAGAATTAGTCACAACTTTGTTTAATTCTCCAGTCTTCAGTCAATCTCTGGTCCAGCATGTATAGGACAGTAATTACACAGTCACACAATGCAGCATAATGTATACTTCTCAGCACATTCAACTCTGTGTTTTTTAGGGTAGGGGGTGGGAGAGAGTATCTCTAAAGATGACTAAAGCACAGCTGTTGGGTGGATCCTCCCTACAAATGTAAACCAAAGGATTGGGGCTGACCTCAGAGCGACTCCCGAGCCGGCACTCTCTGGGATAATTTCCTCCATCCCTCCCAATCCTCCCAGAAGGGAGTCTACTTTTGTTCACATATTTTTATAGAAGGTTAAGTCTTTCATGGGTTTTGTATAAAAGTTGAAACTGGGTTTTGATTCCTTGAGATGAGCAGTGGTAAACATGTGTGGCATTCGGAGAAACAGCACCTTAGAATTACACCTGTTGTTTGTGCGGTGTGGCTCTCTTCCTATGGAAATGTGTGAACTCTCCTAGGAGAAAGAAGAGAAATATTTAAAAAATCAAATGCCTCAGGGCACAGAGGGTTATTGTGCTCACAATCTCTTATCTGCGATCTTAAAATTCAAATAGAACTGAAAAATTCAAATAGAACTGACATCTGCATTTATTTATTTATTGACCACTCATTTGGAGACCAAACCTGACCAGATCTAAACTTCCTTGGCAAGATGACTTGACCTTACTTATTGCAAGCCTGTGAATAGTCTTTCCTTATCCCAGTTAGTGTGAAAATCCATGGTGTTGCTACAGAAATATTCATGTGTTTGATTAGAGGATGCTGCCTTGAATCTCACAGGGGTTATGTAACATAGGGCATGCATATCCTATTTTTTTGTGACATTGGAAAATTTCTGAATGGTGAAAGTGCCTGGTCAAAGGGATTTTGAATAACTGATTATGACCTATAATGCAAGAGAAACAAAAATCCAGCAAAATCAAAATCAGAATCTTGGTTTTCAACATCCCTCTCTCTTTATACCCTATCATATTCCCCCAATCATATACTCTAGTATGCCACAGCAGCAATTCTTGTACATTATCAAGATCTCAAATCTAAAGATCTTGATTGTCCACACTTTCTTCCCTCCTTATTCTCCACCCATCATTACAATCGCTTCTTTCATTTGCTTACCCCTCTTATTCTTCATTGCACACTCCTGGCGTATCTCCATCCCTGTTTCCACCAATGATCCGTCTATTCCGTGCTGTCGCCGAAGCAGCTGAACATTGTTAGGGGGAAGAATCACATAATTGTGCTGACTGGTCTCATTTAAATTCATAACCACAACTGAACTGGACACTGTTGTAGTGCAGCCCTACTTTATTTCCCAGGTTGTTGCATGCTTATGTGACAATGTCACACCTTCTTATGACCTTTTCAAACGTCTCTATTGACTGTTCTATCTTGCCCCGCTTTTTCAACTCATACGTCATTGAAAAAATATAAGCAGAAAGTGAAAATGAATTAACTACTCTTTCTTTCACCAAATCAACCAACTTAATTGCATCTGTACCCATATAGTATTCCTTCTCTCCTATTTTGATAGACAAAATATCCCTGGTCCTAGCTAAGCCAGCCCCTCCACTTTTGGCACCTCCTCTGCCTTTCTCAAGAACTTCAGTCCTACATTTATTCTTTCTCTCTCTCTCTTTCCTTCCCACATCATCAGTTTATTCACTGACTCCTTTTTATCTGCACCCAATAAGCAGTAGTGGCCAGGTGCAGTGAGTCATACCTGTAATTTCAGCACTTCAGAAGGCTGAGGCAGGAGGATTCCCGGAGGCCTGGAGTTTGCGACCAGCCTGGGCAACATAGCTCATCTTTAAAAACAAAATAAAACAACGTTAGCTGGGCATAGTGGTGCACACCTGTAGTCTCAGCTACACAGAAGGCTGAGGAGAAAGGATTTCTTGAGCCCAGGAGTTCAAGGCTGCCGTGAGCTGTGATGGTTCCACTGCACTCCAGCCTGGGTGACAGAGTGAGACCCTGTCTCTAAAACAAATAAACATGCTGTAGTATTCTCTGTATCCCCTCCAGCTCTTGTGCTCTTCTCTGGTTTTTATCACGATACAACTTAGGACATAAGTTAGCATCACTCCCTCCACTTTCTCTCCTTACCCAGTTCCATCAGGTGATCACTGCCATCTTTTCACTGATGTTAGTCTTGTTAAGGTCCCCAGAGACCTGCAGGTGGTCATTGGCAGTGGTCACTTCTCTGGCCTCATCCAAGCCTTTCATTTGTCCCGCATTTGACCTCTGTCTTTTAGAACCATTTTCTTCTCTTGGCTTCTGTGACAACACAATCTCCTGATGTTTTTTCTTCCTGACCTTCTTCTCACATCGTTTGCTGCCTGTCCAACCTCTATTAGCTGGGGTATCCCAAAGCTCAGTGCTATACCCCTTTCTACTCCTTATTTCACTAGGTGATCTTATTCTTTTCCATGGCTTTTTAAGTAAGGTTCCAAAAGTACACCCCCAGCCTTGGGCTTGAGCTCGGGATTCATATATCTAATTGCCAGTGTGGATTCATCTATCTAATTGCCAGTGTAACTCTCCACTTGAAAGACTAGTAGGCACTTCAAACTTAGCACGCCAAACACAGAACTCTTGACACTCACCACCTAAACTGTTCCCCCTCTAGTACCGTCCATCTTAGTGAGCACAGCCATCAAGTCACTCAAGGCAGAATCTAACTCCCTCCTTCCCTTAACTGCCACATGTAATCCAGCAACAGGTCTCACCTTTGCCACGTGTAAAATACACCCTGAGTTTATTCCTTTCTCTCTGTTTTCCTAGTTTAAGCCACCAGTATCTCCCACCTGAACTGTTATGGTACCTTCCTGCACGTCTTCTTCTGTACTCTCTTGATTTTTTATAATTGACTCTACATAACAACAAATACTGTATTTAATCTTGCACATGTATTTCTATGTCCCATTTAACTTAGGATAATTTTGAACTCTTTGTGTTGGCTCACAGGGCTCTCATGATCCAAACCCCATCTCCCCATCTCCCTTTCCTGCCCTCCTTGGCATCCTCTCTCCCACTACCTCCCAGCCATGCTGCCTTCTTCCTCTTCTTTATACCAGCCAAGCGCATTGCCACTTCAGGGCTTTGGAACTTCCTCTTACCTCCCCCCTCGTAGATCTCTACAAGACTCATTCCCCTTTGGCACTCAAGTTTCAAATTAAGTCACCCCTGCAGTCACTCTCTGTCACATCCCTCTGTGTGACAGCAATTAGAGTTCTTGTTGGCACTTCTCCCTCAGTGCTCACTCAGTTAGTCAACAAGTTTTATTTTTCTCCATTCCTCTCTTTTCCTACTGCCAACACCCTAATAGAAGCCACCTTCCTCACTTGTCTGGACTGTAGTAGTAGTAGCCCCTCAGCCATCTCCCCACATTTGTACTTATTCCCTTCTAACCTGACACTTGGTAACACAGCTGCCTTACTTAGATGACTGCTGTGACTTCTCATTGCTCTTAAGGTGAATTTTTATTTTTATTTTTATTTTCTGAGACGGAGTCTCACTCTGTCGCCAGGCTGGAGTGCAGTGGCGTGACCTTGGCTCACTGCAGCCTCCTGCTCCTGGGGTCAAGTGATTCTTCTGCTTCAGCCTCCCGAGTAGCTGGCTCTACAGGCGTGTGCCACCAAGCCCAGCTAATTTTTGTATTTTTAGTAGAGACAGGTTTCACCATGTTAGCCAGGATGGTCTCGATTTCTTGACCTCGTGATCCACCCGCCTTGGCCTCCCAAAGTACTGGGATTACAGGCATGAGCCACTGCACCTGGCCGAGGGTTAATTTTTGAATCCTTAACAGGAGTCTAATTCTCTGAATGGGCTGGCTCTGACGTTTCTCTTTAGCTGCACCAGAATATGTAAGCATTCGTTCAGTTCCTTACATGATTCACAGCCCATTTCAACGAAGCACATGCTTTTTCCTTGACTGGTAATACCACTTTACCTGCTCCCTTTTGTCTTCTTAACTCATGCCCATCCTTCAAGTCTGAGCTAAGGAATCATTTTCTCAAGAAAACCCATCCTGACCACCTCAAAACATCTGGATTTTCCCCTTCTGCCACATAACATCATAGCATCCTGTACTGCTCATTCACAGTACATATCAGGATGGTATTTAATTCATTCACCTTTAATGCCATCTTCCTCGCTAGAATGTTTCATCAGCTATAATGTCATGGTAAATGGCGCTGGGGCCAGATTGCCCAGGTTCTAAACCCTAATTCCTTTTTCTTACATAGCTGTATGACCTTATTTAGGCTTTCTTGATGTAAAATTAAGGTAATTATGGTACCCACCATGTAGATTTGTTTTGAGGTTTAAATGAGTTAATAAACATAAAGCATCTAATATAGTGCCTGGCAGATAATAAACACTCAATAAATCATCATGATTGTCATTACTCTTATGAGCTCTGGGATTGCATCTGTCTCATTCATCATGGCACATCCAACAAGTATTTGTTGAATACATAAATAATATTTTTCATGAGCCAATTAAAGTTAGAAGTAATATTATTAAATGCCTAGATGTACGCTAGGCTAGGGGATATCAAAATTAATAAAACATCGTTTTCACAATCAAGGAGTTTTTAACTCAGTGAATAAGAGTGAGATACATAAATGAGGTCTGCTCAAATGGTGTAGTTACACATCTTTGTGCCCTGGGCATTTTCCTAGGAGCCTGATACGGTTTGGCTATGTCCCCACCCAAATCTCATCTTGAATTGTAGCTCCCATAATTTCCACGTGTTGTGGGAGGGACCTGGTG